>NC_000011.10:44908484-45211515 GCF_000001405.40 Homo sapiens
ACATTTTGGGAGGCCAAGGCAGGAGGATCACTTGAGCCCAGGAGTTTGAGACCAGCCTGGGCAACATGGCAAAATTCAGTCTCTATAGAAAAATACAAAAATTAGCCGGGTGTAGTGGCATGTGCCTGTAGTCCCAGTTACTTGGGAGGCTGAGGTAGAGGATGACTTGGGCCCAGGAGGTCAAGGCTGCAGTGAGATGTGATCCCGCCACTGCACTCCAGCCTGGGTAGCAGAGCAAGACTGTCTCAAAAAAGAAAGAAAGAGAGAGAGAGAGAGAGAGAAAGGAGAAAGAAAGAAAGAAAGAAAGAAAGAAAGAAAGAAAGAAAGAAAGAAAGAAAGAAAGAAAAAGAAAAATGGAGCAGATATTTATTGAAATCTGCTAAACGCCTTCTATCCTTTCTTCCTTAGGGCTGCCTTAGGATGAAGGTGTTTGAGTCTTCTTTTGACCACAAGGAAGCTAAAAGGCTCAGACAGATTTTGACACTTGCCTAGGGTCACACAACTAATAAGTGGCACAGCTCTCTCTCTAGACTACGCTGCCTCTTTCCAAAGATAAATAAGGCATAGAGAGCCCATGTTGATGGAGACATAAATAAGAAATCTTTTGAGCTATGGATTTGAGAGTGGGGAGCCCACTCTCAAGTTGGAACCTCACTGAGAGTCCCATGGGGGACAATGACGATGACTTGGTCTGTGTCTTCCCAGCCCCTAGCATGGGTGGTGCAAACACAGCATAGGGCTGACTCAGAGCATGTTCATGGACCTTTGTTTAGGGTGTTGAGGCTGGAGTCAGGGGGCCTGCGACCAAACTCTGACTCTGCCATGAACTTGCTGTGTGACCTTCAGCAAGTTGTTGGTTCCCTCTGTATGGAATCAGAGGGTTGGACTAGATGACCTCCTAATCCTACAGGTCTGACATTTCAAGAGAAGATAAAATTGGCAAATAGCCTTTATGTGATACAGCCCGAGGTGGGGCTTGGGTCGGAAATTGGATTTAGAGGATGCGTGTTGCACTTAAGGTCACGGCAGCTAGAAAAATTAAAAGCAATTCAAGGTGCGGCTGGGACTCACTGGCTCTCGCCGCAGGTGAATTCCTGCCTGGCTCACCTAGTGCTTGATGCCTCTGACCCTGGGGCTGGCTCAGGGGAGTGGTGGGTCAGAAGTGCCTAACCTCCCTTTCTGCCTGTTTCTCCTCCCAACTCCTCCACTGGCCCGAGCAGCTGGGCGGGGCCTGCCTGCTGGCCATCGGCATCTGGGTCATGGTGGACCCCACCGGCTTCCGGGAGATCGTGGCTGCCAATCCTCTGCTCCTCACGGGCGCCTACATCCTCCTGGCCATGGGGGGCCTGCTCTTTCTGCTCGGCTTCCTGGGCTGCTGCGGGGCCGTCCGTGAGAACAAGTGTCTGCTGCTATTTGTGAGTACCCCAGCCCCCACCCCATCCATGGGTGCTCTGAGGGGTGTCAGGGATTGGCTGCAGACTCCCAGGCCCTGCCTGGCTTCCATTCAGACCAGTGCTTCCCAAACTGGGGCGGGCTGTCAAAGCAGAAGGGATCATGGAGATGAGCACGTCTGACCCCACTCATTTGGTAGTCAATGGTCCTGAAACCCTGAGACATTCAGCAACTTGCCCAGAGTCCCATGGAGTTGGCAGCAGAGGGGATGATACAGACGCTAGGTCAGGGCCCCTGCAGTGCCTCAGGCTGCCTCTTCCCATGCCTTTGGGACCTGTTTTCTCCCTGGGGTAGCCCTTCCTCTCTCCCACTTCATTTTGCTGCTTTCCTGCAGTCAATCCAGGACCCTTGGCTTAACACACACCTAGTCTGTGTCCGCATGCCAGGAAACTCAGAATAAGGTTTGTGCCACATAGGTCCACCTCCAGGGGTGGGGCGGTCCCCAGCCTTTTCCATCTGCCTTGGTGGCCCCAGCTTCCAGAGCCTGCTTTTGCAGTGGGCCCGTGCCTGCAGTGGGTGAGCTGGCCCAGATGGCGGGGGCCTTGGCATCCAGGTCTGAACAACCAGGTTTCTCCAAGGCATGGTCAGCTGAGAGCACTGACATTGACCTTGATGTTTTTCCACTTGCTTGCTATTAAAAACTCTAATATATAACTCCTTAGTAACATCGCTAAGATGCCTAGTGGATGAGGCCTTCCCCTTGTAGATATGCAATTCTGAAACGGTATGATATGGCCTCTGAAGGTTTCTTATTCATCAAGTAAGTAGCCCTTGAACTCCTATCATGCGCATGTAGTTCACTGGGTGCTGAAGATATGTCGGGGACCAGGAGTGATGGTCCCTTCCCTCACAGACAGGCACAGGGGAGGCAGCCGAGCCGTGCGGATGAGCTGGGCAGTGGGCAGGCCTGGTTTGAGGGTACTCCCTGCTCCATCCCCTAAGGGTGTGCCTCCCATCTAGTTCCCCAACCTCCCAGAGCAGCCATGTCTTCTTGTTAAACGAGGGGGCCGACCAGCTCAGCTATAGATCACAGCCAAACCAGACAAGCAGTGGGTCTTCTCGTTCTCGAGTCTCCTGGATTCCCATGGGTGGTGGCGCTTGGGGCCTCCGCCTGCTTTCCTGTGCTGGGTGGATGGGTCTTCTCTAAGAGGTCCTGGACTTGGAGAACTTCTGGGCTGAGCCCAGTCCCGCTACAGGGTAAGTTAAAAACAGCCCTGTTTAGAGAAGCGTGGGTGTGTCTGGGTAAGCTTGCGGATGCTCCTCATGGGCGAATTCGTGGGCGGAGTTAAATGACAGGGAGAACTGGGCTGGTTGGCTGGGGGGCTCCCTTGCAAGGTTCTGTAGATAAGCCAGCACCAGCAGTGCTGGGAGGAGAGACCTGGCACCATACCTCCTCCCCAGACGAGAGCACACTGCACGGCCCCATTTGTGTCCCGGTGAGATGCTCCCCATCCAAAGGAAGTGAAGTCAGCTGCGAAATGAGTGACAAGGAGCCTTGGGCCTATTTGTCCTTCAACAGCGCAAACACTGCAGACTTCATTTGAAGAGAAACAAAGAAAAACTTTGAGCGCCCCCTGGTGGACAATTCTCTACAGCTTGTCACGGTGCTCGCAGAAGTCTTGGCTGGGGAGCCCGAGGGGACTTTAAAAGGAGCTTGGATATGGGTCCCAGAACAGACCCAGCCTCCC
Source organism: Homo sapiens (assembly GCF_000001405.40). Classification (NCBI taxonomy): domain Eukaryota; kingdom Metazoa; phylum Chordata; class Mammalia; order Primates; family Hominidae; genus Homo; species Homo sapiens. The sequence goes on from NC_000011.10 coordinate 44,911,625, forward strand.
TTTCCCCCTCCTCACCTCGGCCCCCAGGGACTCATTCATTGTTAATGGGCTCGGCTCTGAAGCCAAGACAGGAAGCCAGGCTGGTGTTCTTGGCTGGGAGCAGGCTGGAGCGGCTCTAGTCTCCTCCAGTAAGTGGCTGCCTGCAAACCTGCCAGCCGCCCCAGGACGTCCTCCCTCCCGTGCTATGCGAGGCAGGACTGAGGCCCAGGGGTAGGAGATGTGTCCACGATCCTCCCGAGAGAGGTGATCCTGGCTGCCAGGCTGGGGGCCCTTCGACAAGGCCTGATGGCAGATCCTTCCCCTTCCCCTCCCCACCCCCGCCTCTCTCCCTTTGTCCCCCTTCTTTCTGCCTATCTCTGTGTAGCTCCCTTTCCTCTCTGCCTCTGTCCTCCCCATCTCTGTCCTTTTTTTTTTCGAGACAGGGTCTCAGTCTGTGGCCCAAGCTGGTGTGCAGCAGTGTGATCTCAGCTCACTGCAGCCTCAACCTCCTAGCCTCAAGTGATCCTCCCACCTCAGCCCCCCGAGTAGCTGGGAACACAGGCACGTACTGTCACGCCCAGCTAATTTTTGTATTTTTTGTAGAAACAGGGTTTTACCATGTTGCTCAGGCTGGTCTTGAACTCCTGGGCTCAAATGATCCACCGCCTCGGCCTCTCAGAGTGTTGGGATTCCAGGCGGGCACCACACACTTGGCCTTGTCTTTCTCTTGATCTCTGTTTTTATTCCTACGCCCTTTCCTTGTCCCTGTCCTGATCTCTCCCTCCCCGTTTCCCTGTCTCTCTCTCCACTTCCCCTGCTTGCCCTCCCCTCTCTAGGGCCCCGCCCACACAAGCCTGAGGTCACAGTGTGGGTCAGAGGCAAAGGACGCTTGGATCAAGGTCTTCTGGCTCCCAGACCAGGGCTATCCACAGGCTCTGGATAGCCTGGAATGGACTCCAAAATTTACCTAAAATTATATGCAAAATGTTATGTTATGTCAGGTCCTGTGTATGTGTATTGTGTATACATGGATTGTGTGCATACTCATGTGTATGGGTACAGTGTGTATGTGCACGTGTGTTGTATGTGCATGTATGTTGTGTTCTATCGTGTGTGTTTGTGTGTACATGTGTGCATTGCTTTGTGCATATGTACACGTGCATGGGTGTTGTATGTGCATGGGTGTTATGCATGCATGGGTGTTATACGTGCATGGGCGTTACATGTGCATGGGTGTCATGTGTGCGTGGGTGCACATATATATGCATGTGCACATGTGCCTGTGTGTGCACATGTGTGTTGTGTGTGCATGTGTGTTGTGTGCATGGGGGTTGGGGGGGTTCTGTGAGTGTTTCCAGAGAAAGGCACCAAAGTTTCTGGAAGGTTTTCAAAAAGGTTTATGCCCTAAAAAATAAGAAAAACCACTTCTCCCTTCCCGGCTGAACCTGGACCTAACTGTGTGGTGGTTCCAACCGAAGAGGGCATGGAGCCTCACCCCTGGCAGCTTCTGGGATCCTTCTAGAAGCCTTTCACTGCTTTCTCAGCCTGTCAGAAAGGAGAGAAGGCTTGTCTTGAGAGGGGCCAAAAGAGTGACTTTAGTCAGCCCAGGAAACCTGGCTCAAAGGTTCACAAAGCAAGGAGGCCTTGAGATGGGGCTGACTGTCCCCTTCCCTCTGCTCTGAGACTGAAGTCCTACAGGACCTGGGGACAATCAGTCTAATGACCAGACCACCTAATGATCAATTTATCTATCTAAAGGTCCATTTCCCAAATACTCGTGTTGATCAGTATTACAGCACTCACATGCAATAGGACAATTTCAGCCTCCTATTGAAAATTTGTGGCATCCCTTTTTCTCATTTGCTTACCTTTGAGTATTTCAAGGATTTTTTTAAGCCAACTTATTTAAAAATTCTAATTTTAAAAATATTTTATAATGAAGGCAAGCTCAACTGGAAAAAAGAACAGCAAAAAGAGATGAGTATATTCAAAAAAGATAAATGAGCTGAATTGTACATGCAGTATGTAAATTTGGTAAATATTTATTAGAAATGGGAACTGTGAGCAGACATTGCCTATAAGCAGATGGGTTAGAAAAGCCTGGAAATGTTCCCAACTAGACAACATAGCAGTTTCCTCCCCTTTGCTAATTTTTCCATCCTAAGGAAAGTGATGCAAATTAGAGGATCAGGAATGGCTGACAAAGGTGTCCTTAGGCAAATGGGATGCAAACCCTGGGAAAGGCCTTGATGAGGGGAAGCCCCAGGAATGGCTGGGTCCAGGGGAATTCCCCAAAGGACTTTAACACTGGTAAACTGTCTTAAGCAGGAGGACATTTTCATGCTGGAGAAGGGCGAGTTGGCAGAGGTGGCATTGTGACTGCCATGGGCACCTCAGCCTTGCACTTTGGTTCACAGGATTCACACTCCCACATACTCAAGTCATGCCCAGGCCTTGGGCTTGGGGAGGCCCACTTCCTCCAGTCCACGGCTTCCCAGGTTTATTCTTATATCTCATCTCCTGATGCTTCAGCTCAATGGAAACTCCATGAAGATGGGGACTGAGTCTGCCTTGTATGCATTTATTTGCCAATACCTAGCACAGTGCCTGGCACAGAGCAGGTGCTCAGTAAACAGCCCCGGAGCCAAGGAACAGAGAGGAGGTGGTAGCAGAGGTTTGGCTAAGAGCATGGACTTTGGAGTCAGAAAAGCCCGGGCTCTAACTCCTGCTCTGTCATTTCCTGGCTGTATGACCTGGGGCTGGTCACTTAACCACTCTAAACCTTAGATTCCTCATATACAAAATGAGGATAATCATACTTCCTTCCCAGCCATAGTGTTGCATTCATGATCCAGTGGGAAATGCATGTTTTGCTTGGCTGTGTTTGTGGGATGCCTAAGCACTCTATAAATGGGAAACTAGAAGAATTGGTGCTGAGCCTCAGGAGGCTTTGCAGGCCATGTAGAAACCATAAGACCTCGGGGCTCCTGTGGCTTCCAGGGTAACATGGTGATGAGAGGCTGTGTTCTGCAATCAGAGTTCTTGGGGTGAAGTCCCAGAGGTACTGCCCACCAGCTATGCCAGCTTGGGCCGAGTACTGTTCCTCTCAGCCACAATCCGCTCTCAGTAAAATGGGGGTGTTGCTGATAATAGCATCTGTCTCACTAGATGAGAGGGCTTGATGAGATGATCCATGTAAGATCCGCAGTGTCTGGGTAGCAAGGACTCAGCAGGTAGCTATTGCTATTTTTCCAGAGCCGCCCACACCAGCACTTGTCTTCGGGAAGGATGTGCTTCCTCTGGGCTCTAAGTAACCATCTGAGCAGCTCTCATGTCATGCCGGTCTTGCGAGAAGCACCGCACCTGCATTACCTCGTGGAAGCCATGCGCAGTCATCCTGGATGGCACACACACATCCCAGAGTGACGGGCACACAGAGTACACGAGGCCTGTGATCTGCTTCGTCCATTATTTATCACTGTCCAGGCCGAGGCTGGTGGGCACGCCAGCTCCAGCTCATTGCCGTGGATGGAAACCATTTCTGAGGCTGCTCCTTGCCAGCCTGGGGACCTGCCAGTGGCTCCAGTGAGAGGGCAGAGGGTGGGGAGGGGCTCCTCATAGAGGACCCATGTAATGGAAGCGGATGGCCATCCATCACCAGCCAAATGGAAATGCCAGGACCCCTGCCAGCGGCCTCCGTCACTGTCACAGGGGAGGCGAGGCTGCAGAGGCAGAAAACACATCACTCAGCAGCCACTGAGCCCAGAGCCCCCCACCCTCCTGGAAATGAGAATTGTAGGAGTGGCAGAATGGACCATGGGCATTGTGACCTGGGGCACAGGAGGCTTCCCCCACCCCACCCTCATCATACTCTGCACTGGTTGGGGAACTCTGCTCCCTGACCTCAGCTGGAGGTCAGTCCCTTCTTCAGGAAGCACAGGAGCATCTGGCCTGGTGTCCCTCATCCAGATGTGCCAGCAGGCCACCCAGCAAACCTCAGCCAGGCAACCTGCTGACCTGTGGAGACAGACTCATGGGCTCAGAAGAGAGTGACAGAGCAATCCCTGAGCCTCGCCCTGCATCAGGGAGCAGACACAGCCTGGCGCTCTGAAAAGGCAGCTGGGCCAGGAGGGGAGTGTTCTTTCTGCAAAGCTCCAAAGAGCTCTGCACCTGTGGAGTAGTCACTTCCCTTCTCCAGCTTCAGCTTCCTCAACTTCGAAAAGGGGAAACTACACAAAAAAGAGACCGTGAGAACAGCGTCCGGTGCCCGGCGGTCCCCTGTGAGAGCAGAAGCCTGTGTCGGAGCAGCTGGAGCCCAGTGAGACCTCAGGGGCTCAGGAGCCCATGGTGCATCTGAGGGCTGAAGCAGACTTGATGTGGTGGCTGGGGACAGAAACCAGCCAGCAAAACGCAGGATTGAGGAGTGACACATCCCCGCCACGGGCTGGGCTGCTTTGCTGAAGCAAGGGGCTCTCTTTAGGTTTGGACACTTAAAAAACTAAAACCCACTTGCCAGGCCTCGGAGATGTTTTATGTCCGTGTGCTGAATGGACAGATTCTATACTCCTCCCGAGGCGCTCACTAAGGTGGACCCTGGCCCACACAGTTTGGAGAGGCCTCGGGACCTCTAGAAGGCAGCCGCTGTGGATGCTGAAGAATCAGGGAGGGAATTGGACTGGGGTCTCCCTGGGGTGGGGATAAAGTGACAGAAATCTTCCTCTGATCACAAGAGGCACATTCCAGGAGAGAGACGCCTGAAGGTATTGTCAGCAGCCCACAGAGCATCTGTGAGGAGGCCAGTGCATCACCAGGAGCCGGGCCTCGGAGGCCACAGAGGATCCTGCTCGTGGCCCACATTCACTCCCCTTCTGCACATGAGAGCCCAATGCCAAGCTCTGCTTGGCTCATTTCCAACAGGGGAAATGCTTTCACATGCCTCGTGATTCCCCACGGGGAATCCCCAGAAGTGGGTCTCCACATCCCCATTTTTCTGGCAAGAAAACTGAGGCTGGAAGGGGTTTGTATGAGTGGTTGTCCCATGACACACGAGGACAGACAAGGTGGGCCCTGAGGTGTCCTGACTTGAAGCCCAACACCCTTTGCCTCCTTCCAGCCTGGCACATCGGGGGCAGGCAGGCAGGCAGGCGGTCCTAACGACTGGGACCCCAGAGAGCAGGTCTGGCTGCTGCCTGGGTGCCTGGGAGGGCATGGAAGAACCAGTCTCTGTGTGTGCCAGAGATAAAGTCCTCTGCTGGTGGTTTCCAGATAGGGTGACAACGGACTTTGTCAAGGGCACCAGCTATGCTGAGTAATGAAGGCAAAGCCAGTTTCTTCTGCTGACAGCTCTCAGCCCAAAGGAAACCACACAATGACCAGGGCCGGTGATGTGGCAGATCACAGGGCCTTCATGGCGAGTGCTCCACCCCGGCTCATTCATCCATGTAAGAGTCCTGCACCAACACCTGTGCTGACCCAGGCATCCAAGCAGGCAGCGCGCTGAGTGACAGCCCCTGTGCTAAGGCCGTGCGGGCACCTCTGTTAGGCACTGTGGTGCGGGGGAGCCCAGGAGAGGGAGGGTTCTCCCTGCTTAGGGAAGTCAGGAAAGGCTTCTCACCAGGAGAGGGGCTGAGGCTTCACCTGATCTGGAGAAATGAGGAACTGGTGGGCAAGGAAGGGCAGTGCCTTCCTGGCAGAGGTAACAGAGCCTGTGAGGTCCCCGAAATGAGAGGCACTGTGGTTCATTCAGGGAACATCAAATTCAGTGAGTGGAGCAGAAGACTGTGTTAGATACCAAACTCCTGGCCCATGGGTTTTGAGATTTGGTAGTCATACCACCTTCCCTCCAATCTTATTCCTTGGGTTTTGGCTGAAGGTCTATGTGACCTCCCCACTTCCCATGGGAACCAGAGGCAGTGGGGCAGGGAGAGGTGGCCCTGGGGCTGGCAGGGTGGGGAAATCCAGCTGGGGATCCCCAAGGCACTCAGGATTCTCGCAGCCCGTACAACCTACCCAGAAGGAAATTTACCCAGAGTGGGCTCAAACGGGTTTCATCAGCGATCTCCTTCCAGGGTGGCTGAGTAGGGTTGTTCAGGTTGCACACTGTACGAGGGGCCTCTCTAAGGGTACCATTTGCATGGAAGGTATATATTTGTTTATTCTTTTCATATTTTGATCTCAATCCTGTTGACTCCAAGGAGGAATCACTGGTGTGTTTGTTATGAAAAATGTCTGATAGCAGTGGAGTGCCTTAATCTTACAAAATGAGTATACTGCGTCACTGGTGTGACAGATGGACGGATGCATTGGCCAGTGGCCGCCCCATCCCCTGCCTGCCCTCTGGGCTCACAAGGCTGTTCCTCTCCCTGCAGTTCTTCCTGTTCATCCTGATCATCTTCCTGGCAGAGCTCTCAGCAGCCATCCTGGCCTTCATCTTCAGGGAAAATGTACGTATCAGGCCCCAAGCTTTCCTGCCTCCTGCTATCAGCAAGGGGTTGGTGGCCATTCAGGTCTGGCTCCTCCCCTCCTTGAAGGGTCTCAGAGAGTGGGCAGCCTCTCATCTGGCACTTCCAGCCCAAGTCATGGCCCCACCCGCCTGGCAAGGCCCCGCAGACCAGGGAGAGACCCCAGTAAGCCTGTTCCTGCAAGGGCTTTTCTCTGCTCCCAAAGCATCTGGTACAACCCCATACCTTATTCTGGAAACATCCCTTCCAAACCTTGCCTAGTAACGGCCCAGTGATAGTGAGACAGTCAGAATAGTCGGAGAGGCTGGAATGTAGGAGCACAGGGCAGACTGCTCTCGGAGGAGGCCCTGGCTGGTATCCTCCTGGGTACCTTGGCCCCACAAGCCACCAAGTTCCAGAGGCCACAGGCAGCTGGAGTGCCAGCTGCCTCCCCTGAGTTGACCAGAGCCAGGCACCATAGCCAAAGGGAGACTGGGGCGGGGGGTTGGAGAAAGATGGGAGGGGAGGAGGGGCAATGGGGCAGGAGACACAAAATGGCCCTGGGGTAGAGGAGGCGGGCGGGGAGGGTAGCCAGCACGGAGCAGAGGAGGAGGCCACCACAGCCTGTGAGCAGACAATGGTGCCCAGATGGTCTCCTCTGCTGGGCACCACCCAGGGCCCTAGCCTTTGACTGCAGCAGGAGGGAAGGAGAATATTTTGGGAGTAGGAGAAACTGTGGAGGACTCCTCTGGAAACTGATGTACAAAGACTTCCTGCCCGGTCCTGTAGCTTCTTCAGGCCCTGGGACCCAGGGCATCTGCTTGGCTCTGTCTGGGGAACAGCTCAGGTGGAAGGGGTGGGGTGAGGTGCAAACTCCCCACCCAGATAAGCCCTCCCTCTGGGCAGAGCTGCAGGTGGAGTGAGGTCCTCAGCGTGCCCTGACCTCGGCTCCACCGAGATGTGCATGTGTATGGACTTCCTTTCTCCACTGGGGATAAGAAGACTGCCCCAAGTTGGTGGTTTAGGAGAATCCCAGGGGACCTGGCACCAGGATGCAGAGCCCCTAGCTCTCATTCCCCCAACTCCCAAGCAGGTGGATGGAGAGACGATGGAGGGTGGGGGCTGCACCCAACTGCCAGGCCTAAGCCCATCTTCTCCCTCTGCCCCCAGCTCACCCGAGAATTCTTCACCAAGGAGCTCACCAAGCACTACCAGGGCAATAACGACACAGACGTCTTCTCTGCCACCTGGAACTCGGTCATGATCACAGTGAGTGACGCCCCAGAGATGCTATGAACATTCAGAGCCACGATGCCCAGTGTTCACATGCCCACGCCAGGCATCAGTAATCAATCCAGGCACTCTCCCATTGATCACAGACCTGGCCTTGGAATCACCATCCACGCAGCATTCCAGGCAGCCATGCCACTTGATCACAGTCCCTACTCGGGATGAAACCTGTTTGCTCTCCCTGTCTTGGGTCCCCAAGCAATGGTCATTATGATGATGATAATAACCACAGCAACTGTTTATGGATGGCTAAGCGCCTGGTGAGGTAGGAATTGTTACTGCCACCTCTGTTATAGAGATGAGGACACTGAAGGCCCAGAGAAGCTGAGTGGCTTTCCCATGGTCACACAGTGGTGACAGGTGGAGCCCGCCCACACCCAGTCTTCTGATGCCACTCCTTTGCAGAGGCTGTATGTCCTTCTCTGTCCCCGCCCCTGTGTCCTCCTCCTGCCCACCAGAACCTTCTCTGGGATCTCCCCCTAGTTTGGTTGCTGCGGGGTCAACGGGCCTGAAGACTTTAAGTTTGCATCTGTGTTTCGACTCCTGACCCTGGATAGTGAAGAGGTGCCGGAGGCCTGCTGCCGGAGGGAACCCCAAAGTCGGGACGGGGTCCTGCTGAGCCGGGAGGAGTGCCTCCTGGGAAGGAGCCTATTCCTAAACAAGCAGGTACTGGCCCTGCTCTCCAGACAGGGGAGTGGGTCTATCGGGATTTGGGTGGCCAGAGCTGGGTGGGAGGCGCTATCACCCCAGAGGGTCTGAAGCTACCCCAGGAATCCCAGGGAAGTGTTGGCCATGATATGGGATGCCTGCACCTGAGCAGGGGCTGATGGAGGCTCTCTGTCCAAGCCCCTGAGATCCAACCAAAATGGGGAAGGATGACAGTGGCAGATGGTCTGCCGCTGGAGTGGGCATTCAGGCTGGGGCTAAGGGGTGAGTAGGAGTTTCCCGATGTTTCCTGAGTTTCTGATAATGCAGGTCCAAAGGGAGGGAGGGGGACAGAACCAGAATTGCACAGTGGGGGGCCCTTCTTAGCCATGCACTGTATTTTGGAGGAAGCTCTTATTTGCCATGTGGGGCACCCTAAGGGAGCAAGGTCTCCTTGACCTGACTCTCCAAGGTCAGAGAAGCTCCTAGACTTCAGGTTCTCTTGCAACCTGAGGACTTCCTCGCAGCCTTGGAAGAAACCCTTTCCCTTCCTGCACGTGCCATTTCTAGGGAAGACAAGCGCCTGGCTTTGTGTGCCTCCTGCCCACACACCCTTATGAGTTCACAATGCCCTTGCTCTTAATCCCCTTCTTCCCACTGACCAGCCCCCACTCTGCCAGTGTGGGTGTGTGACCAGGCTAGGCAGGAGGAGAGGGAGGGAGAGGACGAGGGTGATCTAAGCCTGGGCCCCAGCCCCCTTGCTTGAGTAGGACTTTAACGAGGGTCTCATGGAGAGTTCCAGATGCAAGAGACACAGCAGGGGACAGGAGACAAGGCCCCTGTTCCTGCGAGGCTCACGATCTCATTAGAGGACGCGCAAGATGAACAAGCAGCAAACTAATGAGAAGTAATCATTTCACATGGTCATGATTGCTGCGAAGAAATAAAACCAGATGAGGGGCTAGAATGGGCCTTGGGTGGGGGCTCAAGGCAGAACTTGCAAAGTCCCAGAGGAGGTGACAGTGAGCAGAGGCCTGGGTCCTGGGGCTCTGGCGGGCCCTTTCCAGCCTCAGCTCTGCCCCAGGAACTCAGCCCCTCTGGCCCTGGCACATCCCCATGGATTCCTGAGGCCCTGAGGGCCACGTTCTCTCTGTCCCTCATCACCCTGCCTTCCTGCATTGGGGGAAAGAGGCTCAATAGAGAAATGAGGGCCCTGAGTTGAGGCCACTGTGGACGTGGGGCAGAGAGACCTGCCGTGGGGAGCAGCTGCAGGGCGGGGAGGGGAGTTTCAGGCTTCCATGGCAGGCAGGGGTGGGCTGTTAACTGCTGTGTTGCCTTCGCCAAGACACCCTCGCTGGACCTCAGATTCCATATGTTGGCAGAGGCTGCTGGCTGCCCCCCACGATCCATTCACCCCTACTCTCTTGGGAAGGGAATGGTTATCACACCCCATGACCACCAGCTAGAGGCTGCACTTCCCAGCCTGCCTTGCAGCTAGACCATGTAACCGAGTTCTGGCTAACGGGAGGTGAGCAGAGGTGATTTGTGCAACTTGAGTCACATCCTTAAGAGAAAGTGCTGTGCCCACCCCTCCTTTTTTCTCTGGCTAGGACTTGGCAGAGGGAGGTGGCCCCTAGGATGGCAGAGCATCCAGAGAGAAGGAGCCTGGGCCACGTACAGTTCCATGGCATACAGCGGCCACCATAGCGTGGGGTTTATGTGAAAGACCAGTGAATTTGTAACTTGGTGAAGGAGCTGTTGTTTGAGATGCCCGTTGCCAACAGCCAAACTTAGAACCTTTTAATGCTACTTGTAAGTTTTCAGGAGGCTTCCCATGGGCCGCATTCCCCGCATCAGATGTGCTTCCCATTTCTGGACTCATCCTCCGTTAGGATGTCTCCTTTCCTCTCCTGGGCATGTCTTCAAAATCAGAGCTCATCAGAGAGGTCCCTGCACAGCCACATTCATTCTTTCCAGTGACTCTGTTGTTCCTGAGGGTCTGAGACTGGCTCCTGGGGTTTCTTTGCTGAGACATTCATGTCCCTCCTAGGCATTTCGTCCCGTTAAAAATCTGCTGCTGTGGAACTGTCTCTATTTGTCTTTTCCTCCAAAGCCCTCTTGCTTAAAGCCCAGGATGCATTTTTTTTTTTTTTTTTGAGACTGAGTCTCGCTCTGTCGCTCAGGCTGGAGTGCAATGGCACAATCCTGGCTCACTGCAACCTCCACCTCCAGGGTTCAAGTGTTTCTCCCACCTCAACCTCTCAAGTAGCTGGGACTACAGGCACATGCCACCATACCCAGCTAATTTTTGTATTTTTTGGTAGAGACCGGCATTTCACCATGTTGTCCAGGCTGGTCTCAAACTCCTGACCTCAAATGATCCACCCTCTTGGCCTCCCCAAGTGCTGGGATTACAGGCATGAACCACCATGTCCGGCCCTAGGATACATTTCTGACTTTGCTGGCAGGCCCATGGCAAGGATCTGGGAAGAGTTGAGTTCACTGTGGGGGTTGGGGTGGGGGTGAGGTGTGCAGGGATGCATGGCGTGGCCACAGGGACATCCTAGTTGCTCTGTGGCCCCCTGGTCCACATTGGTGGTGGACCTGGGTAGACAGGGGGCTTTTATACTGGTGCCAGTGAGAAAGGACAGCAGGTAAGACCAGGGTGATGGCGGTAAAGACAGAGAGGTGTGTGGATCTGAGAAATGTTCAGGAGGCAAAATCTACCAGCCTTCGTGATGGGTCCTCATTGGAGGAGGGGCAGGAGGAGGTGCTGAGTGACTGGCTTCTGGTTTGGGGACGATCTTGCATTCAGTCTGGGGCATGTTGCGTCTAAGAAACCTTTGGAGGCCAGGCACGTTGGCTCACGCCTGTAATCCCAACACTTTGGGAGGCCGAGGCGGGCGGATCACCTGATGTCAGGAGTTCGAGACCAGCCCAGCCAACACGGAGAAACCCCGTCTCTACTAAAAATACAAAAATTAGCCTGGCGTGGTGGCATGTGCCTATAATCCCAGCTACTTGGGAGGCTGAGGCAGGAGAATCACTTGAACCCGGGAGGCGGAGGTTGCGGTGAGCTGAGGTCATGCCACTGTGCTTCAGCCTGGGCAGCACAGTGAGACTCCATCTCAAAAAAAAGAAAAAAAGAAGCCTTTGGAACAGCTGAGCAGAGGTGTCCAGTGGGCAGCTGGGTGTATGGGGTGGAGCTGGAGGGGTCGGTGCTGGAGATGTACGTGTGGGAAGCATTGCGTGTGGGTGACCCATTGTGGTGGCAACCAGGCCTGGCTGCCCCTCATCAGATTAGGTGGGTGGTGACTGTGGGTGGCAGCAGGGGGTGGGGGATGTGCCCACCCAGCAGAGAGGGAGGATGGCACTGGCAACAGCCCACATGGTTAGAAGACTCATAGTCTGTGGTGGCAGGCTGGGGAGAGGCTCCCCGCCATGTGTCTCACCGGGTGGTGACAGGGGAAACCGTCACGGGGTGGAGATGGTGGGTGGTGGTGAAGCAATCTCCAGGTGTGTAGATGTAAGCTCTGGGCTACAGCCAGGGCCTGGCCCATAGGAGGGAGAACCCAGCCGCTCATGCCAGCCCCCTTTCCCTTAAGCACAGAGGAAAGACCGGGAATTTGGAATCCTCAGTGTAAATCCTGGCTTCCCTTCCTCGTGTGTGATCTTAAACAAGTTAGCCACTGCTCCTCCCTCCCTTTTCTTGTGGGTAAAATGCAGGTAAGACCCCTCCTCCCCGAGGGCTGTAATGAGATCAAGTGAGAAAGAGCCCACGAGGCCCTAGCAAAGTTATCAAGAGAGCAGACACTCATTCAGAGTGGGTGGTGGCATCCTGTCCATGCCCCAACCTCCCCAGGGGTGTCTCTGTTCCTGGGAAGCTTCCATTGGGCAACCTGGGCTGCTTGGTTGAGTCCAGGGGCCTGAAGGGTCTTTGGTGCCAAAGCCTGATAGGGGAAGATGAGCTGTCAAGGCCCAGGTGCCACACAGCAGGGCTCAGCTTCCCTCTGCTGGACAAGGTCCCCGGCTTCTTGCCAGTTTCCCCGGGTGAGGCATGTCAAAGTCAATTTCATGCTCTGGAAGAGATGTGCTGCTTCTCCTGTCCCCTTCTGGGGTTGTGTGTGTGTGTGTGTGTGTGTGTGTGTGTGTGATTATATTGCAGTGACACCCAACTCTATGCTCAGACACTTTCCACCACTCAGGATATGCTAAGAGAGCGGCACAGAGAGACGGACGGTAATCCTTGGTAATCCTAACAGGCATTGAGATTGAGAGCTTGCTACTTGCCAACACTCTTCCTAGTGCCTTACCTTCAGTATCTCATTTTATCCTCACAGCAATCCCATGAGGTAATCTACATGGCCCCATTGTACAGATGGGGCAACTGAGGCATAGGGAGAGGAAGTAAATAGCCCAAGGTCGCACAGCAAGCCAGTGGCAGCGCTGGCTGGGACCCTAGGCAACCAGGCCCTAAGGACCATTGCCAGATACCACTCTCCTGGGCCATTGCTGTTCCCTGTCCGGGAAACCCCTCAAAGAGTTCACAAACCCAGTGTGTGTGTTGGGGCTGCAGGAGGTGGGATTATGTCCCTGTGGCTGGCAGGCACGTGGAACACTGAGGGGATGATGGGAGGGCCGAGGCATCCCCTGCCAGGGCTGATCCCAAAACTATACAACTCACCTCTCTTTCCTTGCTCGCAGAGCAGGTTAGTTTTTCTGCTGTTATAGTTCTGCATTTTAGGGTTCTAATGCTTCAAAATCGCTTCACATGGGAGGGGGGAGGGATAGCATTAGGAGATATACCTAATGTAAATGACGAGTTAATGGGTGCAGCACACCAACATGGCACATGGATACATATGTAACAAACCTGCACGTTGTGCACATGTACCCTAGAACTTAAAGTATAATTTTTAAAAAACTCGCTTAACAAAGGATTTGGGGCTCCAACATGGGTCTGCTGGCAGATCCAGGATGGACCCTGGGCCTCACTGAATGGAGGGCCAGCCCTGAACGGACCCCCAGCCACACTGATGTCCTGGCCTGGCCTGGCCTGGGGTAGGAACCCCTGGGTTGCCCTTAGGGCTCCATCCCAGTCATACAGCCCTTAACTGGGCTCCCAGTGCCACAGCAGAGACAAGGCCTGAAGGTTCAATTAAGACCTTTTCTCCTTGTCATCTCTGGGCTTGAGGTCTTTCAAAGCCTGGCCACAGCCTGATCACTAGAAATTACCTTGGGTATCGTCCTATAATGCTGATACCTGGGCTCCACACCAGACCCACTGATCCAGTGTTGTGGGGCGAGGTCTTGGCATCTGCATTGCCAACCACTTCCCCGATTATTCCCATGCACACTCAGTCCTGAGAGTATCATGGACCCAGATCGTCGTGCCGGTGGGGTCTGTTTCTATCTGGGTATGTCCTGTTTGCTCCATGGGGCTCCAGGGAGGGCTTCTGGGGGACTTCCCTGCCCAGCTCCTGGTCAGCCTCCAGGCAGGTACTAGGACACCACCTGGCCACTAGTCCCAGATCAGGCCCTGCTGTCCACCTGCCTGGGTGCAGCCTCAGTCCTACTTTTGGCCAAAGGGGCTGGGCTTCTGCACGATGGACAAGAGAAGTGAGCATGTCAGCACCCAAGAATCCCCGGTCTCAACAGAGCCCAGAAATAGCAACCGTCACCCAAAAAGGGCTGGGCATGATCTCTCCACCCCCATCTGGGGATTTGTTCCCTTGCAGGTTCTCAGCCTGGGCCCAAAGAATATGCAGGCTCCTATAAAGGAAGGAAAGTTCTCCCACTTTGAAAATACGTGTCATTCAAAGCAAGTACCATGCATCAGTCTCTGTGGTCAGCATGGGGGAGGGGAGAGTTATGAACATGAAAATGACAGAGGTGTGAGGTGCTTGGGGTCAGAGGGGGCAGCAGCCATGGACTGGCAGCTCCTGGCTTGGCACTAGCTTGCTTTTTCCTATCTCTATCTATCTATCTCGATCTCGATCTCGATCTCTGTCTCTGTCTCAGTTTATGTATCTCTAGGATTGCTTAAGAAAGCAGTAAGATCATGGGAATTAAGTCCAGGGCCTGTGGACTGGGCTGGTTCAGAAAGCTGCCCGAAGGAGGTGGCATGCGAGCAGGGATTTGAAGGCTGGGCTGTGTTTCCTTGGGGAAGTGGCCGAAAACCAAAACACCTTCTGCAGCCAGGCAGGTCACGAGGAACAGTAGAGCGAGTGGGTGTGAAACAATAGGGAATTGTGCGGGGGAGAGGGGTGGAGTGCTGTGGATCCCCAGGGACCACCTGTTGGCACCCGAAGGCAGCAGCTGCTGATGTGAAAAGGAATAGCTCCCCTTGCTGGTTCTTCTGATTTCTCCAGAGCAGCAGGAAGTCCAAATATTTATGGGAAATTTCCCAATATTCCAATCACTGTAGTTGCAACATTAGACATGGCCTGCACGCTGTCAGTTCTCTGTCCCACCTTAGGGGCCGGGTGGCAAAGAGGGTCTTTGGTGCAATGCTGCCAAGTCGCTGTTTCTGGGTCTCCTGCCCTGCACCCCCTCCCCACTGTCCTGTCTCAGCAGCCGTGTGATAGGGTGAGAGCTCTGGGGACACCTGCCATGAACCCTAGTCCACATGCTGGACTCTGACTCCAGGACTCTCAACCCTGGCCATAGCTTGACCTCTCATCCCTCCCTCCCAGGGCTGTTACACGGTGATCCTCAACACCTTCGAGACCTACGTCTACTTGGCCGGAGCCCTTGCCATCGGGGTACTGGCCATCGAGGTAAGTAAAGGCCCCCACTTCTGCCGCTCCCCAGGATGAAGCCTCACGTGGAGCCTAGGCAGATCCCCCCAGCCTCCTTTCCTCTTCATTTCCTTCACCTGGGACCCAAGGGGCCCCCACTGTGGGTGCTATGGGGTGGTAAGCCCGGCTGTGTCTGTGCTGCCTGAGAGTCATTCTTGAACTCTGGAGATGAAACATGGGAGCCAGTGTCCCAGAAATGGGGATGGGCAGGCCCTGAGTGTCATCCCCACTCCCTCTCACTCTTCCATCCTCATCCCCACCTCCGCCCCAGCTCCATGGTCCAGAGAGATTTCACGCTTGCAGAGGCATCAGCACGGCTGCCTTGAAGGACAGGCTGCAGCCCGTGGTTTGAGATCAGGCCTTTTCTCTGTGGGGTGTTCAGGGCCTACAGGGCCTTATTCATCCACAACGGTGGCCTTAGCCTCCTTTATCTGAGGGCCCCAGAGTCCCCTTGAAAGGTAAGCTCCTGCAGACCGTTTGCAATCACCACTAGGTGGCGCCTCAGCCAAAGGGAGGAGCGGCCGCCTCCCGTTTCTGTCCTCTGGGATCTCCATCATCTGGGATCTCCGACTTGCTGCTCCTGGGGGCTGGACAGAGCGTTGCCCACATCTGACCAAACCCAGGAAGGGGCACTCTGGGGCCTCAGTCAGTCCTCGGCCTGCGGGGGAAGGAAGTCAGGCAGCCCAATCCTCAGCTTCCCCCTCCAGCAGCCTGGGCACCTGGCACCATGAACTTCGCCTTGCCTGGTTTCCCACTGTGCCTGCAGCGCCACGGAGTGCAGTTTCGTGGAGGCTACTGCAGATGGCGGAGAGGGAGGGGTCATTGATTATTCATTCATGTATTCAACAAGCACACACTGAGCCCTATTCTTCGCCAGCACTGTTATAGTTGAACAAGTCCCCTCATGGAGGGCAACAATGAACAAGATAAATCCGCAGCAAGCCCAGGGAAATCTCAGGGACGTGTCCCATGAAGGAATAGCATGGGCCCTAGAGTCCGGCTCCCAGCTCTGCCTCTCTCCAAATGCAGGATGTCTAAGTCACAGTTTCTTCATCTGCAAAATGGGCTGATCACCCTGCTCCCAGGGCACAGAGGGATTACAGATGACGGGGACAGCATGCTACTGGGGCTCAGGAAGCAGCATTCATATACTTGATCTGCTGCCTCACTCCCAGCCCAGCCCATGAGCCTGGCTGGCCAGCCCCATGGGAGGCAGAATCCTGCTCAAGACGGAGACCTTTACATGGCCCCGTCCCGGTAGCCCCTCCCCACCCCAGTGAGCCTCCTGGTGATTTGGCCATGACCTGTGGTCTAGGGACTGTTCCCTCAGCTACTTGCAATGAGCTCTGGCCGTGAGAACATCAGCAAATCTGGTCAGAGTCCCTGAGCTAGGGTCTCCCTGCCCCACCACCCCAGGCCCTCAGACAGGTGTTCAGGGATGGAGCTCATAACTCCGGGAAGGGCTGCAGCTGCCTGCCTATTCATAGCAGTCCTGGTAACCTTTTACTGAGCAACTTCTAGATAAGAGGCACATTACATCATTAGGTAATTGCATTACACTTAAATCTCACCACCTTCCTGTGAGCTGGAGGCGAGCCTGCAGGGGTTGTAAGCATGGGCTCTGGGGTCACAATGCCTGGGACTGAAACCCAAGCTCCCCTGCTGGTGGCTCTGTGACCTCAGGTAGGTTACATACCTCCCAATAAAGCACTTAAAACTGTTCCTTGGCTGGGCGCTGTGGCTCACGCCTGTAAATCCTAGCACTTTGGGAGGCCGAGGCAGGCAGATCACGAGGTCAAGAGATGGAGACCATCCTGGCCAACATGGTGAAACCCTGTCTCTACTAAAAATATAAAAATCAGCTGGGCGTGGTGACGCATGCCTGTAGTCCCAGCTACTCAGGAGGCTGAGGCAGGAGAATTGCTTGAACCTGGGAGGCAGAGGTTGCAGTGAGCTGAGATCGTGCCACTGCACTCCAGCCTGGGCAACAGAGTGAGACTCTGTCTCAAAAAAGAAAAAAAAAACTGTGCCTGGCACATGGCAAGCTCTGGATACATACTCAGGCCCAGTGTAGGGAAGTGCTTTGCCTAAGGACAACCCTGCTATGTCAGGGAGCTGGATTTGAACCCAACACTCGTTTCTAAAGTCTTCCTGGTCCATGACTCCACCACATAAAGGAAGCCAGGTAGGGGCTGGTGAGAAGGGCTGGCCCCAGGGGAATGTCAGGAATCCTTAGGGGAGGAGTGTGCTAAGAGTGACAGGCATTCACTCCCCTTCCCCTGGAGTGGGCCAGGCAGCCCACAAAGGGCCCAGCCTGATAAGCCAGTTCCTGCTCTTTTTCTTTTTTTGCAGCTTTTCGCCATGATCTTTGCCATGTGCCTCTTCCGGGGCATCCAGTAGAGGGTATGGCCTGAAGCCTGAAGACTCGCCCCACCCACCACTGCCCAGCACCCAGTGTCCTCCCGTGCCCCTCCCCGCTGTCCTCTTGGCCCCAGGGGAGAAGATGAGGCCATCAGAGATGGCCAGGAGAAGGGCCAGGGGAATAGAGCTATTTTTTTAACAAAACAAAATGAAGACAAAAATATGGACTGATGTATCCTCGCCTGGACTCAGGGCAGGTGCCGTGGGTTCTCCAGAGACCCCAGCAACTGGCCCAGGATGCAGGCTGCTCTAGAGACCAAAGGAACACCAGGCCCAGCGCCCTCTTTGGTCCAGCCAGACCCTGGGCCCTCTCTCCTCACTGCACCAGGACCTGATGCCAAGAAAGTGAGGATTTAGGCAACAAGGAGGCAAAAGCAAATCTCAGAGAAGTCATCAAAGCCCAGGGGCTGCACGGAGATTCAGCTGCCATGTCTTTGAGGACTCGGAACCCACAGCGCAATCCCTGGTCCACTGGAGGATGGACTGTTCCCCCCTTCAGGCCGGGGCCAAGAGTGAGCTGCTAACACGGCATCCAAGAATGGCCCAGCTGGTAGGATCCTTGCTTTCCCCATCTGTTGGACCAAATAATCTCAAAGGCCCAGAGAGGACAGTGACCATCCACAGACACACAGCACAGGCGTGACAGTTCTGAAAAGAAGCTGAGTTGTCTCCAGGCTGCTGTCACTGCATCCAGGACTCTGTCAGCTCTGCTGCCCACATGCACCCCTGGCCTCAGCATCCCGGTTCCCCCAGACAAGAGAGGGCAAGTCAGCCAGGAACTGCCTCCTCCCTGCTCTACAGCTAAGAAAACACCATTCCATGACTTCCCACCGCGCCCTCGCTCCTACCTCCCCACACCTCTCTCTGAGTCCCCAGGAACACACAGAGGTGCACATCACATTCCCTTGTCCACACTGCCCGCCTCTCCCACATGCCACCCCCTTCCCTGTCCTTCCCCAACTCCCCAGCTCCAAGAGTGGAAGAAATCCCCAAGATCATCTGGGTCTCCCTCTCCACACCCAGAACTGAGGCTTGGATATCTTCTTCAACATCCTTGCCAAGACTTCTCCACCCTCTTGCATACCTCCAGGGACAGAGAGCTTACTACCTCCCAAGGCAGCCTCCTGCCTTTGGACTGCTCTGACTTTAGCATCAGCTTAATACACAGAAGAGGTTTCTGTTTTTCTGTGGCTCTGTCCATGGCATCCCACTTGCCCACTCTCCTTCCTGGAGTGTTGAGGTCACACATTGACTCCCCTGAGCCCTCTTCTCTCCAGGCTAAAGAATCCCGAAGGCATCGAGGCCATTTCTGCTGCAACAAGGTTTCCTGTCTCTTCACTGTCCGCACATTTCTTAGTATTCCCTCCAGGCTTGGGCAGGGAGACTCGCAGATGCACACCCACAAGTATTCAGTTCTCAAACTCTAGACGAGTGTTGGCAACTGGATTGCAAGATGCTCCTACCCTGATAGATCAGGGGTGGCTGCTGGAGGCTGTGCTGGGGATCTGAGGTTTGGTCTGGGCTCAGTGGGAGACGGCAGTGCAATCCTGATGAGTGATGTCTGCCAGGCACCGTAAGTTTGATTAGTGATGTCTGCCACGGGCAGGGATGGAAGGAGCAGTGTGATGTCTGCTCTCTTCTCTCCCCTCTGTCCCTCTTCAGGAAGAAAGAGCTCATTCTGTCTCACAAGCCACCGGCATCCTGTATCAGCTTCCAGCCTCCCCTCAGGCTTTCCAGTCACCAGGGACACTCGGAGCCACAGCCTAGAGCCCCGTGTTCCCTGGCCTGTGCGTCTGCCCCCTTCTGAGATGCAGCCAGAAGCTCTGTGCCTGCTGCAAAGATTCAGGTGGACCCTCCTCTAATCTCCTCCTGCTGTGCCCGCCAGTCCTTGCCCTCCCACCAGGTCTCTGAGCTCAGTGTTACCAAATTCGCCCTTTAACAGCTTGCTCTGGCAACCCCATAAATGACACCTGAGGTCCGTAGAAGCTAAGCTCCTGAGACCCAGGGGGACCTGCCACTGGTACCGCGGCCCAGCCTGGGGCCTGGGGGCTGCCCCTCTTGAACCACCCACATGCTTAGCCCCAGCTTTTTGGAAGAGGCAAATGGCTGGTCTGAGGATGACACACAAAAACAAAAACAAAAAACAAAAAACCCATGCTGGGCAGGACTGAGGCAAATTGCACAGCTTTATGGCTCTAATCCAGGGGCATCCCAGGCTTCTGGGGCCCACAGAAGTCAGAGGGAGGACCCAAGAGAAAGGGCTGGTCATGAAGGGAAATCTGGCTAAGGTGGGTTCAAGGGCAGACACAAGACTGCCCCTCAGCAGCTTTCTACAAATGTGCCAAGGAACCCTCAATCAGCCCTGATTCAGCTCGCCAGCCAGCCACTGGCCACCCTCTTAGGCTGGAAAGGGAAGACAGGCAGTTTCTGCTCCTGTTGGCATTCGCTCAGGCTGGTAGCTATTTGCAAGACTGCCTGAGGCCATTCCTTGGAGGCAAGGCAAAGAAAGCTCAGCCCAAATCAGGCTTGAGCCTCCCTCCAGAGCACAGGGAGAAACAGGGTTTAGCTGGCTTGGTCCAGATACAACCCACAGCAGGTTCTGGTGGTGGCTGGGGTTGTGGGGGAGGGGTGGGCAGGGATACCTCTTTGTTTCTTTTCACCCCGAAATACAACAGCCCATAACAGAGACTTCCTCGGACCCCACTAACAGGGCAAGGAACAAGAAGACTACACCGCTCATCACAAACCCTGCCTGTATCGAAAGCCACTTTCCTGCTCTGAAGCTACTGCCTCTTAGAGAAAGGGAATAGCTCTTTATGGGCTGGGGGTGAGGGCCCCTCCCCAGGGTCCCTGTTAATTTCTGGCCTTGGTGCTCAGGCCTGTCCACAGCCTCCCTTGTCTATGTCTCTATCCATGCTTAAGGGGCCCGGACAGGATTTCCCAAACCAGCCGAGGCCCCAGCACCCGCCGTCTCCCCAGAAGCCCCCTCCTCCTTCCCCCATGGGTCATATGTTGAAAGTCTATTTTAAAAACTATGTTCCTTGCCGTAGATTGCAGAGCTAATTTATCACGTTTCTCTCCTGTGAGACCCCCCTTTTATATGATATATCCAGAGGAAGTTTTGTAATATAAAACAGGACGCCCACACTGATGGTTTTGCACTGGTTTTTGTGAATGTTTCTTACAAAAAGAAAAAGGAACAAAGAATAAATAGTGACCGTGAAGAAAGGTGGTCTTGATTTGGGGTTGGGGATAGACTGGGGCGAGGCAGAAGCTTGACAAGAGGCTGCTGATGGCTGGAGGGAGCTGGGAGAAGAGGCGTTCCAGGTCACCCCAAACGGAGCGTAGAGCGGGCCCACACCGAGCTTTCCTCGCTGGACTTAAGGGCCCCTGTCCCTCACCCCTCTGCCACTGCCTCCTTCCCAACTGTAAATCTCCTTGCCTTAGAGTCCCCCTGCCCTCCAAGCTGTACGTCTGTCTTCCAGATCTTACCTGACCTGCAGCCCCCTCCCTCACCCTCACCTGCAGGCTCCACTACAATTAGCTCTAACCAAGCCACCCAGTATTTTGTGAGCACAGCTGTGTGCCAGAGCCTGGACAGCCTCATGGGGTAAGGCCACGCCACCCTCCCATCCCACAGTTGAGTGTGGAAGACTGGATGTCTCAGGGCCAGCAGACGCCCGACACGCAGCCTCATTCCCCAGGTGGAATCCACCTGCAGTTATGGGAGGACAAACCAACCATCACTATTAGAGGATTAGGCCTGGCTCAGATGGGGGATTGAGGCTTCGGCCTGAGGGCACTGCCCATTGGCGGCACCACCTGTGGGCAGCAGCGGGAGGCAGTGGTGGCTCGTGGCCAGACCAGGGCTCGGCAGCAGGGAGGCAGCTCTTTAGGGAGAGGCACAGGCTTAGGTAGCAAGAGACAGATGCCAGGAGAGGGGCCCTTCCTCAGGGTCCAGCCTCCCATTCTGCTCTGCCACGTTTACCAAGCAGAGTCTCGGGGCATCCGCTGTAACCATGGTGGTGCCACCACTCTGCTGGGTACAGGCCATGTTGCTGTATCTGGGTGCAGGGACAGCCAGGCACAGGGTGGACAGGGGTGAGGACCCCTGGCAGGGGCCCACCTGGCAGCAGCCAGAGCGGGCTGTACCTATAGACACCCTCCAGCCATCCCCCACTCTATGCCAGGATGGGAAGCGAGTCTGAGGCCTGGGGCTGCTTTTCTCCCTACACCTGTCCCCAGGGCTTGGGCTCGCCACTTCCGGTGTGTGCATCGGTGTGCTGGCAGGAGGGAGAAGGTTGGGATCAGGGACTAACGGGGTGTACAGCACAGGCTGGTGGGCCCTCAGGGAGAAGCTGGGCGGTGGGTATGCAGCACAGGCTGGTGGGCCCTCAGGGAGAAGCTGGGCGGTGGGTATGCAGCACAGGCTGGTGGGCCCTCAGAGGCAGGGCAGGGGCTGTTCGGCCCCAAGACAGCCAGTTGTCAGCCTTTGCCAGGGCGCTGGACAGGGCGGGGAAGATGAGGGGAGGTGGCCTGCTGAAATGTTTCTACTTATTTCCTGTGCTGAGTTGGAGGGCCACCTGATCCCACTCAGCCAGACCCTGGAGGCAGCCCGGGCTGCACGTGTGGGGGGCAGCTCACCGGGAAGCAGGCAGGAGTGGGGGACAGGCTGAGCCCAGTGGCCATCAGGCCTTGGGGTACATGCCAAGGGGCAAGAGAGCGCTATGGCTTTCCTTCTGTTCCTCCTCTCCCAGCCCCACCACTTACAATGGTCTCCATTGGGGGCTGTGTGTCCCTTTGTCCGTGGGGCTGAACTCAGGCTGGTTGCAGGGAGGGGGCTCCCAGGGCATTCCAGTGTCCTAGGGTAGAGGCAGAGTGCCCTAGAGCAAGGTCCCAGGAGAGCTCATCTTGTCAGGCCAGGAGAGTGGGGACAGGACTTCTAGCTGGGAGAGGACTTCTAGCTGTGTGTGGCCCATTCTTGAAGAATGGCTGAAAGGGAGGTGCCATCTCAGGCAGCACACCCTGCCTGCATGCCCTTGGCTGGGCTATGAAGGCGCACGTGTGTGTGTTTGCTCACATCATGGGTGTATGTGTGTCTGTGTGTGTGTTCAGGGGTGTGTATGTGTGTGTGTTGTGTGTCTGTGTGTGTTTTCAGGGTGTGCATGTGGAGAGGGCCAGATTGAGGAGGAGGGGTACAGGGTTTTCCAGGATTAGAAGGAAGCCAAGTTTAGCTGCTTGGGCACTAGGTTGGCTGGGAGTGTAGGGAGAAGGATGGGGGGTGGTCACAGCCTCTCTCAAAAGCAAGAAGGGCTTCCTGGCAGAAGAGGCTGGACCCTCGACTTAGCCCACTACCCTCATGACTCCAGCCTGACTTTAGTCAGTGTCTATTGAGGGGGTCTGGAGGCCAAGAGACCCAAGGAAAGGAGGTATCACTGTGAGGGTGAAGAACAGGGCAGCAGAGGCCCTGTCTCTCCCCAGACCAGCATGTCAAGCCTGAAAGCCCAGGAGATCACAGCACACGGGGTGCCCAGGAGGAAAGGAAGGCCCCCCACCCCCTGCCTCCCTGGGGCAGGACTGGGGCAGGGCAGGGGACCCTCCTGCCTTCCAGGAGCCAAAGGGAAGCCGAGGCCCCAGCGCCACTCTGGCCCAGGCATGGGCAGGGCCCCAGGCCCAGCGGGCAACTAGGCCTTCTTGGGTCTTCGGCCGACTTGGTAATAGTAGTAAATGCTGATGACGACAAAAAGGAGGCGGCTGACCAGGAGCAGCAGGATCCCCAGGGACATGAGGCCCGTCTCAGCTAGCGTGGCAGTGACCACTGTGGGAGAGAGTCCAGCAAGGCCACAGGGTCAGAGGAGGGGATGTGTCCCAGCGCTGCCCCCCTAGCCCGGAGCGCTGGTGTGGCCGTCTCCCTGACTTTGCTCTGAGCCCAGGATCCTCCCAGGTGGGAAGCACAGGACCTGCCCCCTGCCCCTGCCAACCCCACAGATGTTTCTGCTCTGATGTCTCCCATGTGGCAGGAACTGGGGCACAGCAGGTGGGCAAAATTGAATGCGTGTTATTACACACGTGCTGGGTACAGTGGGCAGTGGGTGTGGGGGGGCCGCAGGTACATGTGTGTGCAAGGCCATAGATACAAGTGTGTGGATTTGGGAAGCTACAGGCACGTGTGTTAGGCATGTGTGCACAGGTGTGCAGGCACACAAGTAAACACAGCCAGGTGAGTCCTTATCCCTCTATCCCCTCCCTAGCCCCCCACAGACAGGTTTTCATCACTTCCCACACACCCAGGTGGCTAGAGCAGGCAGGTCAGGGGCGAAGCGGCCCATCAGCCTCCCTCACTGCCCACCTCAGGACTCACCCAAGAACTGGACCCCGAAATAGCAAGCTTCGGTGAGCAGGGTCCATCGAATGATGACCTTCTCAGCCGTGTAGAGAGCGTTCCACATGATCAGGGAGATGCCTGGGGCGGGGGATGAAAAGGGGGCTGGGGGTGGGACAGCTGACTCCCTCCCAGCAGGGCAGGAGGACTGCTCCTGCTTCCTCTGGCCACTGCTGCAAGACAGCTGGGGTCCTGGACTCCACGCCTCCGCCCCTATTCACATTTCTCAAATCAAAGCTGTCTGTCCCCGATCCTGTCCCCTCCAGACTCAATGCTGCTGCTTCAGCCTGCTCCTGTCATTCCAAGGCCCTATGTGACACTGGGCGAGTCACTTCCCCGCATTGAGACTCGATCTCTTTATAAAGGGGGAGGACTGAGCCCCTGGCCCCTGCCCATGTCCGGTTCTGTCAGGAGGATGCTGTGTTCATGGAGTTCATGAGTTAATGGGTTACCTGGTCCTATGATTGGGTTTTCTTTTACACGGACTCCCAGACAGAAAACCTGAGCCCGGTAAGGACTCGCTTTAAGGAAGTCCCCTGGGGGAGGGGGATGAACCATACTTTTTAGCAGAAGACCACTGACTTGGCCTCTAGCAGGCCCCGCCCACCCAGTGTCTGCTGGTACCAGACATGCCACTGGGTGTGCATTTATTTTATTCCAGCAACCCTAACTCCAGAGGAGCTCAGCCTTTATTCTGTAGGCAATAGGGAGCCATAGAATATTTCGTAGAAATAGAGGCATATTACCTATGCTGAGCTTTAAAAATTGTAATTCCAAATCCTAACGTGTGCATCTCAGGTTAGAGAGGAAACAGAAGTGGTTCAAACAGAAGTGGCTCTGGGGATAAAATAGGGGGGGTGCGAGGGGTTTTGCAGACACTGAA
This sequence comes from Homo sapiens, assembly GCF_000001405.40. Classification (NCBI taxonomy): domain Eukaryota; kingdom Metazoa; phylum Chordata; class Mammalia; order Primates; family Hominidae; genus Homo; species Homo sapiens. The sequence goes on from NC_000011.10 coordinate 44,936,465, forward strand.
TTGATCTGCCTCTCCTCTAGGCTGTGAATTCCTAGAGGCTGGGCCTGGGCTTCCTCCATCTCTGTACCACAACGCCCAGAGGCAGTGCACACACTTATGAGCGCTCCTTGCAGATGGTGGCGACTGCAAGCTCCAACCCACTGGGTGTATTCCACCAATGGCCACAAGATGGCAGCACATCCCCAGCAGAGAGCTTCATCAGAGGCCGGGGTGTGGGCGCAGCATCTGGCCGAAGAAAGGAAGGGGTGCCCGGGCACGGACCCCCGTGCTCTCCTCAGCCCCGCTGGGTCTCCCAGCTGCCCGTCGCCTCCCCCAGGGCCCGCCCCAGCAGTACTCACTGAGGAGGGCACCGCCGTAGAGGCGGATGGGGGTCTTGCTGGTCACCTGGGCTCCATCAAAGACCGCATCATAGAGCTGGTCAGGGAAGGCAAGCGCCTGCGGGCAGCGAGAGGGGCTCAGAGGTCCCGCTTGGGAGAGGGTGGGGGGTGACAGCTGATGCTTCCCACAGACGTCTTCCTTCCCCGCCAGGAGCAGGATCAGCATCCTTGGGGGCAGTCCAGGGTCTGGACCCAATTGTCCCCACCCGCCCCCATGCCAGGACAGAAAACTCCAGGGTTCCTGGGAGAAGGAGTCAGGCCACAAACCATGGGATCTAGTGTGCTCCTGGAGAAGGCACAGGCGTGGCAGTGTAGGAGTCAGGTTCTCGGAGGCAGCCCCAGAGCCTGACAGATGGGCCCCTGCACGAGGGGCCAGGATGGAGGAGGCACCTCTGGTGAGCCAGAGAAGGGCTGAGGGAGCCACACGGGGCCAGATCTCAGGGGCTGGGGGTGGGGGCTCACCATGATGGCAATGCCGGAGAAGAGCACAGCAGAGACGAACTGCCAGACCCTGGGAGGCGTGGAAAGAAGATCACAGCCCTGCCCCAGGGGACCCTCCCCTCTCCAGCCCAGATCCCCAGGGATGGCAGCTTTGGGGAAGGTAATGAGACAAAATAAAATCCAGGGACCAGGCCAAATGAGGTGAGGTCTTATGCATTCTGCCCCACCGCCGCAGGCCTTCCCCTCCCCCAAAAAGTCAGGTAAATGCTCACCTGAGCCCCAAAGGCTCCCGAATGGTAAACTTGATTTCATTGCCTAAGACCTGGCTGATCTGTGGACAGAGGGGGTCAGAGGCAACCAGGGTGAGGGCAGCTCTCAGCGCCCCCACTCGCTCATCCTCCCAGAGCCCTGCACACCCAGGGACCAGCCTGGGCACCTCAGCTTGGCCAAAGGTTCCCCCAGGTGGGGAGGGTCACATGAGGCCACCCCCTCTCCTGCTTCCCCTTGACACTAGGATTTAAAAGAAGCTGAAAATATGATGGTGACGTATGAAAGCTCAGGGCTCTGCCAAATGCAGACTTGAAGCCTGGTCCTGCCACTTACCGGTGTGGCCTTGGGCAAGTTGCCTAACCTCTCTGAGCCTTTGTTTCCTCATCTATAAAATGGGTGAATGATTTTACAGTATCTGCATCTTCTAGTGCCAACAAGAAGATTTAAAAAGCAACTGCTGGAAAACCGGGCACGTAATAGGCACTTAATTCTAATGATCTCGTTATTCCCCTGGCATTGCTGTTACATTTCTAGGAAAATCAGCTAAGTCCTAGAACTCCTGCGGCTACCTGGGCCTGGGCTAACCTTCTCCCCTAATGGTGGGTCAGCCTGGCCTCCCCAGTGGGTGCCGGAGGCCCCTGCTCTGCACCCCACCTTGGAGCGATGCACCTCCCCGTCGTCATCCTCCCCGCCCACGCCGAGGATCTTGCGGGTCTTCAGGCGGCTCACGAGGTCCGTCTGGCTGTGCTTCTTCATCAGAGGCGGGGGCTGCTTGGCCGCCATCTTCTCCTCCAGCCCGGCCTCTGCAGAAGGGCTGAGGGGAGACACCGGCCTCAGGCCACAGTTCCTACCCAGCTTCCAGACCCTAGGGGAAGGGGCCTGACTAGCGGAAGGCCACACCCCACACCAGGCCTGCTGAGGCCTCCCCACGAGCCCAGGGCAGTAGGGGGAGTACAGCTGGCTTCCTTGTCAAATGGGTTGAGGAAATGCTCTCCAGGCCCCTGAGGCTCTGGGAGCTGGTCTGCTGTAGGTGGACACAGCACACCCCATCTGACAGGTTGCATGGTGCCTTAGAGCCAGCCCTGGAGGCATAGGGCCCAGGAGAGGGCATTTGGGTCTGGATGGCGGCCACATCCAAGCTTCCTGGGGGGATGGGGAGGAAAGGAGCCTGGATTCATGGGGCAAATGAGGTTTAGAAAAGGGGAGGGTCTGTCCAAGCCTGGGGCAGGGGCTTCTGAGTTCTGGGGTTTGGGCCCCCACCAAACTTCTGCCCAATCCTGCAAGCCGGTGAGCCCCTCTCCCGTCTCCCTGCCACCCCCCTTCAAACCTGCCAAGACCAAAGAAGGGGAGGGGGTGCCCTCATACCCAGCAGAGCCAGAGAAGGCTGCCAGGGGTGTTGACGGGGACACTAAGGTGGTCTAGATTCCCTGCTCAGGCCTTGCCCTCCCGGCCATCAGCCCCCCACCAGCCCCTCCCGGCACCCCAGGTCTGCCCATGATCCTCCCCAGCCCCCCACTCCCCCACCGCCAGCAACATCTTGGACCAGGTTGGGAGCACCTACTGCGTGCCAGCCCCTGTGCTGGGCAACTGAGATGCAGAAAGAAGCTGAGTACCTGTCGCGTCCTCAGTCAGCCAAATCTATGCAGAGGAGACAGCAGTGTAAACGGGGTGAGGTGAAGCCTCAGAGGCTGGCTCCGGGGTGGCCCTGGCTTCTCTAATCACAGCTGCCCTGCAAGATGGGCGCTATTGACGGCCACGCTGCAAATGAGGAAACCAAGCTCCCGGGGTTTCAATGCCAACCAAGGTGAATAACGGTCGTGCCACTTCCTACCTCGGACCACTTCCAGAATCTCATTCCCACTTGCACCCACCCTCTGGCAAGGCAGAAAAGCCATCCCCATCTACAGACAGGGTCAGAAGCCACTGGGCCCTCTAGCAGGGGACCCTGCTGTCTCAGTGCCCTGTGGCCCCAGGCAAATCTCACCCTCCTGCCCCAGCCAGGGCTGCCAGAGGCAGAGTGCGGGGATGTCCCCGGGTCACCTCCCATTTTTGAGCCTCCTGGTGTCTTAAAATAAAGCACCCGAACAAATATCAGAACACAGTTTCAAACTGTGGGGTCTGTGAATAATGTGGCTGTAGACCGGATCAACTAGGGAGGCAGTATACCATGTCGCATTGGGAAAAAAAACTGCAAAAGTTGCTATTGGCGGTCTTTAGTGAGTGTGATGTCATTTCCAGGCCAAACTACCCTCCTACGCCCCCTGGCTTTAGTTCCTCATCCACAAAAAGGAGTGGATACGCCTTTCTCCTCCCCACACACAGGCCCCATGGTGAAAGGAGACAGCGGCGGGTGGTAACTGTGACGGCAGTCCCACACCCGGCACACAAGAGACTCCCGGTTAATGCTTCGGTGTGTGCCAGCCATCAGGACAGGAGGCCAACCCTACCCTGCCAGGGAAGCCAGGGCCTAACCTTTCATCACCCGGCTCCTGGAGGGCCCAGGACGCCGTCCTGACACCTCAGCTGCTAGCCACTGCCTTCTGGTGAACCCAGATAGAAGCTACAATTAGCCACGTCCCTCCCGTGGCCAGGCGAGGCTGCCCTGAAAGTCACTAAGCCACTGGTGAGAACCGGGTCCTTCACCTGTTCCTCAGCCAAGGATGTTGCCTGGCCCACGCCCTTCCTCTTCCAGCCTCCCCATGGCCTTTTATCTTTTAATACATACAGCAAAATTGACGGGCTTCAGTTGTGCAGTTATTTGAATGTTAGCACACGTATAGATTTTTGTAGCCACCAGCTCCAGATCAAGACAACGAGCAGTTCCATCACCCCAAAAACTCCCTGGCGCTGGCCACTCCCTCCCCTCACACCTCCACCCTGGCAACCACTGATCTATTCTCTGACACTATGGCTTTTGTGTTTTCAAATATGCCATGTAAGTGGAATGATAAAGCGTAGAACCTTTTGAGGCTGGCTCCTGTCATTGAGCAGAATGCCTTTGAGATTCCTCCAAGTCACTGTGTGTATCAAGAGTCCGCTCCTTTTTATTGGAGAGCAGTATTCCCTGGGGTACGTGTAACAGCTTGTTTATCCATTCGGTCACTGAAGGCCATGTGGGTTGTTTCCAGTTGTTGATGATTATGAATAGAGCTGCTACAAACCCGCGTTTCTGTGGGACCGTAAGTTTTCATTTCTCTATGTAAATGCCAGGGGTGGAATTGCTGAGCTGTGTGGTACATCCCTGTTGGACTTTCAGAGAAAGCATCAAACTGTTTCCCAGAGCAGCCATGCCACTGCGTGTCCCTGGCAATGCAGTAGTGTTCCAGTTCCTCCACATCCTCACCAACACTCGGTAAGGTCGGTCTTTATTTCAGCCCTTCTACGAGCTCCTCCTGGCTGGTTAACCCCTCTCCCAGGCCAGACGTGCTGCCTCCCTCAGTCCTGCCTTACCTCTTCCTGCTGTGTGGCCTTGTGCTCTGAGTCTCGGTTTCCTCATCTGTGAAATGGAGCCATCATTCCCACTTCCTAGGGAGCCCGGGGCAAAAAGAAAAGCTCAGAGCACTCAGCAAAACACCTGCACATTTGCCTGAGGAATCCGCACTTAGTGAGGTCTACTGTGAGCAAGGTACATGGGTGGTGGGACAGGCCCCCTATCCTGAAAGAGCTCCCAGCCTTGGCCGGGGGAGGGGGCGCTGATCTGCTAGCCACTGATTAGAGCAAGTTACTTTTCCTCTCTGAGCTCCGGGGTCCTCATCTGTGAAACGAAAACAGCCAACCTCACTTTTCCCCTACAGCTGGTCTCAGGAGAAACAAAATAATGGACAGACAGTGCTTTAGAAAGAGCCAGCTCACTGCTCAAGCCAGAAGGCCTAATGGGTAAGTGCTTAACTGCTGAGGACGCTCCCTGGATTTGAATCCCAGATCCATCACTGCCTGGCTGTGTGCCCGTGGGCAGGTCAGTCACTTAACCTCTACGTGCCTCAGTCTTCCCAGGTGTAGTTGGGAAAATAAGGTGTCCTATCTTATAGAGATACTGTGAGAATAAAAGCTGTAATCTCCATGAAGCCATGGGGAAGTGCCTGGCCCACAGCAAGTCCCCAGTGAAGACAGGCAATTATCAGACACAGACACTGCCACCCTCCCCAGGCCTCCCATGTGGCAGTGGCACCAGGATGGAGGCCATGGAGGAGTAGGAAATGGATCTAACTAACACTTCTTAACTTCTCCGCCCCACTGGGCAAAGCCCCAGATCTCAGTCCCCGGGCACAAGGCTGGCGCTCAGCCACTGCCCACCAGGCCCAGGCTGTGTCCACGGCCCACCTCCGAGGGGCAGAAGCTTCCAGGCATTGGATGCATTGCTTTCCTCTGCCTGCTGACCCCTCTCCACCAACACATGCACACACACGCACACTGCACACACAGTACACACACACACACACCACATATACACACCATACTCACGCCACACACACACCACACACCACACACATACACACCACACACACCACACACATACCACACACACACCATACAAACTACACACACCACACAATACGTGCACACACACGCCACACAAACCCACCACACATACATCACACACACCCACCATACACAATGCACACACAAAACACACACACACCACACATACCCACCACGCACACACACCCACCACACACCTACCACACACCACACACACCCACACACTACACACACCCACCACACACATCACACACACCACATACCACACACCACACCCACACCACACATTACACACCATAGACACCACACACACACACCCCCACAACACACCACACACAACCATACACACACACCACACAAACCACAAACACCACACACACACCACACACACACACCATACACACACACACACACACACACACACACACACATACACACACAGAGCATTCCCCTCTGCATCCCAGGACGGAGTCAACAACAGCTGCTGCAAATCAACGGCTGTGGGACGTGTCAGTGCCCACCTGCTGGGGCTGGGAAGAGTGGGCACTACAGTGTCCTGGACAGAATTACTCATGGGTGGGACAATCTTCATCCACGGGCACTGCCATCAGACATCTGAGCTGGTGGGAACCACTGTGCCCACCTCCCAAGCCCACCCTAGCAGGGAGGGCATCACTCACAAAGGGCCCATGTGGCCCCACAGAGAAAATGGAATCTTGACCTCCAGGGAGGAGGGCCCCACACCCACCTTCCAGCACAGATAACTGCTCTGAGAACGGCGCTCCACCCCTACTTCACCCCCAGGACTGGGCCCTGCAATGATCAGATCCACCCAGCAGCCCCTCACCTGCCCCACTGGCGAGGCAAGCTGCACACACCCCTGAGGTCTCCCCTTGACCTTTCCTCCCCTTCAGGGCCACTCCAGGTGTTTATTTCAGGCCTAAGTGAGGACAGAAGACTCCACCGTGCACTATGGCCAAACCCCGGCTTTGGGGGCAGGGGACCTGGGTTTGAGTCTTGGCTCTGCCCTCTTGCCAGCTGCATGGCTTTGTGCAAGTCACTACACCTCTCCTAGCCTCAGTTTCCCCTCTTGTGAAATGGGGGTAGTGAGAACGCTCACCTCGCAGACGTGCTGGTGGAGAGAGAAAGAAGGAGTGCACGTGGGCACCCATGGGGAAAGTGCCCTGCCCAGGGAGGAGTCTGGCCCTCCTTCCACTTCCCTTTCTCCACTCAGCCGTGCACAGTGGAAAAAGCCTGCCATCAGTGCTGTGAAGCTTCCTGCTCTGCCCCACTGCCTTCTGAAGGGCCCCCGGGGGTTTCCCCCAGGAGCCAGGCTGCAGGAGGCTGGGGGCAGGGGCAGCAAGGACAGCCACTCCTCCACCCACATCACCTGTCTGGCAAGAAGGGAGGACATGGCTCCTAGGGCCCAGGCCTGGGATCCTGAACCTTTCCCTTCTGCCCTGCCAGCTGCTCTCGCCCACATTCCCGATCAGCCAGCAAACCTTTCAACAGTGGTTCTCATTGCTGACCCTTTACACAAGTGAGAAGGTCCCTGGGACACTCTGTCCCCCCACCATGCTCCTTGTTCCTCCAGGCTATCTTGCACACAGCCCCTCTTCCCAGGGCCCTCCCAGGGCACTGGGTCCTCATCCTCCTCTGGACTCTCACGGGTCTCAGTGTCTGCAGCCACTGGCCACTTATAGCCTCTACTCCTGGTCATTTCACGGCAGTTTGACTCCCCAAGACCAACCAGTCTGAAGGTATGGCTTGTACTGTGCTCCTCCGTGTATCTCCCCGTGAGGCTGGGGTGCACAGCAGGCACTTTGTCAACACAGGTGGAATGAGCAGCTGTCAGGCTAAGCCCAACCAGCACACTCAGAAGCCCACAGGTTAGACGTGGCGGGCTGAGGGGAGGCTGTGCCCCAGGCCACATGGAAGCTGGTGGCATAGGGCAGGAAAGGGCTTTCCAATTAGGCAGAACTGGGTTCAAAAGTGGCCACTCTCTGTTGGTCAGGTGGCCTTAAGCGAGCAGTCTCAGCCCTCAATACAATGGGGATCACACCACAGCGCCTTACTTGCCTTACTCATGGGGTGCTGAAGACTCCAGGAGATGGGGTGCAAATGCTCTTGGCAGAGGACCTGGCAGTGGGGGGTCTGGACAGCCGTGAAGGTTAGAGGACTGGATGAGAACACTGGCCTCTGACATTGCCCCACCTCCTCAGAAAGCTGTGGCATCACTCGCAGGGGAGTGCCCCAGGGCAAGGATTTCTTTGGGTCTTGTTCTCTGAGCCTGGGACAACTCCGGGCACAGGAGGAGTTCAACAGGCATTTGTGATTGAATGAATGAGTCGGGAGGAGCTAAGAGGCCCTCTTCAGCCAAGATCTGACTCCCTGCAGTCCCTCCCACCTCCCCATCTGCTGTGGAATCTGAGGCCAGGGAAGAGCACCTCCACATGCTTCCCAGGGGCGAGGCGGGAACAAGCAAAGTCCCCAAGACTAAACCAGCCAGGAAGAGAGGGGCTTTTTGGGGATACAAGAGTCAGAAGAGGATGACAGACAGGGAGGTGGTAAGCATATTTGTAACGATTGGGAAAACTTGGGCTCAAATCCCTGCTCCTCTTTATTGCTCTGTGACCTCAGGAAAGTTACTTAACCTCTCTGAGCCTCTATGTCCTCATCTGTGAAACCAGACTACTACTTCTGTACAAAGCCCACAGGTTTGTGATGTGTGATGATAAGAAAGTGCAGCTGAGGAGCCTGGCCTCTGGTGTGTACTCTGTAAAGGACAGCAATTAATAACATGAATAAGGTGGCTGCCCAGGCTCTGCCCTGGCCAGATCAGATGGGACTGAGGCGTCATTCCCATGCAGATCCTGGAGGACTTCCCCAACCCCCTGTCTCTTTCCCAGGAAGCCTGGTTTCTATAGAAACAGATGGACTGCCGAGCTGTCCCCAGCATGAAGACTATGCCCGTGAGGGCTGGCTTAGGAAACCTGACTGGCTGGGGGAGTGGGGAAGATGAGGGAGGGAAGAGGAAGGGGCCCAGAACATCCATCAGTGGCCAAGCCTCCCTGTGAGTCAAGGGGGAGTCACTGCTGCTGCACACCTCAGCCAAGGAGCCACTGCCTTTCCAAACAAGAGCTTCTGTGATAGGGGCAGGCAGCACACCTGTTCCTCCACCCCTCATAAGGAAGACTGCCCCCAGGGCCACCTACCCCGGGGCTGGGAGGAGCGGGGCAAGTACTTCAAGACCATGAATCCCCTGCTATCCCCACCACAACCCTATGAGAATGGCCATATTATCACCCCCATCTTACACATGAGAAAACGAAGGCTCATGTGACTTATTCGAGTGTCCCTTGAGGTAAGTGGCAGAGCTGGAATTCAAGCCAAGGTAACTGTTCTTTAACTGGACATCCTAAGAGAAGCTGATGTGTGTGTGCAATGTGTGCGGTGGTGGGGGTGGGGGGGCGTTTGGTGGACGTGAACTGAGCTCTAACCCATCTTCCCCATGGCAACTCCCCCGGAAAGTCCCTGGTGGTCGCCAGCATCTGGACTCCTCTCTGGGGTCCAGCCTCCCTTGGGTTAAGGCCCTGCGACTCCAGCAGGACTTGGGGAGGGATGCAGGGAGACCCATTGTTCTGTTATCGCTTTAGTACAAAATAGCTGGAAATGGGGTCTGGGACAGGGCAACACAGAGTTGGGGGGCGGGGTGCTGGCAGTGAGAGCCAGAGCCTCAGGCCCCCGGCCAGAGAGAAGGGGAGGCAGGAGAAAGAATCTCTGCTCCCTGGAGGGCGGGACGGAATAGAAGGTCCAGAGCTTGCGTCATCCGCTCCAGCTGCGGTCCCTCCCAGGGCTGCCGTCGGCCCCTTGGGCAGGATGGAGTCTAGAGATCCCCTAGCCCAGAATCTATTGCCTGGGCCATCAGGCAGTGAATCCACTTGTCAATGGCTGTACTGGAGAGGCTTAGGGACTAAGGGACTTGTGTTCAGATCTTGGCTCTGCACTACTAGGCTCGTGCCTTTGGGCAGACAAACTCCTCTTTGAAGGAGCCTCCCTTCCTTCCACCGTAAATGGGGCGGTGGTCCCTGAGTCACAAGGCTGTCCGGGGGCTAGAGAGATAATCTAGAAGTCATGGGACACAAAAGAGGCTTTATGAAAGCGGCTGCACTACTGACATCCTCACAGCGGCCTCTGGGGTGCAGGTTTCATCGGAGGCCCACAGCTAAGGAGGAAGCTGAGGCGAGGCTACCCGGTGGATGGGCCTTGGCTGGCTCCAGCTGGCTTGCTATCAGGCCATCCCTCGAGAGCATCATTATTCCAAAGGCTGGGGCTGCCTTAGTCAGTCTTGTCTCTCAAGCAGATCCTGAGCCAGTGGAGGGCGGAGCTGCAGCATCCGTCTTCCTCATCATCTCAGCATCACCACTGGGCTCAGTGTCCAGGCTGCTGCAAAGAGTGAGGACAGAGCGGAACTGGCCGGGAGAGGCAGGCGCAGGATGCGAGTCCCGTGGCAGTGGCAACCCCCGTCTCCATGACACAGCTCTGCAGTTGAGAAAGGTTCCACGCCCCATTTCCAAGAACCTCCAGGAACATGTGCCCTGAGATCTGGTAGTGGAAGGTTTGTCCTGGAGCTGGAAGGTGGCAGTGTGTCCTGAGTCACTGGGCTCGGAGACAGGACAGCTGAGGTCACAGGCAGATTCTGCCATCACTGGTAAGCCAGGCCCTGTCTTTGGGGCTCAGTTTCTTTGTCTAAGAAAATGAGAATGTGGTCTCTAGGGCCCCTCCCAGCCCTGCCTCACAGCGGCCACACTCCAGGTCCCTGCTGGGCCCCAGCTCAAGCTGCCTCATCCCCAAGACCCGCCACCCCTCAGCCTGGACTGGCACACAGGTCCTATCTTCCTACTCTTTCTTTTTGAAGGGGCCCAATTTCCAGAAAGGCAGAGGAAAGCCCAACCTTTCATCAGAAACATTTCCAAAGCTTTAGGGACAAATATGAACATTCCTTACTGTGCTGAAGAGGGCGAGAGGTCAGGGCAGAGCAGGTGGCAAGAAGGAGGCATTCCTGGGCTCCTCCCCCGGGGGTCTGAAGCTGCTGCTGTGGGCAAGGGGATCAGGCCCTCTGATGGCCTCCATCACCGCTCAGAAGTCACTGGGAGGTTTTTCCTGTCTCGACGGTCATTCACATGGGCAGAACATGAAGAATTCCTGTCCTTTTCGACTCTGAGAATAGGCCAGCCTGCCCCTTGGCCCAGTGACCATGTCAGGGCCCTCAAGGGCAGCTGGTGTCGTCATCAGGACAGCCTGACTTCCAGATCCTATCGGGCTAGGGGTCTGGTGAGAATGCAGCAGGCACCTCCCTCTCCGACCTGCACCCCACTCTCCCCATGCCCCTCCCCCACCCCGTGGCTGTTCAGGAACTTAGAGGGGAGAAGAGGGTGGGAGAGGAAGGGAGAGGAAAGGACAGGAGCTTCCTCGAAGGGATGCTCCACATTTTGAGCCCGTTTCTTCAAAAGCAAGCGGTGATTTGTCTTCTGGGTGAGTTGGGGGAGGCAGGTGGAAGGGTCCCTGCCCTTTTCGCAGGATAAGATGGGCCACAACCATAGTCCAGGACTGAGTGTCTCCCCAATCCTGGGGTGCTGGCTTAGTGGTTAAAGGACTAGCTCATGACTTAAAAGGCTTGTGCTCCATCCTGGCTCTACCACTGATGAGCTGTATGCCTTTGGGCCAGTGACTCTGCCTCCCTGGGCCTCAGTTTCCTCATCTGTTAAATGGGGTGTAATAATGACACCAACCTCTCACCAGTGAGAAGATGCACCAAAAAAATCCAGAACAGCGCCTGTTTTGTAGTTAATGTTCAATAATAATGCTGCTCATTATTTTTAGACTAGAAGACTCTACTTCCTTGCCTCAGTTGCCCCCTTGACCAAATCTGCCTCAGAGCAGGTCCCCTTCTAGGGATCATGTGCCAGGTCAGAGTTGGGTGCTCAGAAGGGACTGGTCATAGGAAGGAAGTGGGATGAGAGAGAGCAAGGGTCACTTTGGGGCAGGAGGACGATGCTGCGCTGGCCCTGGGAGGGGTCCAGCCAGTGTAGCAGGATAAACAGTGAGACACAGGGTGCCGGGGAGGTATCGTGGACCAGGAGTCAGAACATCAGGCACCCCGCCCTGCAGCTGCCTCTCCTGGCCTGTGTGTCCTGGGGTGACTGACATACTGTCTCTGAGCCTCACTTCCCTCACCTGTGAAAGGGGAGGAATTCATCCCTTCTCAGTCACTCACTCTTCCTCAGCCCCTCACTCCCTGCTAGCTGCAGGGTAGGCACATTCCAGCCTCAGGGCCTTTGCATGGGCTGTGCTCTAGCTGTCTACACAGCTCACTCCCTCATCTCCCTCAAGGCTGTAGCTCAAAAGTTACCTCCTCAGGGAGACCTCCCTGACACCCTATTTAAAATGACAACCCGGTCCCTGGCCTCAATACCCCCAACACAACTTTTCCCCTTCACCTCTCAGTACACTATATAATTTGCTTATTGTTTTTATTAGGGAATTGCCTCCCCCTGCCCCCTGCTTTTAAGCATCAGCTCCATGAGGACAAAAATTTTTATTTTGTCCACAGCTGTCTCCCCAGTGCCTGAAACTGTCCCTGGCACTTTGCTCCATAAGCCATTTTTGGTGTAATGCTCACAAACATTTTGTTCAATAAGCAAAAGTAAAGAACAGCCCCAAACTGTGTGACTATGGGGCATTCCTGTTAAATCCAGCCCCCTCCTCCCCCATACCCCAAGAGGGGCAGGCCCTTCTTCCCACAGAGGTGGGGCTATCAAAAGAAATTGGGAGGCTGGGTGTGAGCTGGAGAAGCCACAAGGGGCCTGGAGGCAGAGCTGTGCAGAAAATAGGTCGCAGTCCTAGAACTGGCAGGTCATGACAGCTGGACATGGGTGAAGGGGCTTTCGGCCTTAGCCCTCCACTCCAAATTTGGAAGCACGGAGGAAGTTGACGACATGTGACTGGGAAAGAAGCGGCCATGGCAGGGGCCTCCTGGGATGGTGGGGACAGAGGGGGCCTCAGGAACAAGACGACCCATTTTACAGATGGGACAACAGAAGCCTGGAGAATAGTCTTATTTCCTAACAACCCAACAAGAAAAATCTTTTCTCTCCTTTCTCGAAGTCTGGGGCTGAGGCTAAGGAGCGGACAGTGCCCCCTCCTGGCTCTGCAACAAAACGACCCCCGCGTCCCTGGGATCTGCGGGCCGCAGATCCTGGTCCCCTCTCCACAGGCCGTCAGGGGTGGAGGTCCAAGGGACCACATAGTTGGGGTGGGCAGCCCCGGTGACTTCTCCCCGCAGGCCCGCCCCGTCAAGAAGTTTGTTTGAAAGAAACCAATCAGGAAGTGCAGGGTAGTGGGGCGGTGAGGGGGCCTTGGCCAGCCGCTCTGGGCTTTGGAGGAGCCTGGGGGTTCTTGGCCTCCGCGCTGCTCTTGCCCCAGCCTCCATCTCTCCGGCGGAGAAACCCACTCCCCCCGGGCTCCAGGAAGAGGCGGAAGCCCGAGACTGGGTCAGGGCGAAGGAAGGTAGAGCGAGGGGACCCAAGGCGAGCGCCCCGCCCCGCCCCGCCCAGCGGGGCGCGCCGGGGTGGGCGCGGCGTTCTGGCCCTTCCTCCACACAGCCTCCCCCGGGTAGGTGCGAGTGTTCTGCCCACGGCAGGGGCCCTAACCCACCCAGCGCCCGGCCAGTGGCCCCACACTGTACCCTTCCTGCAGATCGCGCGACTTTGGGGAGAGTGGGGGGCGTCTCCACCTGTGCGTCCCCTACCCACCCCCTAACTGGGCTAAGGCGCGGCCTGGGTTTCTGCCCGCCCCTTTCCAGCCTGGGGACGGGGGACTCTCTCAGCCTCGCCCCTCCCCCTGCAATCTGTCCCTGATGTCCCCGCTCCAGACACTCACCCACTTTCTGAGACCCAGGCCTCAGCGCCGGTGTCCCCCGGCGGTGAGCTCCGAGCCGTTAGGCGGCCCCGGGTTCTCCGGCCCAGGGCCCCTGCCCCCAGGCCCCCACCCCAGAAGGTCGGGCCAGACTTGTGGGCAGCGGGAACTCCGCCACCACCTCCGTCCGCGGCCCTGCGGGGGCAAAGACTGGGGGAACTCGCAAGTTTGCGCCGCGCACTCCTCCTGCCGGGAACAATGGCGGGAGGGGGAGGGGACAGAGAACCGAGCGCGGGGGACCGAGTCAGACCCCGGGGAGACAGAAACTGCTTTCGCTCCGTTTCTCTCCTGCTCTGAAGCAGAAAGCTCGAGCCCGAGAGGCAGTGGCCGAGGACGAAATAAGCAGTCCAGGAGGAGGGCGACCGCGGAGCCGGGGGAGAGGGGAAACCGAGTCAGAGGGAGGGGCGGCGAGGGGAGAGCGCGCAGGGGAGACGGAAGGGGCTGCGGGACGGCGCCTTGGGGAGCTGGGGAGGCGACCCCCTGGGGTCCCAGCGGGCTCAGCGGGTGCCGAGATGTCCCGGGGCGCCCGGTTAGCGCGCGCGGGGTCCCGGCCGCCCCTCTGCGGTCCCGTCGGCCGCAGGAGCCCCGCTGGGTTGCGCTGCGCAGGCGGCGGGCGGCGGGAGGGGAAAGTCCGCGGCTCGGAAGCGGCGGCGGGGAGCAGAACTTACGGGCCTCGCGCGTGCCGGCGCTGGGCTACGTGGAGCTGATGCCAGGCGGAGGCTCCGGGCTCGGACGCCTCACATCGCGCCGCCCGTGCCGGGCCGGGCAGTGCAGGGCAGGGCAGGGCAGGGCAGGGCAGGACAGGGCAGGGCAGGGCAGGGCCGGGCCGGCTGGACTGCGCGCGGCGCCCTGCGCGGCCGGGGCTTACCGAGTCTGGCGGCCCGCGCTGGTCCCTCCTCTCGGTTCCGCGCACAAGCCAATGGCGCGCCGTCCCCTCCCACGCGCCGGGCTGCCTCGCCCCCAGGGTGGCCGCCGGGGCGGGCGGGATGGGGGTTGGCGGGGAAACCAGGCTCCCGGCTCCCCCGCGAGGCTCTCCCGGGGGCCGCCTGCAGGGGGCGCACGCGCGCCCGAGAGAAGGCGCCGGGGGAGGAAGCCGCGCGGGGAGACCCTGGCGTGGCCCGCGCCGCCCAGGATGACTTTCCTGGCAAGTTCTGCAGACGGTGCCCCTTTCTTGGGACGATCAACGTAGATGGGCAAACCACACCATCTTAAATAGCCTTGCGGTGTCTCCCGGGCCCAGGCCGGTGCCTGAAATGGAAGGGACTGCTTTGGCTGGCGGTGATACCCAAGTGTGTAATAACACAGTCACGACAATAGTCACCGTTTGCTGCGCACTCTCTGATGCCAGACACCATATGCTAAAGGAGTTACAAGTATTAACTCATTTGATTTTCACAGCAACCCATAAGGGCGCTGTGCTTAGTCCCATTTTACAGGCCATGGTCGTTAAAGTTTGAGTTCACTCAGCCTTCAGGCTTCCAGCCTAGGCCCACCCTTCTCTCTCCCTGCTTGGTGTGACTTGGCCAAATAACATGACCCCACTGTCACTACGGCCACCTTCTTCATACTCCACCCTAAAATCCAGCCTCAGAGATGCTGCTGTCAGTTGCGCTGTCAGGAGGCTAGGATCTTATCTGGGGCTCTAGGACGCTTGTTGGCGCTACAGTTGTCAAACCTTTTGTCTCTACACATCCTATGGGGGGCTGGGGTGAGGATGAGGGTTGGGGGTCATGGAGGCTCTCTGGTGGCGTGTCAACCTGAGAGAACCAGGCTCCTACAGACAAGGCCCCACCCCCAAATTCTGGGCTCCTTCAACCCCTTATGGTGGGAAAATAATGTGCTCTCTCCCACCCCAACCCCCACCACCCTGTGCTCTCCTTAGAGAAATGCCTGGATCTCTTTCATCTGATCTGATGGTCACAGTGGGCCAGGAACCGGGGTGGGGGGCTGCGGGAAAAGGAAGGCAAGGCTGATGACATGCTCCATTTCACAAGTAAATAAGACAGAAAGAGGTGAGTGGCTGCCTCAGGCATCTAGCTAGGTGGGCATTCTGACTCCAGGTCTCGGTTCTGTCTGCACCAGTTCCTTAACGGTTAATAGAGCAGGCTCTGGAACCAGATCACCTAGGTTCAAATCCTGACTCTGCCTTTTAGTGCCTGTGTGGCCTTGGACAAAGTAAGTCACCTAGAGCAACCAATAGTAAGAACCGGCTATGGTTGCTGTAGAGATTTAGAGTTAATAGGAGCTGCTCATGTTTACTGTGCATGGACTCTGTGCCATGCAGGCTCCCACTGTCCTCACCAGAGCTGGGATTGGGCAGGAGAGTCTGTGCCCTTG
Source organism: Homo sapiens (assembly GCF_000001405.40). NCBI lineage: Eukaryota > Metazoa > Chordata > Mammalia > Primates > Hominidae > Homo > Homo sapiens. Next base: position 44,952,346 of record NC_000011.10, read on the forward strand.
GCAAGGAAGTAAACAGAACAGTCCTTGGTTCATAGTAAGTGCTCAGTGAATATAAACTGTCCTGATTACTAAGGTAGATAAACTCTGATGCCCCAGTGCCACTGACACTGCCCCCAGCCAAACACCTAGACAGTGATAGCCAATAATGAATGAATCAATCAATCAATCAAAGTATGTGACTCTAGATGAGGATTATTTTTAAGGTGTGTTGGGTGGAGCCATCTGACTCAAGGCTCTATAGTAATTTCTGCAACAACTCAGTCTCACCTCACTGCCTTTACAGAGCTGGGCCAAGCTGGGTTGATGAATTCATTTGTCACTCCCTCTTCTGCCTTTCTGGCACTCAGGGCTCTGGATTGCTGAAGGGAGGGCCCCCAGCGTCATTCATGTGCAATGTCCTCCCAGACTTGGGGACACCTGCCAGTGCTCTGCTTGGTGTAACCCTAAAGACTAGCAGCAGGGTCTGTGCTTGTAATCCCAGCCAGCCTGATCATACATCAGTGGGAGGCCTTTGTCACAATCACTCCAAGTTTTCCAACATGGAAGAGGCTGCCTTAGTTGTCATGAATGAGTGCCCTGTCACTAGCAGCATGCAAGCAGAATCCAGGGAAGGGTTGATGAGGACAGCAGAGGAAGAATTCCCACCTTAAGTGGTATTTGGAGTGGATAACCTTTGCCCTCTGGGTGTCTGTATTCTCTCAGTCTCCTTATCAACGGGGAAGCTGGGGAGGCTGGGAGCTCAGGCTGGGCCAAGGCTGCCCCACCATCCTTTGTGAACGAGGCCATCCTGACAGTGCCTCACCCTTATGCCAGGCAAGGTGCTATGTGCTGGGGCCCCAGGGGTGAACAGGACAGTGTCCCTGTCCTTGGAGAGTTCACAGCCCCCTTGTAGATGACTGCACAGATAGTCAACAGCAGCAACAGTAACCGCTCAAGATAACAGGCAAAGTGCTTGGAGGGGGACCAGGGGAGAAGCAGCTGGCTCTATCCATAACCCCCTGCATCCGCTCTCCAGAAAGCACCCATTAGAGGCTCTTATTGTCTTCCTCCCTATATACTTTTCATTTATTTATTTACTTATTTATTTATTTTGAGATGGAGTCTCGTTCTGTCGCCCAGGCTGGAGTGCAGTGGCGTGATCTCGGCTCACTGCAAGCTCCGCCTCCTGGGTCCATGCCATTCTCCTGCCTCAGCCTCCCGAGTAGCTGGGACTACAGGCACCCACGACCACACCCGGCTAATTTTTTGTATTTTTAGTAGAGTCGGGGTTTCACCATGTTAGTCAGGATAGTCTCGATCTCCTGACCTCATGATCCGCCCGCCTCGGCCTCCCAAAGTGCGGGGATTACAGGCGTGAGCCACCGCGCCCGGCCCCTATATACTTTTCTAAAGTGATGTGTCCAGTTCAGAAACATCCCTTAGGCAGCCATTCTGCCCTCAACTCTTCTGAGTTACCTGATCTTTACACTGGGCATAAAAAAAAAACTCACCTCACTGGGCTGCTGTGAGGAGTAACATTGACATTCATTAAGTGTGCCCCTAACGACAGGCAAGAATAGATGCTTGGTGCACGGTAACAATGAGGAGTCATCATTATTCTAGGTGAGAGTGAGATAAGTCGGCTAGGACCTTGGCTCTGCTCCTAAGTAGCTATACGACCCTCGCCTGCACGGATATAAAAATATCTGCCTCATAGAACTTGTGAGAGTCAAGTGAGGTGATTCGATGAAAAAGGTTTGCAAACTGGAAATGCTGATTCCTATTATTGACATTATTATTGTGATTCTTACCTTGGTGAAGTGTTCCTCTCAAGGCCCCAGGGGGGTGGGGATGGGAGTGGGGTTGGGGATGGAGCCAGGAAGCAGCCAGCGGCTGTTGCAGGGGTGGGAGGGTCACTCCTCCAGACTCCCACAGGAACCTGGGAGCAGCAGGGGCTCCATCTGCCCTGGTCGCCCTCCACAAGCAGGGGCAGCAACACCTCCTTGGTGGCCAGGTGTGAGTGAGCACTTAAGAGTGCGCCTGTGTGTCTGTGTTTGTGCCCCTGCAGGAAGGTGTGGTGGGCACAGGGATTGCCAGTGTCTGCAGCCAGAAACCACTATGGACGAGGAAGAATGGGGATGTAATTGGATTTCAAAGATGCTTGGAGTGAGACTACTGTTATCACCTGGGACTGCAGGAGAGAGGCCTGCGGAGCGGGGGTTGGGCCTAGTCTTTGGGGTTGGGGCCAGGGGAAAGGTTTCAGCACTGATGGGCACGTGTGGAGGAACATGATGTTGTCAGAGACCTGTTGTGGTTGAGCCCAGGGATTTTGGACCTGACAGATCTGGGTTCAAGTCCTGGTTATGGGACCATGGGCCAGTGATTTCACTTCTCTAGGCCTCAGTTTGCTCATCTGTAAAATGGTGATAATAACAGGGCCTACCTGGTGGGAGTTATTGGAGGTTTAGCAGAGAGGCTGCACGTGAAGCCCTTAACATGGGGCAGGCACATCGACAGTTATCAATCAGTGCCACTGGTGTTATTATGCGGCAGCCTGGGAGGAGCGGAGGGAGAGGGCCTCAGGAGTGCTGGTGCATTCTCAACTGGAACAGGGAGCTCTGGGGTGAGAGTTGTCTAGCCAGGGTTCATTGAAGCTGGCACAAAACCCAGAGAGAAGGAGCCGCCATCCCACAACACAAGGACTGAGGCAGAGAGCTGGGCTTTCACAACTGCTTCTGGTTCCCCTTCCTGGTTTCCTCTCATTTCCTCCAGAGCTTCGTTCTCTGTGAACCTGCCTGGTGAGGAGAACTCTGTTACACATAGCTTTGGGGACTGGAAGGAGCAGCTGGGAGCTCAGGAACTCCCAGGCAGGCCTCCCCAGTGCTTCCTGCCCCCACCCCTCCAGAGTGAGCACTGACCAGCCCTCCTTCCCCGACCCCACACAACTGCCAGCTGCTTCCCTCCAGTGACTCATCCCCACCACCTCTGTTGCTACACCAGGACCAGGAAATGTCAAGCAGTTTCTTATCTGTGGGAGAGAGAACTGATCAGGATGGGGGTGGAAGAAATGAGGCTCAGATCTCCCCAAAGAAAGTGTATGACAGCTAGGGGACCAGAAGACCATGGCCAGCCCTTTCCTGCTTCCTGTGGGGGAGGGCTCAAGGAGGCAGTATGAGAGTGGGATTTAGCCACTAGAACCATCCTGGATTTAGGTTCAAGGTCCTAGTCCTCTTCTAACCGGCTCTGTGGCCTTAGGCAAGTAACTCAGTGTCTCTGAGCCTCAGCGTGTTCATCTGCCAAATGGAAAGAAGAAAATCATGATGATGCATAGGGTACCTGGGGGGTTAAGTGAGATAGTACATGTGAGTCCGGAGCTCACAGTCAGTTCTCAATGAATGTTCATTGACTCAATTAATGAATGGACATGTGGAAATGGCGGTGAGCTGTGTGCATGTGGCCATCTGCAAGAAATCCACCCTCCACCAGCTGGGAGAGTCGGGGAGATGTCTGTGGACCTTGTATCGCAGGCCTGGGACACTGTTGCTCTGTGCTGGTACTGAAGGGACGGCTTCCAAAACTCAGGGCAGATGGAGTATGGAGTACCCCTTGTCAGCATAGCTGACTTAAGAACCTCAGGCTGGGTCCAGATTTTCAGAGTGCTGAGCCCTGGCCAAGAAAAGAATTGCTATGCAGGGAAGTGAGTAGCAGATTTTGGACCCTCATCTTGGGCGACCCCCAGGACCTCTTCACAGTGAGTGCCCAGAGCAGCCACTCTGGGCTGTGGGATCATAGTCTTGGACCCTGGGCAGCCGGCTAGGCCAATGGCCACCGCTTCACTTGCCTCCTGTCCAATGATAAAACCCCAGGGGCTTTATCATTATTTCAAAAAATAGCATTCTGAGCCCGTACTATGTACCAGACGCTGGTCTAGAATCTTACATGTCATTAATCCTAACAAATCTCACGAAGTTGGTACCATTACTAGTCCCATTTTATAGATGGCAAAACGGAGGCCCACTGAGTTACATAACTTACCCAAGATCACACCCTAGAAAGCAGGGAGGTGGGACTGGAACCCTGGCAGTCTGGCCCAGAGCTCAGGTGGTTCTGGTGCTGCCGCTGGCCAGGGCAGGCATTGCTGATCCCTTGTAAGGCCTGCCACTCCTGGACCACCCCCACCCCAGTGAAGCCATACAGTTTGGGGACAGTAAGTCACCTGCGGACCGACAGGAACATCTGACAAATAGATTCTAGTTTATAAATCTCTTTAGAGTGTATGAGTCTCAAAGCCTACTTGGGGGCAGGAAAATGTTAGAAACACAAATTCTCATTTCCACCTCAGACAACTGAAACTCTGGGAAAGGAAGTCACAGGGGCAACAATCTGTCGTCCAACAGCCCCCCACGTGATTCTGATACAAGCCAAAGATTGAGAACCATTGCTTTAGAATTTGCAAAGCAGATTCCTAGATTATCTAATTTAAATGGGCACTTTGCTATTATTCGGCTCATTTTACAGGTAAGGCTAATGAGTTTCCATTTGCCAGCTATCACCCATCAGGGAAGTGAAGATGGGCCTGGAACCCACACTTTTTGATTCTGGAATATTCTTGTTTGCCCTCCTGGGACCGGGCTGCTGAGCAAGGTGGGTGGGCGAGGGACTCTGAGCTGAAGGGCAGGGTGAAAGACCAGAGGGGAGGGGAGGGAAGGGATTCCACCTCCTTCCCTCCTGGGTGAGGAGCGGGCAGCGTGGATAATTCCCTCGGAGGCGCCCCAACCCAAATCTACATACATAAAGCCCAGGCTGGCGTTTTGAGTGATCGGTTTATTAATACAGCGGGGCCGCTGCCGAGGCGGATCGCAATAACAAAGAAGGCCTCTCCGCCACCCACCAGAGGCGTCGTTATGTAATTGCTCCGAGGAGGAGCAGAGGGCTGGGGCGCGCCGCGGGTGCTGGGGGCTCGGCCAGCAGGGAAGCTGCGATCCGGGTCTCTGGGGATCCGAGCCGGCGGCGGATGGAGGGAACACTTGCTGGAGAGTCATCAGCCCTTCACCTGGTGCTCTCCTCCTCCCACGCACCGGTCAGCGGTCAAGGGGCGGGTTAACACCGGTTTGGCAGGGCGCAGACCTCCGCCCACCCGGGAGAATTGACCCCGGAGGCAGATCTGCAGACCCAGAGGACCCCAGGGCTGACCCAGGGCCTCCCCTCCGCCACTCACCACCGCCCATCCTTGCCCCACTCTCACCCTGGGATGGGGGAGAGAGAGAAATGACCAACTTTTTGCGCGACTTCTGTGGGCAACCTCTGTGAGGTAGTCCATTTTTAAAATGGAGAACTGAAGCCCAGAAAGGGCTGGCTTCATGTACCAGGGTTTTGAATCCCCAAATTTGTCAGCTTCGAAGCCCACATTTTTTTCCCTTGGATGCCACAAGGGGTCTTTATAACCACCACGGATCGGTTTTTGCCACAGTTTCTCCAGATGCTGTGGTACTTCAACCCTCCTGGCCTTTGCAAACGCTGAGCCCTCTACCAGGCATCTCTGAGAAGTCCTTCCCAGCCCTCCCCGACCCCCACTCACACCCCCCACACATCCTAGGAAGCCTTGGAGGCTACCTCTTCCAGCTCTGGGAGCAGCTGGTGACAGCATCTGCCACACTGCTTCATGGGAACTACTATCTTCTGTCTGTCCCCATCAGGCCACGTGCTCTGGGATGGTGGCTCCAAGGAGCCTAACACATCTTCTTCACTCAGCCACTCCATCTCACCCCTCAGTGCAAGGCTGGGCACACAGCACTGGGTGAATTTAAAGTGAAGGTTTGAAGCCTCAGGCGGATTTAATGCTTAGTGACAGTCTTCAGACCTTCCCTTCAAAACTCCACACACTCACCTCTGGCTATGCCAACTCCTAAGTGTGTGGCCTCTGGCAACTTCTGTAGCCTCCCTGGGCCTCTGTTTCTCCATTGTACAACAGGGCTCACAGCAACCCCGAATCTCATGATGCTAGTTAGTGTTTACTGAACACTTACTATATGCTGGGCACTGTGCCAAGCACCTGCAGTGGGTGGCTTCGTGAACTCTGCACACTGGCCCTGTGGAGGTAGTTGCTGTTATTATCTCCATTTTATAGATAAGTAACTCTCAAAAAAAAAAAAAAAAAAAGATAAGCAACTCTCCCAAGTCTCCAGCTGATAAGAGACACAGCCTGGATTCAAACCGTGCTCCTTCTGTCCCCTGGGTTTCTGACTCCCTTTCACAGGACTATTTTGATAATTAGAAGAAAAACAGTTAAGGGTCAGCATGCAGCAGGTACTTAATAATGTTTCTGCCCTCCACCGTAAAGGTCCCAGGGCAGCTCTCCTTTTCCCCTTCCATTCTCTCCCCCATTGCCACAGGCCCCAGGGCATTCTGGGAGCCCCTCTGTTCAGGGTGGGGCTGAGCAGGGGGAGGCAGGAGGACCCAAGTGTTCTGGTTCCTGAGTATAAATAAGTGATTGTTTTATATCCTTACAGTAAGAGAAGGGCATAGCATACATTTGCCAGTCTAACAGGTTGAGCTGCAACTTCCCTGTGTTTTGCCAATCGCTGATATGTGTTTTCAGCCCAAGGCAGTAAACAGAAGCCCACTCTGCCTGGCAGTTCCATGGTCCTGGAGTGAGGAAGGGCATCTGACCCGGAAGCTCTCAGATCAACTATCTAGGCCTACTGAGAAAGTAAGTGTCAGTGGGGATACTGAGATAGGGAGAGTTCCTGTGGGTCTCCCCCAGGCCATGAGAACTCGAGCAGGACTCCTCCCTTCTCTCAGTGTACACAACAGAAAATGGGGATTATATATGCAGAGAGGGAGAGAATAATTACTACTTATCAATGACCATGTAGAGCAAGGCTGCAGGGTGCTACACCTATGGCAGATGGAGTGGTGCAGTGCACAGCCTGTGCAGCAGGACTTGGCAGCCTAAGGGGACAGGCCATCATAGATCTACAGCTTCATCCTGCAAGATTCATAATAAGCTTTAGATTATTCCAGCTAAAACAAATGAAGGAATGAATGCATGCGTACAGACATAGATACATCCACAAAACGAGTGATGAATGCAACCCCAGTTATGAATCAGAGAAGCTCATAATCTAGTGCAAGAGACAGACATCTGAGCAGTTGCTACTCCTAGCTCCCCTCTTGTTCCGGGCTCTGTCCCGGGTTAGGACCTTGCCTTTGTCCCTGCTGTTCCTTCGGCTTGACCTTTCTTACCCATCACACCCCAGTCTTCATCTGCCAGCTCTTCACCATGCTTCTCTTATCTCAGCTAAAATGTTTCCGGGCCAGGCGCGGTGGCTCATGCCTGTAATCCCAGCACTTTGGGAGGCCAAGGCGGGTGGATCACTTGAGGTCAGGAGTTGGACCAGCCTGACCAACATGGTGAAACCCCATCTATACTAAAAATACAAAAATTAGCCAGGCATGGTGGCACATGCCTGTAGTCCCAACTACTGGAGAGGCAGAGATGAGAGAATCACTTGAACCTGGGAGGCAGAGGTTGCAGTGAGCCAAGATCTTGCCATTGCACTCCAGTCTGGGCGACAGAGCGAGACTCCATCTCAAAAAACAAAAAACAAACAAAGTTTCCTCTGGCAGCTTTTCCCTACCCACTCTCCCCCATTCGCCCATCCCCCAAGCCTCATGCCGAAGTTGGGCCACATCCCTCGGTCCCCATAGACCCCCGCAAGCTGACCCCAGTAGCTCCCTCCAATCCCTGTAGTGAATTTGACGGCTGGGTTCCAGGTTCCCAGGGCTGGCTGTGAGCTACTCAAGGGCAGGGCTGTATCTCGTTTCCTGCTATGCCTTTGTGCCTAGCACAGTGCCAAGCACACGGCAGGTATCTGAACAGTGTGGGAAGAGAAAAGGTGGAGGGGAGATGGTTGGGGGTAGACTGTGAGAGTGGAGGTGGTAAGGTCCCACCCCCAACCTCACACACAGCACCCTTAGCCCAGGCACTGATCCCAGGAGTCTAAGAAGCTGATTAGAACTGCCCATGGCTGCAGCTAACCTCGGAACTATGCCCCACCACCTGCTGTCGTCTCCCTGCCCCCACTCCTACTTCCCTCTCTCCTGCCTCCCCAGGGGTCCGGGGCAGCCTCCCCCTCCCCCACCCCATGGTGAGAAATCCCAAAGACTCCTGGGCCTTTCTCTGCTGCCCGGCTTTCCCGCCTCCCCTTTTTCTTTCTCTTCCTTCTGCTTTGCCTCACATTCAATCTCTCCCTCCCCCAGCCTGGTGAATCCAAACTGAAAAAAAAAAAAAAAAAAAAAGGCCCACACAACAGCTTCAACAGTGAAAAATAACCAATTTAAGGAGTAATCGCTGCTGTAATGATTGTCTAAGCCCTGAGTCACTGCAGAAAATCGGACTGAAGCTCTGGGACTCCCAGGCTCCCTGAGAGTGTCATATGGGTTTTTGTTTTTGTTTTTTTAAATATCCAGGACCTCAGTGTCTCCATCTGTAAAATGGAAGGAATATTATCAGCCCAAAGGAACTGATTGTTAATCTCCTGATTTTCCCTGGGGCTGGGAATCAGAGGTTAAGGTGGTCCACACAGTTGGCTTGGGAATCACCACGGGACACATTCTTCTACCACAGGACCCATGGGAGAAATGTGGTGCCTGGCAGGTGCTGAGAGACTCACAGCTTCGAGGGTCTCTGGGAAAGGTTTCTAGAGATTGTGGTGTTTAACTGAGCTGGGAAGGATGAATGGGTGAATGAGAGCTATGGGAAGTGATGGAGTGATGGAAAGTCAGCTCTGGAAGAGACTAGACACCTCATCTTGCCCTATGCTCTCATTTTACAGATGAAGAAACTGAGGCCTGAAGGGCTTCAGGAACTGCTCAAAGTCATTAGTGGCAGAGCCCAAATTAGTGGCAGAGCCCACATTAGAAAGCAGGTGCCTTGACTCCTGCTCCAGTGCTCTTTCTTTCTTTCTTTCTTTTTTTAGACGGAATCTTGCTCTGCTGCCCAGGCTGGAGTGCAGTGGCATGATCTCAGCTCACTGCAGTCTCTGCCTCCTGGGTTCAAGTGATTCTCCTGCCTCAGCCTCTCGAGTAGCTGGGATTACAGGTGCCCACCACCACACCCAGCTAATTTTTGTATTTTTAGTAGAGACGGGGTTTCACCATGTTGGCCAGGCTGGTCTCAAACTCCTGACCTCCTGATCTGCCCGCCTCGGCCTCCCAAAGTGCTGGGATTACAGGCGTCAGCCACCGCACCTGGCCTCCAGTGCTCTTTCTTATGATACCAGCCTAGCTCATAGGAACAGTAAGTACAGTGTGTGGAATGCTCACCGTGAGCCCAGCGCTGTGCTAATGCCTTATGCGCATGTGCACCATTGTCTTTCATTCTTGGAATAATCCTATAAGGTAGGATTAGAATATAGGTCCTGTTATATCTTAGTAAAGTTCACAGAGGTTCAATGGCTTATTCAGGGACACATAGCAGGGCTTTCTTGGCCCTGCAGCCCCTCCTGGCTTCTCTATTCTCCAACATGATCTAACATGGAGGGGTCTAAGCAGAGAGAGGGGCTTCTGGCCTGCACCCGTGGGTGGGCTGCCCTTCCCTCTAGTCTCTGTCCTCTCTAAGGAGGGTTGGAAAGGGGCCCCTTCCCTAGAGGGGAGGGAGCCTGGGCTTTCCCTGGAAGAAGCTCCCACAGGAATGGAAGCCAGATTGTCAAGGAGACAGGAGGCATACATTTAAAATCCCCATCAATAAGAGCCTGCCTTGCCAGGGCACATCTTTGAAATGCTAGGCTCTCCTGGTGAGTGCATTCCAGTTCCACGGGGAGGAAACCAGGTGGGATTAAAGGAGGTGGAACAATGTCCAGGGGTGGGAGGGACCAACCTGCCCCTCACCCAGACTCCACACTGGAATGAGCATTGCAGACAAGGAGCTATCTCCTAGGAAGCCAGGATATTGCATTGGGCACCACAGAAGCAGGGCCACCCATAAGATAAGGAAAAATGTTTTTAAACAATTTTATTTACAAAAATGTATTAAAGTACTGTTGTCATCATGGGATTTCCTTACAGTTACAGTTTAGTGTTATTTTTGTTTAGAATTCATTGGGGATGAGGGGAGACACCATAGTCTTTTCAGGACTTAGGGCCTTTAAATATTGTAGCTGTGCAGGGGCAGAATGGAGGGGCATGTTTAAGGGCCATCCCTGATCTCCCCAGGGGACTGGTGTCCAAAAGCCATTAACTAAGGAGCCTGAAGTACTGGGTACCGTGCCTAGCTCTGGTATGAATTTACAGCATCAAATTTACTTTATGAAACTGTATGCATTTTGGGGCCTTGATTTCCTCACCTATTAAATGGGTATAGTTACTATTGCTCCACCTATGTCACTGACCTTTAATTGTCATTCAGGCTAGAAATGAACAGAGACAGCCGGATGGGAGTGCCCAGGAGAACTTCAGGGACTCAGTTGTAAAGTTTATTACAAATGCAGATTCACAGGCCCCTCTCCAGACCTCCGGGGTCCAAATCCATGGGGTTTGAGCTGAGAGATCTGCATTTGTAGCCACTCCTCTCTCCCCTACTCAAGTGATCTGATGCTCATCACAGAGAGAACTCACCAGGAGCCAGAGATTCGGGTTCCTCCAATGGGCTGCCACCTCTGGCAAATGGCTGATGCCTCCTGCATGAAATCAGGGGACTGACCTGGGTGGCATCTGCAGGTGCAGCCTTCGTGGTACCTCTCTGAATGGCCTGGGCTGGGGCTGGCTGGCCAGTGGGAGGTGGAGAGGGCAACCCAGGACAGAGGCCCTGTGAGGCAGGGCCAGGACTTGAAGTCTGGTGCTGACAACTTCTCTAAGAGGAGGGTGGACCCCACCGCCCCAGCTTCCTGCTGGGCCCCAAGGCTCCGGAGACTCAGGTGGGCCATCTGCTCAGGCCTGGGCTGGGGAAGGGGGGCAGACACAGACCGCCCAGTACTGAATGGCCTCTCTGTTGGGCCCCAGCCTGAAGAACAGATGGCCTGAGGGCCGCTGGTGCTGGTGGGTGAGGGGGCGACATAGGCCGGGCCTCCCCCCTCCCGCTGGATAAGTCACAGAGATCTCTCTTCCTGAGTGAGAAAGCCCTCAAAAGGCACCCTTGGTGACAGCAGCCAGGAAGAAGTGAGTTTAAGGGGGATTAGCAGGTCCCCACAGCAGGCTGCTGGGGGAAGGCTGGGAAGCTGCCTGGCACCTGCAGCCTCCACTGGAGCCAGAAGGGAAGTGGGGATACCTGGTGTGGGAGGGCAGGGGCCGGCAGAGCTTTAGGCCCAAGGAAAGCCTAGGCATCACTCACTCCCAACCTCTTTTTCTTTTCTTTTCTTTTTTTTTTTTTTTTTGAGATGGAGTCTCATTCTGACGCCCAGGCTGGAGTGTGGTAGTGGTGTGATCTCGGCTCACTGCAACCTCCGCCTCCTGGGTTCAAGCGATTCTCCTTCCTCAGCCTCCTGAGTAGCTGGGATTACAGGTGCCCACCACCACTCCTGGCTAATTTTTATATTTTTAGTAGAGACGGGGTTTCACCATGTTGGCTAAGCTGGTCTCAAACTCCTGACTTCAGATGATCTGCCTGCCTCGGCCTCCCAAAATCCTGGGATTACAGGCATGAGCCACAGCACCTGGCCTCCCACCAGTTTTTCTGATGGGAAAACTGAGGCCTGGGAAGGCACAGATCCCTCGCTCCACATCACGCCGCAAGTCAGTGGCAGAGCCGGGAGTGGAACCTAGACATCCTGATGCCCTATTTGAGGCTCCTCCTGTCCCTCCTCCAGCTTCCCTCCTGACAGTCCTCCTTTCCCTCCTCCCTCCCCTCCACTCTGCCTCCCTCTCCTGAGGCCTGGCCAGGCCTCCCCACCTCTGTGTCTCTACCACCCTCTTCCTCTGGCCTGAAATGCTCTCCCACTTTAGCTGCTGCAGAGTCTTCAAACCTCAATGCAAGTCCCCACCTCCTGCAGGAAGTCTTCCAACCCATCTTCCGAACCTAAGCAACCAGAATGCGAGACCCCTGCACCGTCCACTTGGGATTGTTGAGGCCAATGCCTTCATGATAGAGAATCAGTACCTGAGAGTCAAACGGAAAGACTATTAGAAATGTTCCGCACAGCTGCTTCCCCCAGCCATTCTCCTGAGCTTCATTTTTCTTTAAAAATATATTAAAAAGAGCTTCACTCCAGAGAGGCTGTCAAGGAATCTGGTAAAACAAGGGTCCCTTTCAGTTCTTCTCTTGAAAGGGGATATTTTTTCTGCTTTCTCTCCAAGGTTTCCCAGAGGGTCGGATTTCCTTTTCTTTCAGAGGTAGGAGCTGAGCCACGCCTGCAGACACCTGCTCCTCAGCTTTGGAGATAATCGCGGGGTGATCAGCTCTGCAAAGGGCCTCACAGCTGCTGGGCCTGAACCAAAAGGGCCTCAAGGGAGAAGCTTTGAGGGGAATGTGGGAGGGGGAGAGCAAGGGCGTCCCCTTTTGGGGAGAGACCCAGGTGTGAATCACTGATCCAACATTTACTAGGCCTCTTGCCTGGGAAAAGACTTTGAGCTGCCTCTGTGCCTCCCTGGCCAGGCTATGGGGAGGTCTTGCACAAGGTTTGGTAGCCAAAGGGGAGAAGTTGGGCCTCAGCCCCTGCCCTCTCAGAGGCCCAGCCCAGGGACAGAATCCACCAATCGCAACAACCACTCATGTCTCAAGATTCCTCAGTCCACTTAGCCAAGAGTGTCCCTGACTCTGCCCTTCACCTGCGTTCCGGGCAGTGCTCGTGCCCTGACTTGCTGGGTGTCTTTAGGAATGACCCTGGCCCTCCTGACACTCCAAGTTCTCAGCCCTCTAGGCAGAAAGTGGACACCACTTTCTCAATAGCCTCTTCCACTCCTGGAAAACTACTTCAGGCTTTCTCTGAGTTCCTTGAAGCTGGGCTTCCAGCTCCCTGGTATGAGGAGGGAGGCTGGGGAGGGCTGAGGCCAGGGAGGTGGGAGTTTCCCCATAACTAGCAGCTTCCAGCTGTGACAAGCCCAGTCCAAGGAAACATTTGTAGATCCTCTCAGACCTGATTCGTTCATCTCATTATTCATGCATTTATTGAGCACCTACAATATCCCGGGACCATGCTGGTCTCTGGGCATATAGCAATGAAAACAGCAGACATGGATCCTCTCTGATGAACTCCAAGCACATTGCCTAGTTGGGGAGACAGTAGTCAGAGTCCATGAGCAGATTTACATAGTGACAACATGTGATGGGCACTTTAAAAGTTATAAAGGAAGCCCTGAGACAGTCACTGGGGGGAGAGTAATATTCTTTAGATGAGGGGCCGATCCAAGCTTCTCTGAAGGGTGACCTTGGAGCTGGGACCTGAAGGATGAGAAAGGGAACCTGCCATGTGTCATATGGGGGGCCACGAGTGATGCTGAAGGAGCGGCGGGGGCCAGAGCTGGTAAGAAGTTTTACTTTTCCCCAAGACCTATCATGAGCCATGGGGAGCAAGTGAAGGGCAGTGATTTGGTCAGGTTCACAATTTCCTAAGCTAATGCTGGTTTCTGTTTGCAGTTGGATTGGATTGGAAGGGAGAGGGACAGTGAGGAGTTCTAGAGACACAAGGGTCTCCAAAGTCGGGGGCACGCAGGCACTGCAGGAGGTGTTTAAGGGACTTATTTAAGGAGAAAGGAATATTAATTTTTTTATTTCTATTTCTATTTCATCCAAAAAAGAGAAAAGAATTCAGCATTACTAGTATTTATAGATTGACGCTGATGTCCATATTAGGTCTTTATATGAAATGTCACTAGAGGAAAGAATGGGAGCTGGACCACACAGAAAGGCCAGCCACTCTGCCCTCACTCTCGCTGTTGGCATTTAGAAGAATTTTTCTACTCATTTGAGACCAGTTATGCAGATTCATAGATTTATCAAATGGATACATGACTTAGAAAGAAGCCAGACAAAGGAGGAACAAAGAAAAAAGTGAAAAATGCTGAACCTAACTCAAATGTTGGATGATCAAAAGCATGGCGTGGCGTGGACACGTCACTCCTGATGGTGCCACTCTGGCCAACAGAGGAAGGAAAAACGGTGACAATCCAGTTGGATCCCACAAGAAGGTGGCCCCCAGATTTATACTATGAATGAGAAGACAATTTGAAATAAGAATTTATATCCACTATTATTACTAATGAACCTAGCTATACTGTATATTTTTGCTTTGTTAATAAAGGTAATAGTGGTAAAAAAGAAATCATCCATAGTAATTAAGGAATTTTAAAATATTTTATCTTGGTTTTATTTTTTAAATTTGTATTTTTGTGCATGTTTGACAATGTTCATGTTGGTATAGTCATGCATGATTATTATTTATAAATGAATTACTAGATTGAGTATGTGTGATTGACATTTTTTGCTGTTTTAAGGGCATGAGCAAACTAAGTAGAGAGGCCCGAGCTAAGATTTGAGGAGCCCAGGACCGGGGCTGCTGTGGGAGGCACTGACTGTCCAGCGGGATGCCAGGGCCCCTGGGCCCGGCCTGCTGGCTGTAAGGGCTTCCTGCTGGCATCCATGCCATCTGCCTAGCTCACTCTTCCCTCAGCCCAGACTTTCATCTGGGAAGGCTTTTTTTTCCCCCCTTTACAAATGAACAGAAGTTCATTCCCTTAAAGGGTAAACGGCAGATCCTGGCGAGGCTTTCAGATTATTTATTCTCTGGCCAGTAATAGAATAGAACACACTTCCTGGCTGGAGGAGGAGTCCATTCTGGTGCCTGCACAGGGGTCTGGAGCCCTGGAGGCCTGGGGCTTGCTCCCTATGAGGTTTGCCTGCTGGCTTCTTCTACACAAAGGCCCACTCATCCAACCTGTCCTTATGGGTCACGTCACTCCTGGGTATTTCTCTGTACAGCATCCCGGAAAGGTGCCAATAATGCCAGCTTTGTGTGTACAGCCCCCAGACCCAGCACCGCACATGTGATGGCCAACTCCCTCCATGGAGCGTGGCATTGGGCCAGCAGCCCCTCTGGTGGAAGGTCTTTCTCTTTGCTTTGGGGTTTTCAAAGTCCTTTGCAGGTACGGCACTGTTGCCATCAGCTCCGCCCTCACCAGGAACCCACGAGCCAACAGACCCTGGGAGAAAGATGTGTCCAGCTGCCTGCAGTCAGGCCAAGCTATGTGTCCAAGCTCCATGCGGTTTACAGTCCCTCTGGCTGAAGGGTCAGGGCCCCAAGCCCCTTCCATACAGTTCCACCCAACTCTCCTTTTCCCAAAAAGGCCTTCACAAACTGCAGAGGTCCTTGCAAGCCCGCAAATGTCTGTCAGCTGCCTGACTCCCTTCTCCCCATAGATCCCTGTCTGTTTCCTTTGTCACCAAAATCCAGCCAGAAATCTCCCCAGAGCATGTTCCGACTCTTGTTCCTAGGCGGCAGTCGCCATGTGGTTGGCATAGGTGCACATTTATTAATAAAATGAGCAAAATAACCAAATGCTTTGGCAGCTCCTGCAGCTTGCCAGAGGCTCTCCGCATGCCCAGTGGCACCAGAGGGTGGAGATGGGCCCTGGGAGGACGACTGTGGGGAGCCACCAGGGGAGACGTGCTTCTGACCATTGGTGAGGCATTCCACAATCCACAAGGGCTGATGAGTACCCACTGTCTCGGCTCAGGTGGCTTTTGGAAAAGGAACCCATGATGGGGACAGGGTGGCCTGCAAATGGTTGCTTGAGTGACCCTGCTCAAGAGAGCTCCACCCAGCCCTTCTCCTCAGAGAGTGAGCCAGGCCAGAATCCTCCAGCCCTAGGGAGTGGCAGAGAGCAGGTCAGGGCAGGCCCACCAGGGGCATGCTCTTCGTAGTAAATAATGGTGATTTAGGGTCCTGCCTCAACATTCAAATCCTACCTCTGTCCCTACCGGCAGGGGGGCCTTTGCCAAAACACCTAACTCAGCAGGGCTTCCCACTTCCAAATCACCTGGGATGCTGCAGGCATGACAAACCTGCATTACTGGGGCCTGTGCCAGGCTCACTCAGGGAATCATCCTCTGCAGAGACCCTGGTTTCTCACATGCTCTCCATGTGCATTTGCATGTGGTCAGGTCAGCACCTAGGAACCACTGATTTAACCTCTCTAAATTTTTATTTTCTTATTTAAAAAAGTGGAGATTGTTGTGAAGCTTAAATGGATGAATATCTATATATAATACCAAAATTTAGCTAGCATTTAGTATGACTGCTAATGCATTAGCTCATTTAATTTTCATAACAGCCCTATGAGGTAGACACCATCCCGAAGCCCATTTCACAAGTGAGGAGACTGAGGCTCAGAGACATTAAGCATTTGCCTAAGGCTGGCTACGCAGATGGTAGTGGCTGGAATCCATGTAAACTGCTTGGCACAGTGCCTGGAACATAATAAGTGCTCATTAATTTGTGGCTTGTTTAATGGCCAGACATAGTGGCTCATTCCTATAGTGCCAGCGTTTTGGGAGGGTGAAATGGGAGAACTGCTTGAGACCAAGAGTTCAAGACCAGTGGGTGGATCACCTGAGGTCAGGAGTTCAAGACCAGCCTGGCCAACATGATGAAACCCTGTCTCTACTAAAAATACAAAAATTGGCCCAGTGCAGTGGCTGACACCTGTAATTCCAGCACTTTTGGAGGCCGAGGCAGGCGAATTGCCTGAGCTCAGGAGTTTGAGACCAGGCTGGCCAACAGGGCAAAACCCCATCTCTACTAAAAATAAAAAAATAATAAAAATAAAATAAAAATAAAAAAATTAGCTGGGCCTGGTGGCGCGTGGCTGTAATCCCAGCTACTTGGGAGGCTGAGGCAGGAGAATTACTTGAACCCGGGAGGCAGAGGTTGCAGTGAGCCAAGATCGTGCCACAGCACTCCAGCCTGAGTGACGGAGCAAGACTCTGTCTCAATAATAATAATAATTTAGCTGGGCATGGTGGCAGGCACCTGTAATCCCAGCTACTCAGGAGGCTGTGGCAGGAAGATTGCTTGAACCCAGGAGTCGGAGGTTCCAGTGAGCTGAGATCGCACCACTGCACTCCAGCCTGGGTGACAGAGCGAGACTCTGTCTCAAACAAACAAACAAAAAATGTGGTTTGTTTAAAAAAGACGGAGGGAAGGAGGCTCAAGTCTGGCTCAGTCTTCAGAAGTTGTCCGTGCCCTGCATCCCAGCACATTCTGCTCTACCTCTGGTCAACCCAGCCGAAAGCATCTCCCTGTAGAAGTGCCCCAACTGTCCCGCCCAGATTGACAGCCAGGTCTGGCTGCCTTTGTCTGGTAGCTAACCGGCCCCCTGGAGAATCCACCTCCAGGCCCCATAGAGAATCCTGGAACTGAGTAGAGCAGGATCCTTCCAGCACCAAGAACACCCACACAGCACTCGACCATTTTACCCTAGAGCCCGTGGAGGCTCTCTCACCAGGTGGGAGAGGGAAATCGCTGTATGCTTCCTCAGCTCACGCCTATAAGCGTTCAAGTTCACAAGTGGTGCTTTTCTTAGACCGGCGTGTCATTTATGCTAGAAGCGTAAATTTGACAGGAGGGAGCATCGCAGGGGGAAGGAGTGAACATGTGGGGAGCCAGGTGCCAGGATAGGACTTGGGCATGTTATCTCATTTTATCTCATGTTGTCTCATTCCCAACAGCTTTGTTCAGGAAGTATCATTACCCCAATTTTGTAGCCAAGAATACTAAGGCTCAGAGGTTAGGTGACTTACGACTGTAATAAACAATAGTTAACATTGATTGAGCATACATTGATTGAGCATTTACTCGCTGCAGTGGTAAAATGCATTGACTGACTCCTCCAATCCCAATAATACTCTGAAGCTACATTGTCCTTACAGACAGGATAAATAGCTTGCCCAAGTTCGCCTAGGAAATGACAAAGGCAGAATTCAAAACCCAGGCCCCTGTGGCTCCAAAGCATTTCCTTCTATCTGTAAATAGTGTCTTAACATTGTATGGTTTATTTTAGAACCTAGAAACCTATCTCTAGGTGTGATGCAAACCCCCTTCTCTTGGGATTTCTGAATGTGCAGTAAGGAATACTGAGCCGGAGCCTCCTCTTGCTGTGTGACCTTGGGCAACCTGCTTCAAACCAAATTGCTTGGGCAATTTGGTTTCTTCATCCGGAAATGAGGAAGAGTGACCCTTGTCGACATTACTGGCTTGTAAAGGTCTACCCAGAGAGAAACCGCATGTATAGACACACATGCAACACCTCTGGGAGGACTTCGTCTTCTTAAATTGCAACATTAAGCACTTTCCTCCCACTCTGGTCACCTTCACTTGCTATTCCAAGTCAATTCAATTCAACGGATGCTGGAGGTAGCCATACTGCTCTGTAGCATGCTGGGTTCCGGGGGTGCGGCCGGAAGTGAGGTGCACTGGAACCTGGTGCCTGCCCTCTTACCCACCTAAAGGTTGGCTGCAGTGTGAAAGCCTAGCATCTGTTGAATTGAGTTAACTTGGAATAGCAAGTAAAGGTGACCAGAGTGGAAGGAAAGTGCTTTAGTCCATGCTTTAGTCTCCTCAGACCTGGCCCTTCCTGCCGAAGACACCCCTGGGCCTCATAAATAAGTCCTCCTTTTTTGCTGAACCCAGCTTGAGTGACTTCCTCTGATTCAAAATTCCAGAGTCCAATCAGTACAGCCCTACCTCCCTCCAGTCCAAGAAAACACCCTGATGAGAAACCCCCCACCCCACAGGGCTCATTTGTCAGAAAGGCTGAGAGAGAGAAAGGGCTGAGCACAGCAGCGGTGGTCTCTCAAGGTTCTGGGGGAAGAAGTGGGCTCTGTGACCTGGGGAGCCACCTTTAAGTATTATGCAGTGGCTGGAGCTTGTGCTTGCTTTGATTAGAACAATTTCTAAAAACTTGATCCCAAGATGGAGCCCTCACTGTAGGTGCTTAATCATAACCCAACGTGGTTCACATTTATTCAGCTTTTGAAATACACAAATTGCCTTATCACCCCTCTGGGAAGCCTTGCTGGACCGTCCCACCAGGCCGGATCTATCTTTCTCTTCCCTGCGTCTTGGACACCATTCCGCTGAGGCTGTCACGCTCTCTCAAGATAAGCAGGCTGTGTGCAGAGGGAAGAGCGAGATAAGGCTGGGTTCAAATCCCAGCTCTATTGCCCATTCTCGTTGGTAAAATGGGGGTGAAAATCTCTCCCTTGTAGGGTCATTTTAAGAATATTATGATACTGTGTATCGGCGAGTTCAGCACAAAGCCAGGCACTTAGTCACATCTCAAAAGCAGCTTTACTACTGGTAGCATGGTCTGTTTAGATGCTTTTATCTTCACTACCTCATGTGAGTGCTTCGAAAACAGACAAGAGCTGTTTTACAGCTGTTGTCTTGTATTGAACAGTGCCTGGTGTACAGTAAATACCTGTTCAGTCACCGATACTGCATTTTGGATCCATGAACTTCCTTAAGCATCCCAACAAGTCATGAAATCAACACGGTGGCATTCTGCCTGGGCCCTGAATGGGAGGAGTCCCCAGGTCTAGCTGAACCCAAGCCCAGGTCTACTCTCCAGTTGCCCAAGTTGTATTTCTGCTCAAGACTGAATTAATCCCAATCTCACTGGATGTGAATTAAGCGCGGGACTTCGTATTCTGCTTGGACAATACCCATTACTGACTGGGGTTTCTCAGTGGGGGACTGAGCCAAGCAGGAGATGGGGTGGGGATGGGGGGACATGGTAGCTTTCCCTAGAGGAAGCCCAGCCTTGGCCTGGCCCAACTGGCCAAGGAGTGCTTTGCTGAGTTATGGGGGTTCAGTGCTCAAAGTTCCAGGGGAGTCTGGGCCCCCAAGATTCTCAGAATCATCTGCCCAATTATCCCCACCTGAGGTCTCAGCATCCCACTCTCTGCCCAGCAGGGTTCTTGGCTTTGGCTGAGATCTGGCCAAGCTATGCCCTCCTTCTCCTTCACAACCCTGTGACCCTCCTGCCCCCAATTCCATGCCGAGCCTGATATTCAGTACAGGATACCCTTTGGCTGCAGAAGGAGAGAGTGTCTTACAACAGCACTATGGGGATTTTGTTCTTCACTGCATGGCCTGAGTTAACAGTGGATCAACCTGAGCCTGCTGTTTTCTTCCTTTAAGGCTTCCAGAGCAGTTAGCCGCCAGCCAGCCTCACCATCCCTGTAAGGCCCATCGCCCCTGGATTGTTTAGATGCTAGTGCTTTCATCTGATCCCCCACCCCACCAACACCTGTACCTCTTCCCAGCCCAGCACAGGGACAGTCTTAATCACCGTAATACCAGGGTGGCCACCATCACACGTCCCACGACAACAGGGCCCTCATTGCACATCACCAAGTGACCCAGCTCCAGAATGCCCTCCTGTAGTGGCGTTCTCAGGGCTGCGACTCTCTTAGCTTAAGATCCCCCCAAAGTAGAACCCGATGCCAAGGCTTGTGTACAGGGAGTTTATTTTGGAAGTCATTCTAGGGACCAGAAATGAGGGACGAACAGGAGTGGGAAACAAGAGAGAGCAGAAGAGCCAAGATAACGGTGCATTATTAGGTCACTGCCGTGGGTGGCTGGGGCTCAGCCCTGCCAGGACCTTCCAAGCAGTGCACAGAGGGACCTTATGGGTCAGATGACGGCCTGGCAGAAGCATTCACCTGGTGGCGCCTGTGCACCCCAGATTGAGGCTGGCTCAGTGGAAGCAACTTCCCTCCACAAGTCCTCCGGCTGAGCCCGCTTCTGCCAACCTTGTGTTGGGGCGCTGCGGAAGCCCCTGGGCAGAAAATGAAAACTGCCTCATGCTGACAGGAGGCGAGGTGCTGGTGGTGCAAAGGGAGCTGAAGCCCGCCCGGAACTGCTTGCCACAGCATGGCTGGAAATAGAGTTGTAGCCGTGCACGCGGCAGGCGGCGTTCAGAAGGAATCTGGTGCATTCTCTCGTAGTTATGAAAACAGGCTCTGGAGCCAGGCTGTCTTGATTCCAATCCTTCTGCTGTGCTTCCTTTCCTTCCACTTACAGAAGGGGGAATACTAAGAAGAAAGTACTTTATAGGGTTGTTATGAAGTAAATGAGAAAATTCATGCAAGATGCTTGTAATAGTGCCTGGCACATAATAAATACTCAATTAAGAGGGGCTTCTAATATCCCCATTTTACAGTTGAGGAAACTAAGATACATATTTTTTGAGGGATGAGGAGAAAGGGGACAAAGAAAGGGAGGGAAGGATTTTGAGTAGATCCCGCTCAAACCTCCAGAGAAGCGGAGGCCCTGGCTCTCTCAGCGTTTCTATGTCCTCTTCCCCTATCACAGGAGAGGCCTAAGGATGGGCAGCAAAGGCTTTCTTCCCCAAACAGGCATTCAAGCTTCCTCTGCTCCAGCTACAGGGTCCGTGGGTTCCTTGTGATGTCACAGCTGGTTGCTATGGAGACCAGGTTGCTGTGAATGTCAGTCCGAGGCCCATTAGGAGCACAGTGAACAGCAGCCCAGGCGAGCCCAGGGAGGCAAGAAAATGAGGCTCCCCGTGAGGTCTAATAAACACCTCTCGCCACACCCCAAACACATAGACACGCAATAGAGCCCATAGGTCCTGAGTGAGTCCCCCTGGCCCACCCCATTCAGCTGAGATCTGACAACATATGTTTGGGGACAAACAGCCCCAGCAGCCAGGAGCAGGCCACATCATACATAGTCAGCATCAGCCATGGTCCCCTCCCACTCTCCTGGGGGAAAAAGGTGCTTTACAGGCAGCGTGGCATCCGAGCATCCCCATGGCGATGCTGAGGTCAGACCTCACTGTGGTGATCTCACGCTGGGGCCACCGGACTCAGGCCAGGCTGGGAGTAGGCTGTCTAGCCATTGCTGGCTGTCATTGTCACCAAGGGAAGGGGAGAAGCTGTGAAGAGTTGCTCTGGAAAAAACAAATCTGCTCATAGGACAATGGGTCTGGGTGAACCTATCCCGGCCCTCTTGGCTGCTGGGCCAGGGCCTGGTTTTTCACAGGGCACCATTGAGACCACAGGAAGTGGCTTCCTGCCTCTGAAGACAGCACACAACTGCCCTAGAAAGCGCTCTTGTCACCCCTGCTGTGAGTCCCCCAGTGGGTTGCTTTGAGAGCCTTTCCTTTTACTGTGTATGGGGAAAATCTTCTGGGGGGATTGGCAGAGGTGGGGGGAAGCACCCTATGCCCTTCTCTGGATCGCAGGGTATCCTCCCTCCATGCTCTGGCGAGGCACTGACCACCCCCTTCCCCAGGGCTGAGCCAGACTCCAGGCAGCCTCCAGCCACCCGTGCCTCCGGTTCACCCCTGCCTGCCTGCCCGCCTGCTGCTGTCCTCAGCCAAGCCCTTCTGCATTCCCCGGCTCGAGGCCCCACTGTACTACCTGCCTAGTTGGGACACTTTTGCAGGAGGGACTGTCGCCTTTCTTTTGCTGGACTTTTATTTTTTTGAGACAGAGTCTTGCTCTGTTGCCCAGGCTGGAGTGCAATTGCACAATCTCGGCTCATTGCAAGCTCCGCCTCCCAGGTTCAAGTGATTCTCCTGCCTCAGCCTCCCTAGTTGCTAAGACTACAGGTGCGTGTCCACTATATCTGGCTAATTTTTTCATTTGTTTTTTGTTTTTTGAGACAGAGTTTCACTCTTGTCACCCAGGCTGGAGTGCAGTGGTGCAATCTCGGCTCCCTGCAATCTCCGTCTCCCAGGTTCGAGCTATTCTCCTGCCTCAGCCTCCCGAGTAGCTAGGATTACAGGCGCCCACCACCACACCATGCTAATTTTGTATTTTTAGTAGAGATGGGGTTTCACCATGTTGGCCAGGCTGGTGTCAAACTCCTGACCTCAAGTGATCTGCCCGCCTCGGCCTCCAAAAGTGCTGGGATTACAGGCGTGAGCCACCGCGTCCCGCCTGGACTTTCTTAAGAAACAGTTACTCCCAACCTACAGCTTGACCTCATAGCTGGGCCCTTCATCCTGCTGATGGGCAGTGTAGGGAGACAGGAAACACAGAGGCGTCTGGGAGGCAAACCTCATTGCCACCCCTTTCTAGAGACGTGGCCTTGGGCAAGTCACGTCCCCTCTCTGAGACTCTTGTTTTCTCAGGGTCATTGTGAGGATTAGATGGCCCCGTAAGTGTTCACCCCTTTCTTCCCAATCCTGCATCTGGACCCCAGATGCCACCTCCCACGTCAGAGGCCCTGCATCCATGCTCTGCATCTCTGGCTGCCCTCACCACACATGTGTTGCTCTGCCCAGGCCCCTCAAGGCTGGTGGTGTTCTTACACCTTGCTTTTGCTGACTCAGTGGATGTGTCTAGGTACCACCAGTCCCGACCCCGTTCTGTAGGTCTCTTCTAGAAAGGAGAGCCACCAAGAGCCTATGCCCTGCTCTGTGTTAGGATCTGTGTCAGACATTTCACACCCATTATTCTAATGAACTCTCACCCCAAGCCCAGCACAGAGTGATCACTAGTCCCATTTTAGGGATGAAAAAATTGAGACAGAAGTAAAATGACCTGCCGGGCGCGGTGGTTCATGCCTGTAATCCAAGCATTTTGGGAGGCCAAGGTGGGTAGATCACGAGGTCAGGAGTTTAAGACCAGCCTGGCCAACATGGTGAAACCCCGTCTCTACTAAAAGTACAAAAATTAGCTGGGCATGGTGGCACATGCCTTGTAATCCCAGCTACTTGGGAGGCTGAGGCAGGAGAATTGCTTGAATGGGGACCCGGGGGGCGGGGGTTGCAGTGAGCCAAGATCGCGCCACTGCACTCCAGCCTGGGCTACAGAGGACAGGGAGACTCAGCCCGGAAAAAAAAAAAAAAAAAGTAAAATGGCCTGCCGAGGTCACATGGCAACTATAGCTACCATTGACCAAGCATTTTCTCCTTGTTGAGTTTTATGCTAAAATGCTTCACACTTATCATTTCACTATAAAGTAGGAAGTTAAGCGCCTGAACTCTGGAGCCAGCCTGCCTGGGTTTGAATCCTGCCTCTGCCTCTTACTAGCTGTGTGACCTTGAGCAAGTTATTTAATCTTTCTGTGCCTTGGAGTCCTTATCTGTAAAATAAGATAGCAACAATTCCTCCCTTATAAGGTTGTCATGAGGAAGAAATTAGGGATAAAGTGCTTAAAGTCATGTCTGGCACGAAGTAAATGCTATATAGTGTTTCTTTTTTTTTCTTTTCTTTTCTTTTAAAAAGGTGAGGAAAGCCTCACAACAGCTCTTAGGGTAGAGTACTACTGTTAGTTGCATGTTAGGGAGTAAACAGGCACAGAGAGATGAGTTCACATACTTGAGGTCACACAGCTTATACATGGCAGGGCTGGGATTAGAGCCCAGGGTTCATTGTATCAGGAGCTGTGCTGGTCCCATTTTGCCATCCACCCTGCAGGAGAGGACAGCAGGAGTCCTGCCAGAGGGTAAGGTCCATGGCAACTAAGAACCAGAAGGGAGTGCTGCCCCACCCACAGACCCCGGCTGGGGCTGGGTCGGGGCACAAGGACTCAGTGGCTGGTGGAGGAGGGAGAGAAAGGAGTAGCCGGCTGAGGCTCGCCAGGATCCTAGCAACCAAAATTCCTGCTCCAGCTGAGAAGGAAGCATGGCCGGGCTGAGCTGCCACAGAGCTAGGCTCTGGGTCACCACCAAAGCCCCATGCTTCTTGCCTAGATTGAGCTTGAGCCCTTGTAAATCCTTGCATTTATCAATAGTACATTCCATGAATGGGGTTCTTATTTCCAACTCTGTGACCTTAGGCAAGCAGCTTGACCTTGCTGGACCATGTGTCATGAGGTTGTTATGGGGCATGAGTGAGTTAGCGGATGGGAATATAAAGTTCCTATCGCAGTCCAGCACAGGGCAGAAGGTGTTCAGGATATGGAGGTTCCCTTCCCCTCTCTGCTCAATGCCCAGGCACCGCGGCTGACCCTTGGTCAGTAGAGCGCACCCAGACGAATGCCCAGGTGGACACTTGTGTCTTTGTGGTTATCTTAGGGTAGAGAATCAGAGGCTTGTAGATGTCTTTGCCACTTCCACGGGATCTCTGGGAGCTGGAAACTGAGCTTTAAGAAATAACTATAGTGCAAAGGTGAGTATAAATATAATCAGGTTTTCATCATGTTCTTCCTGCAAAATTCTCTTGGAAATGACAACCAACCTCCATTCTATTGCAGGGAACTAAGGGAAAAGGGTTCAGCCCAAAGCAGAAGGGACTGTGATGATCACAGTGACCTCCTGAGGCCAGCATGGTGGTAGCAGCCAGAGACAGCAGCTGAGTGAGACCCTAAGGGAGGGATGAGCCAGGCAGTGTGTGGTTGGAGTTCTCCCTACACATCTCGTTTTCCTCACCTCCAGATCACACACATGCACACACACATATGCACCCACACACCCCTTACACACTCCGGCCCGAAGGTTTCTGCAGGACTCCTTCCTGGCACTCTCTCCAGTGCTGCCAGCGTCGCACCACACTGCAAGGCTTTGCAAACTTTCCTTCCAAAGTGAAGGAGACCCTCTGGCCATCTGAGGCTCGGTCTGAAGCAACAGCCTCAGAGCGCAATCTCAGGCATGCAGGAAGTGCAGGAAGGCCACGTGCCACATACGTTATCTCACTTAATCTCATTAGCAGGAAATGTCTTTAAAGTCTTATGTTGGTGCTTAAAAATTCCTGAGCAGTTTAGCCCTTAATAAAGCCAGGCTTTTTAAAATTTGAAATGAGGTTGAGAAAACTGTGGTCATCGGAATTCCCTTCAGAGACAACACTTAGCTGAGTCTCTTGGTTGTAGGGAGGAGGCTGATGGCGGCAGAGGGGGCAGTGGGGATGGCAGAGAGTGGGGGGAGCATGCCAAGGGGACATTTAAGTGAGAAAAGGTGATACTAAATCGCTCCATATTATGTGGAGTGAGGAGGAAAGAGGGTATGTTTGGGGGTGGGGAGAGTGTGTGTGTATGTGAGAGAGAATGTGTGTGTGTGTATGAGAGTGTGTGTGTATGTGAGAGAATGTGTGCGTGTGAGAGTGTGTGAGACAGAGACAGTGTGTGTGTATGTGAGAGAGAATGTGTGTGTGTGAGTGTGTGTGAGACAGAGACAGTGTGTGTGTATGTGAGGGAGAATGTGTGTGTGACTGTGGGTATGAATGAGAGAATGTGTGTGTGACTGTGTGTGTGAGAATGTGTGTGAGAAAATGTGTGTGAGAGAGTGTGTGAGTGTGTAAGTGAGAGAGAGAATGTGTGTGTGTGACAGTGTGTGTGTATGTGAGTGTGTGTGAGAGTGTGTGTGTATGTGAGAGAGAATGTGTGTGTGAGAGAGTATGTGTATGTGTGTGAGAAAGTGTGTGAGTGTGCATGCATGTGTGTGTAGGGTGTGCAAGATCGAGCAGAGAGATTGAAGCAAGTGAGGCTGGGAGCTGCTTCAAGGAGGAAGAGAGGGAAAGAAAGAGAAAGGCTTGCCTGTCAGAGGAGGAGCTAGAGAAGAAAATGTGAGCTGGAGTTCATGCAGGGGAAGGGAGATGGGCTGTGTGGTGTGCTCCTCTTAGCAGAGGGCTTGAAAATCTCCAGCAGGACTCGGCCTGTGTCCCCTGGACTTTGGTATCCTTGGCAGTGCCTTGGACCTCACTGGGTACTGGAACCCACTGGTCTGTCTTTCCCACTAGACTGTGATTGTCTCAGGGGTAGGCAATGTGTGGCTTCCTCCCTGAGCCTCAGGCCTAGCCCAGTGCCAGGACTCATCAATATTGTTTGAACTGGCTGAGCTCCAAGCAGGTGGGTTTGGAGGTTTTCACTCTTTGTTTGTTTTCTAGGTTGGTCTTATTTAACAAGGCAGGCAGCCTGGGGTCAGACCCAAATTCTTGCCTGCCCAGTTTCAGTCCTGCCTGGAGAATGAGATGGGCCTGACTCCCTCAGGCTGGAGCCCAGATGAGTTCCTGGGTGCAACAGAGGAGGCAGTTGGAGCAATGGGGACTGCCCAGTGGGAGGGAGGCGGAGCCAGTCTTATTGTTGAGAGGGCAGAGGGCAGAAGGGACTCCTCTTGGCAGTTGGTCCAGCTCTGGGCTACCTTGTCCATCCTGAGCCCTAGGAAAGAAAACAAAAGGAGCCTTGCAGTGCAGGCCTGTGTGGTCCAGAAAAAGAAAGGTAAAATCTCCCATGGCTGCTGCTTTCGGTCCGACAGGCATCAGGCTGAGCTACTCGGGCTGCTTTTCCCCTCTGGGTGAGGATGCACCAACACGAACATACAGAGCGGCTGCTTCTACACAAAGGGACCCCAGGAGAGCAGGAGAGGCATTTGTGGGACGTCACGGGGAACTTGTTGTCCACCTGGAAGGGGCTGCCAAGTCAGACTCTTCTTTGGGGAGAGGAGACAGGTAGCGCCCCTGTGGGGTGCCAGGGTTTGGCCATCACTCAACGACGGCCGGGCCGGTGCCTTAAGGAGCTCGGGGAAGGAGAACACACCTGCGCAGCATCAGCCCAGTTCTAGTGTGAGTCATCACCAAGTAGCTGATGGCAGCTGTGGAACAAGAGCAGGTACAGGATGGGGGCCCCAGTTGGGAGAGAAGAGTGGAAGAGGCATGTTTGGGGTGAGAGCTGGAGGCATGAAAAGGTGGAGGGACGTGGAGGGTACGTGCTCCTTACAACAGCAACTGCAGCCAGTCAGCCTGAGCACAGGGCCCTGGGAGTTTGGGAATGGAAGACACAGGGCTGAGTGAGAAGGTGGAGGTGAGCTTCCTCATTACAGGGGCCAGGAAATGCTGACGAATAAACAGCCATTGTTTACTGAGCCGTTGCTGCATGCCGGGCGCATAGCCAGGCCTTCACACACAACAACAATGGCATTTGCTAGGTGCTGGGCACATTCTGAGCACGTCACGGCACTCACTCACGTGGCTCTCACAAATCAGAGGGCGGAACAGACCACAGAGAGGTTAAGTGGCTAGTCAGAGGTCAGCCAGGATCAGGACTCCTGACCCCCTGACCCCTGCCAACTACAGCTTCTCCAGATATGACTGCCCGGTAGATATTCTCCCCACTTTATGGACGAAGAAACTGAGGCTCGGAGGGATTAACTGAGCAGGGAAGGAGCGCTCTCATTGTGCCAGGCTCCGTGCTAATCACGCTCCCATATGTTATTCCCTCCATTCTGGCCACAGCTATATGAGGTGGAGATTATGATCCCCAGGTTACAGAGGAGAAAACAGGGGGCGGGGAAAGGAGGGATAAGTCATTTGCCAAGATTTGATCGAAGAATCAGCATGAAGCCTGTGGAGTTTTCAGGGATCCTCATTCCCTCAGGGAGCCACAGCTACAGCACCCACATTTCAGGCCCCAGTAATCCCCCCCAGGCCTGGGGGTGAGATGGGCGGGGTCCCAAAAAGACCCTTCTCCTCCAGAGCCCAAGTCACTGCACCCAGCCACTTCCTGCTGCAGGAAATGCAGACCAGGACGATTCCCGTTCCCCAGGGCTGCAGGAGGAGTCCAGGGGAAGGGGCTGTGTGGAAGGCTGCAGAATCCAAGTTCAGGAAGGAAAAGCATCCTCTCCAGGGTCTGGGTTCCGATTCTGGCTTAACCTTTGCGGTCTGTGAGCTGATCAGAGCCTCAGTTTCCTGTCAGATAAGAATAGTCACCCTCCCCGCCTCGGGGAGGAACTGTGAGGACCAGATAGAAAGGGCCCCGGGTACAGTGCTGCTCTGGCCAGACCCCAGGAGTAAAGTCTGAGATGAGGATTCCTGTACAAGGGATGCATCAAGGGTGTGCTCCTGGGGGAGCTGGTGAGGGCGAGGGAGGCACCCAGCCAGGGTACATGCAGGAGGCTGGGGAGGGGTGCCCACAATGTAGATCACGCCTCTGTGTTGGTCAGACTCAAAGCAAGGCCCTCTGCCACTGGCCAAGCGTCCCACCCTGGCTTCCAGTTCTCTGCACTCAGGGTCAAAGTGGCTCCAGCAGCCTGAAGGCCATCAGACGCCAAAGCACACAGAAGCCAGGGGTGGGGCGGGGCACTCAGAGTTGGTAAGCAGCATCCAAGGGGATTTGGGTGCAGCACAGATGCTGTCGCCTGTGCCTGACACAGAGCAGATGCTCATTAAACAGGGTCAGTAACTGCTGGCACCCACAGAGCTGGGACAAGGACCCTTGGGCCTGGGTCAAATCGTGTGGCCACTCAGCCTTGGCAGGTGTATCGGTTTTCTGTTGCTGCTGAAACAAATGACCACTCCCCTCAGTGGATTAAGCTGATATTCATGGATTGCATTCTCTTAATGGTTCTGGAGGTCAGAGGTCAAAAATCAGGATGGCAGCAGGGGTGAGCTCTTTCTGAAGGCCTCGGGAGAATCTGTTTCCGTGCCTTTTTCAGTTTCTAGGAGCTGCCTGCATTCCTTGGCTTGGGGCCCCTTCCTCACATCCCTCCAGCCTTCACTTGCAGCATTACCTCTCCTGCTGGATCTTCTGGCCTTCCCCTTGTGATAACACTGGGCCTGTTCTGATAGCACAGGATACCCTCCCCATCTGAAGACCCTTAGCTGAATCACAGCTGCAAAGGCCCATTCTACCATGTTAGGTAACATATTCACAGGTTCTGGGGATGAGGATGTGGACGCCTTTGTGGGCCACTACACAGTCAACCATAGCAGGGAAAGGACAGGGACCTCAGCCTCCCCCAAGATGGATACACAGCCCTGCCTTTGTCTCAAGGGGACAGCTCTACTCCAGAGCTCCCTGTGGGATGGGGCTGAGACTAGACTTCAACTGGACCCACATCTTTGCCTGGCTTCTTCCCTTACTTTCTTGTTTCTTTTACCCCTATAGGTTTCACCCCAGACACCCCCTGCAAACAATAAATTACTTGCATAAGGCTCCCTGCTTCTGGAGAACCTGACCATGTCACTTTGTAACATTATCCCCATTTCACCGACCTGGAAGCTGAGGTGCAGAGAGAATGATTATATCTTGCCCAAGGTTACACAGAGAGTCAATGGCAGAGCTAGGACTGGACCCCAGTCTCTCAATTCTCAGTTCTGGGCTCCCCATCCCTCCTGTTTGTCTAAGGGCCAGCGAGGGGGTCTGGGGAAGATCAGAGAGCCAGTCCCCACATAGCTCACCATTCTCAGGGTTGTCATGGTGCTGCTGAGCTGGCTACCTGCCGTCCAGAGCCTTTTTCTTCCTACCTCTTCTAAGTCCTTTGTTAAGGAAGTGCACTTTGAAGAGACTTCTGGCTGTTTTGCTTTGAATTTCCGCAGCAGCTCTTTTGCCCCAAATCCTGGCAGCTTGGCTTGAGAATAGACTGTTCATCCAGTTGCCTGGGATGGTGTGAGAGGGGTCTGCTAGTCCTGGAGCGGGAGGCCGAGACAGAGGCAGGCCACCCCATGCCCTGAACCCCCTTCAGAAGACCCAGGCCACAACACAGCAATGGTCCGAGCTAAGACAACTCAAGTCTTGTGCTGCTGATTTTCGGTCTCTCCCCACTCCATCCCTTCCTTTCTCTGCTCCAGGTCCCAGTTGCATCTGTGGACCATGGGCTCTCTGCCTTCTGGCCTCTGATGGCTGCAGCCAATGGAAGGCCCCGGCAGGAGAGACTGGTGTTTATTCCTCCCGGATCCTTGCCCTTTCAGGCCTAGGGTTGGGCACAGCTTCCCAGTGATGCTAAGC
The DNA here is from genome assembly GCF_000001405.40 of Homo sapiens. Taxonomy (NCBI): domain Eukaryota; kingdom Metazoa; phylum Chordata; class Mammalia; order Primates; family Hominidae; genus Homo; species Homo sapiens. The sequence goes on from NC_000011.10 coordinate 44,982,948, forward strand.
CCCCACTGCCTCTCCATCCCTTCTCATGTGTGATAGGCAGTCATGGCCCTCAAGTTGTCCATGTCCTAATCCCTGGGATCTGCGAACCTGCCACCTTATATAGCAAATGAGACTTTGCAGATGTGATTAAATTAGCCGGGTGCAGTGGCTCACACCTGTAATCCCAGAAGTATGGGAGGCTGAGGCAGGCGGATCACTTGAGGTCAGGAGTTTTGAGACCAGCCTGGCCAACATGACAAAACCTCGGCTCTACTAAAAAATACAAAAATTAGCTGGGTGTGGGGGTGGGCGCCTGTAATCCCAGCTACTTGGGAGGCTGAGGCAGGAGAATCGCTTGAACCTGGGAGGCGGAGGTTGCAGTGAGCTGACATCATGCCACTGCACTCCAGCCTGGGTGACAGAGCAAGACTCCATCTCAAAAAAAAAAAAAAAAAAAAGATTTAAAAAGATGTGATTAACTGACTGATCTTTAGATGGAGAGATTATACTGAATTACCCAAGGAGTGGGGGGCTGATGATGTAATTAGGGTCCTCATAAGAGGGAGGCAGGAGGGCCAAGGTGATCTGATGATGGAAGCAGAGGTGGCAGTTATGTGGCCAGGAACCAAGGTAAGCCAGGAGAGGCAAGCGATGAATTCTCCCCGGGGCCTCCAGAAGGAACCAGCCCTGCTGACACCTTGATGTTAGCATTTGGGACTTGTGACTTCCAGAACTGTAAGGAAATAAGTTTGTGTTGTTTTAAGCCACTAAATTTGGGGTAATTTTTTACAGCAGGACTGGGATATTAATACGCTGCACTTCTGTAAATACCTTCTTAATTAAATTATCTTCAGTTAAAGCCTCAAATGTGTTTTGTATTTCCTGCCAGGACCTGAGTCATACAACTACTGATATGTGTCAGAAATGGTGTCAATTATTTTATTTATCTCTCATCGCCCATGTTGCTGGTGGGGAAGGTGGGACTTATGTCCCACAGTCCATAGTAAGAGGTGGCATCCAACCCTCTGGCTCCAGGACCTGAGTCACAACCCGGCAGGCTGCTGCTCGTCACTGTTAAAGGAGAAGCCGATAGCAAGGGAAGGAGCCCTCATGAAAGTGAGAACCACCCGCACCCCAACCCCGAAGGACACAGGCCCAGGGTCAAGTTGGGTGGGGCGAGTGCAGCCCAGCTGTTCAGGGGCATGAACATTTCACTTCTTGCTTCTGAGAACTCAAAAACACACCCAGGTGCTTTTCAAGGTTTAGCTGAACCCAAGGAACAGCATTTGAATTGATAACTCTCAACCCTCAGTTTCCTCTTCCACAAAATGGGAATTTAAATGCCCATCTTGTAGGGTGGCATTGTGAAAATTAAAGTACACATGAGGAATGATGACCACATGGTAATTACCCAATAAATGGTGATCACTCTTATTTTAGCATCTATCATAGATGCTAAAACTCTAGCACAGTTCTAGGTACTGGGGATAAATCAGAGAATAAAATGGACAAAACTCCAACCCTCATGAGATGTTCATTTTGGTGACCTGAAACAGACAATAAACAAATAACTACATTTTGTTTGGAGACTATGTTGCCCAGGCTGGAGTGTAGTGGCCTGATCACAGCTCACTGTAGCCTGAATCTCCCAGGCTCAAGTGATTCTCCTTCCTTGGCCTCCCAAATAGCTAGGACTACAGGCATGGGCCACCACACCTAGCTAATTTTTGAAAAGTTATTTATAGTGATGAGGTTTCACTATGTTGCTCAGGCTAGTCTGGAACTTGCGGGCTCAAGTGATCCTCACAGCTCAGCCTCCCAAAGTGCTGGGATTAAAGGCATGAGCCACCATGCCTGGCCAACTAAATTATTGAGTGGGTCAGAGGATGGTAAGAGGCGGAGGGTAGGGCATTGGAGGAGGGGGATGCTGTGATTTTACATAGATTGGTCAGGGGCAACTTCGCAGACAAGATGACGTTGGTTTTTGAGCATCTCCTCGTTGTTTCATCTATTGACGTGCTGATGTCCTTGTATTTGCTTCAGTATAATTGGTGCTAATGGATGGCTGTCTCTTGAACCCTGGGTGAGGTAAGGATGAAGGCTCAGTGTGCCTCGTGTATGTGTGAGGATGGGTGTGCTCCCCAGCTTTCCCTTCCCCCGCCAGCCATTTACTGACTCTGAGCCTTTGCCCAAGCTTTGCCCTCCGCCTGACATGCATCCCTCCCCTTGCCAAATGCTCTCCCATCCATCAAGTCCGCAGCACACCCTCTCTTATTGTCCTTGGTGCCCTCCCCGTTCCTTGGGAAGAACTGAGGGCCCCTTCCATGCGTTCAAGCAATTCTCCTTCTTCAGCCTCCAGAGTAGCTAGGATTACAGGAGGGTACCACCATGCCCGGCTAATTTTTGTATTTTTGGTAGAGATGGGGTTTTGCCATGTTGGTCAGGCTGGTCTGGAACTCCTGACCTTGGGCGATCCGCCCGCCTCAGTCTCCCACAGTGCTGGGATTACAGGCATAAGCTGCCATGCCCAGCCTCATGCATTCTCCTAACACACCTTTATTTTTTTATAGATGAGGAAACTGAGGTACAGAGAGGCTAAGGCCATTCATGTGAACCCACAGAGTCTGACTGCAGAGTAGAGCTCTAAAAATGATCTAATTTTGAAAAGTTAATTTGTGCATACGGCACAAAATTCAAAAGATACACAAAGTAATGGAATGAAAATTTAGTCTCGCTCCCAGGGAGTATCCACCACAGGTATTTTTGTTGGAATGTCCTTCCAGAGATAATCTGTGTAAAAACATACATGTATTTGAAATTTACATTTAACGCAAATGGGAGAACAGCAGCTTTGCATGGCCCCTTGCCTTTTCCTGCAGGTAGCGGCATCTGTCTTGAGATGGCTCTATATCCATGCACACAGGCTGCCGCTCCACCGCTGCTCCATGCAGTGCAGGGAGAACTTGGGGCTGGAGGGCTGAGCCCGTGGTTCAAAGCATGCACACAGCATTGAGCAGCCATGCCTATCCTGTGGTCCTGGCCTCCCTGAATGCATAGTGGAACAGAAGCACCCTAGAAGGTCACCACGACCCCATCAGAACCCAAGCATGGCACTTCCTTTCCTGCCCTCTGTCCCTGGTCAGAAGGCACTGGCTGTTCCTGGATGTGTTTGTCAGAACAGTAGAGGATAGAGAAGACATACATCTACAAGTCTCTCATTCAAAAGAGAGGCTCCAGGGAGACCATCCCAGGCCCCAAATAACTCCAAGGTAAAAGCTGGTGTACAGCAAGGAAAACAGGAGAGGCACTTTGGTCGTTATCAGGTTATCTGTCTGGGACAGGCAGGTGAACTTGATGTCCAGTAAAAATTCCTACACTCATGCCTCTGGGTCCTAATTTCTGATCTCTGGGCCTCTGAGGCACAGACCCAGCCCTCACGGTCCTTGCACCTGCTTCAGAAGCAAGTCATTTCTCAGCCTCCTGGGCAGCTGCTGGCCGAATTGCAGAATCATTGCACTGTGAACCCCAAGAGGTCCTCTCACCTAGCTGTTTTTTAAGACATGGGCCCTGTGCAGTCCAGTTCACTGCTCTGCTAGCTTTTTTTCCTTGAATGTCTCCAGTGACAGGAATCTCATGCCCTTTCAAAGGCATTTAGGGGAATTCCTCGCCACCAAATATCAGAACTAGAAGACATCTTAGGAATCTCTTTGCCAACCCCTTTATTTTTTCTAATTATACTTTTTCCTGCCTTGTACCTTATCCAGTACAGACCTAGCTCTCTTCTTCTGGTGGGTGTATTTATTTTCCTTTCATTTAACATTTTTTTAACTGCTACATAATATTTGTACATATTTATGGGGTGCATGTGATATTTTGTTACAGGCATAGAGTGTGTAATGATCAAGTCAGGGAATTTGGGGTATCCATTATCTCGAGTGTTTATCACTTCTATGTATTGGGAATATTTCAAGTCCTCTCTTCTAACTATTTTGAAATATCCAATACCTTCATTAGCTGTCCTCACCCTACTTTGCTATCGAAATGGCTGGCTTTATAATTGCTGCAGTGTGGGGAAGGTCCTCTTTCTTGAAGGAAAAGCACCACCAAAGTAAAGAGCGATTCTGGCTTAGTTCAGGTTTCCATAACAAAATGCTACCAACTGAGTGGCTTAAACACAAGACTTTTGTTGCTCCCAGTTCAGGAGGCTCGGAAGGCCAAGATCAAGATGCCAGTGATTTGGCATCTGGGTGAGGGCCCTCTTCCTGGTTTGCAAATTGTTGCTTCCTGCCTCTCCTTACAGGGTGGATGATCTCTCTCTTCCTCTCTCTCTCTCTCTCTCTCTCTCTGTCTTTTCTGTCTTTCTTATAACAGCACTAGTCCCATTCCTGGAGACTCTACCCTCATGACCTAATCACCTCCCAAAGGTTCCACCCCCAAATATCATAGCATTAGGGACGAGGGCTTCAACATTGGAATCTGGGGGGACACAAACATATTTAGCCAATAGCAAATCCCTACTCCCCACCCTAGCTGTCCTCTCCAACTCCACCCAGCCAGGATGGGAAGTACCTGGCAATTGTGCTACTCCCTGGGCCTGCAAACGCTTGGCTCCCGTTGCTAATCACACTCAGATGCAACCTGAGTCTTCTCAACACGGCACTCTAGGAGCTGCTCCAATCACTGGGAATTGGCATGGAAGATGACACCCCTGCCATCCTGCTCCTTCCACCGAGGCAGCCCTGCAGATGAGAGAGTTTCCAAACCCACCCGCCTGCAGGGTTGTTTCCAGTCCAACCAGACCAAAGGCCTCTCACGGCCCTCAAACCGCCTGAGCCCCTGCCCCTGGCTGCCTGTGTCGGAGCCGCCTGCTGTGGAAGCCACCTTCCCACACAGTTCAGTCTTCATCATGCCTCGCTTCCCAAATGCCATACTCCACCCCAATCTCCAAAAATGGGTTCAGCCTCTTCCCCAAGTCTGGAGCGCCCTTCTTGGTCTTTTCTGTGTATCCAGATCTCCAACCTTGGAGGGCGCCTTTACATGCAGCCGAGGTTGAACCACTGCTAGGTGATCTAAGAGAACTTTCCACACACACCCTCAGTTTGTACCACAGTCAGACCTTCCTGCGAAGTGCTTTTATGGGTTTGTTTATTCATTGACCACGCTTACTAAGGGGCCACATGTTGATCAGAGTATTTACCTGGGGCCAGGTGCCACGCTGAGACTTACTCACTTCATCCCATTAAATCTTCATGACATTCCTATAAAGTAGGTATTCTTATAAGCCTGGTTTTTGGGAAATGGAGGCTAAAAGCTTGATGGGCTTATCAAAGTTGCCTAACTGGTCAGCAGCAACCCCAAGATTTGAGTCCCAGCCTGACCCCAGAGCTGGCATGGGTGGCCCCATCTCTGCACAGCCACACCCTCATGGGTATAGCTCCCCATTCTCTTCACCTGTTGTGTCCCATGCACCCTTCAGACTTCAGCTTGGCAGGGAAGGGGGCCCTCTCTGACCTGAGTCCCAGACACACTTTCACTGAGAGAGCACTTGTCACTGTGGCCATTTTTATTTATTCGTGTCATTATTTGAGTCACGGCTGTCTCTTTCTGCCCCCTCCACAGACCATAAGTTCCACGGAGGCTGGATTATGTCTGCTTTTTACTGCCTTTCTCAGGGTTCTTTAGCAGAATGCCTGGCACATGTTTGTTGGATGGATGGATGGACGATGGATAAGAAAAGAAGGAAGAAAAAAAGAAGGAAGGAGGGAAGGGAAGGGAAGGGAAGGGAAGGGAAAGGAAGGGAAGGGGAAAAGAAGGAAGGAAGCAGATTCTAGATACAAATTCCAGCTTCCCAGCCAGCCAGCCACAACTTTAAAGACAGAGACCCATTTCTACTTCTCTAAGCAGCAGGGATCTCAAGCAAAGGACAGAAGCTACAGAGGCAACTTTGCTTCCTGGCTATGTGACCTTAGGCAAATGCTCCAGCTCTCTGAGCCTCACCTGCAAAATGGAGATGGTAGTACTCACTTATAGGAAGGTAGTGAGGATTAAATGGAAGCAGGAGGAGGAGCTCCCTGTAAACAGCAAGAACTTGCCCACAGTGAGTTATGATTATGCTTCCAGATTTCCCTGAGCCTGGTGCCTCTCACAGGGGCTCCATCAACAGTAGCCATCTCTCCCCACCCCCCGCACACTGTGTGCCATTAGCTTATTAGCCTTGGTAGTGAGGGCAGCCTGTGCAAATCCAGGGGAGAAGCAATCTAGGAGTGGGCTTGTGAGTGGGCTCCCCCCATGGGCTCGTTTTTCCCAGACCTTCCCGAGGGCTGCTAAGACTCTGATGAGAAGATGGTAAAGGAGTAGAGTGGAGCATGGGTTCTGAGCACTGCGGTTGAACTGGGAGGTGCAGGGATGAGATCGTCAGAGGCAATGTGTCCAGTAAAGCCCTCTCTCCTGCCACCCTCCTGTTAGTACCTGGCTCACCTTCTGCCTGACTGGGCATGGCACTGATTCTTATCAGCAACCAATTGTCAGGACCCCAGGTCAGAGGCCCAGTGCTAAGTAACCAGTCAGCTTTGGGACCCTGAGTTTGTTTAGGGGACCTCCCTCAGCCTCAGATCAATGCATGAAGGATGATGACCTCTAGGGCAGGGGTCTTGAACTTCCTTTCCAGGTCAGGACCAGCCCTCCTCACTTCTCCCATCATCCAAGGACAGGTAGCTTTGCTGATAGATCCTTCCAGGAGCTCTCCGGAGCCTTGGTTTTCTCATCTGTAAAATGGGATAAGGCCCAGCTCACAGGCTGACCTGTGCACCCAGTGAGTTCTTCTAGGAAAGAGCATGATACACAGGAAGGGGAAGTGCCTGTACCCAGGCTCTTGCCCTCCTTTGGTTCCCAGGTAACCCTCAAGCCCGCATCCCTGGAGCAGCAGACCCAGGTGAGAGGTCAACGCCGGCAACCCCGGGCCTCTCCTTTCCTGCGAGGCCCAGCCTTCAGCAAAGGCTGTGAAGCTGACTGCAGTTGCCTCGGCAGCAGCCTGGTGCTGAGGTCAACACTGTCATCTTGCTGGAGTATGGGAGTCGGTGCAAACATGGCTTCTCGTCAGCCAGGAAGACGCCCAGCCTGGCACAACCTTCGGTTCTGACTCCCATCACCTCCTGTTGACAGCGTCTGGCTGGCATCCTAATCGCTCATTGGACAAATTGCCAGGGCAGCGGTAGACAGCTGGCATGTGTTAACTCGCTCAGTCCTCACAGCGATCCCATGGGGAAGGCGGTTATCATCCCCGTTATTGTACGGCCAGAGAAACAGTGGCACAGAGGAGTGAAGTGGCCTCAGGATTGGCACTGAGGCAGCCCTGGCTCTGGGGGTTGAGGCCCTCAACACTGCTCTAGATCAGAGGTCTCATAGGATTTGTCTGTTAAAACCCCAGCTGCGGGGCCCACCCCCTGTGCTTCGGATCCAGTAGGGCTGAGACTCATAGGGCTGGGGCCTCACTGCTCAGAGAGTGGGGAGCTGCAGCACCCAGTGCTGGTCGGAAATGCAGACTCCCAGGCCCCACCCTGGTCCTCTCAATTGGAATTCAATTAGAATTCACATTTTAGCAAAATCCCAGGCAATTTGTGAGCCCACTACAGCTTACAAAGCTGACTCTAAACCACCGCATGGACAAGGACCCGTTACTTCTGGGGCTTACATACCTGTGTGGGAGGCAGAAACAAATATATGAGATCATCTCAGAGGGCAACGTGTTCTATGAAGGGATAAAACAGAGCCACGAGGAGTCAGGCACTGGGGGTGGTCTGTGCTGTTTTAGGAAGAATGGTCAGGGGAAGCCTCTCTGAGCTGGTGACACTGGAACTGAGGCCTGAGGGAAGAGGAGAGGCCAGCACTTCACAATCAGAGGAAGAGCGCTTACAGCCTGGGAGGGGCACTGAGCTGCCACCCCCAAACAAGCGAGGGACTCAGACACAGACATGGTGCAAGCTGGCAAGATGGGTGCACTGAAGACAGATGTAGAGGAAATGCTGAGGGCCGGAGGGATGGCTGGGCCTCAGGGTCAGGCACCAGAGATTCAGATGCAGATGAAACCCAGGCCCCACACCATAGGGAGATTAAGTTAGGAATACAAAATTGATAAAACAACGCAGAAGGTGCCAAGTCAGGGAGGGACAGAGATAAGATTTATGGAAACTTGATGTCCCCTGAGTGATTGGACCACTTGGTGCCCGGCACAGTGCTGTGAGCTTTCTCTCTCTGTCTCACACAGGCACACAATGCACACACACACACACATGGCTGTCACACAACACACACACACACACTTATCACACAATGATTAAGAGCAGGGGCACAGGCATGGTGGCTCACATCTGTAAGTCTCCCAACACTTTGGGAAGTCGAGGTGGGCAGATCACTTAAGGTCGGGAGTTTAAGATCAGCCTAGCCAACAAGGCAAAACCCCGTCTCTACTAAAAATACAAAAATTAGCCGGGCGTGTTGGTGGGCACCTGCAATCCCAGCTACTCGGGAGGCTGAGGCAGGAGAATCCCTTGAACCCGGGAGGTGGAGATTGCAGTGAGCCGAGATGGGAGATTATGCCACTACACTCCAGCCTGGATGACAGAGTGAGACTCTGTCTCAAGTGAAAAAAAAAAAAAAGAAAGAAAGAAAAGAAATAAAAGCAGGGACCTGGAGCCAGGCTGCCCTCCACACAGTCCCAGTCCCATCTTGACTACTGATTAGGTCCTTGTGCCTGTTCCTTCACTTCCCTGTACCTTGGTTCCCTCTTCACAGATGGGAAATAAGAACACCAGCCTAATGGGGTTGATGTGAGGATTAGGTATTTGTAAAGCCTTTCAAACAGTACTTGGCATCTAGCAAGTACTATGTGAATATCAGCCACTGTGATTCTTTTATCCTCTGACCCTATGATTCACTGAGACAGGTAGATTAGCATTCTCATTTTGCAAACAGAGAAAATGAGGCTCAGAGAGGTCCAGCAGTTTCCCAAACTGGAATATCTGTCTGCCTGACACCAAGCTTGGAGGGAGCCTCCAAATGGTAGGGAATACCACCATTTGGCCTTGAACACAAAGGCCGCTAATGGAGGAAATATGGCTGGACCAGGTCAAAGAGGGCTCAAGGCTGGGAGCTTTAGGATTGGTTTTGTGAGAACCATAGAAAGTGAGAGCCATAGAAATCTCTAGCCCCAACCACCATATTCCAAGCCACCATGGGAGCCACTGGGCATCTACAGACAAATGTGACCTCATTTCCAAAGGCCATACTCATTCCCACTTTAGAAGGTCTGGCATTGGCCTTGGTTCTCAGCTGGGCCTTAAGCCACATGACCCAGAATTAGGTCACATCCTGTGGCCAGAGCTTATTTCTCAAGGAAAGTGGGACCCAGCAACACAGCAAACCCAAAGGCAAGCGGTGCCTACTGAGTGGCAACAGCTGTGGGGTTCAAGGTCTTTAGCCTGTGCTGCAGATCTCCACGGAGGCCCTGCCAATGGTAATGTTCTCTTCCCTGGCTGGCTGTCAAGGAAAGCCAGAGAGATCTATCTTCGGCCCTCAGCCAGCTGGAATGGGCACTGCCAAGGAAACTGGCACTGTTTTGGGAGACAGCTGGCCCTCTGGGGCCAGGAAGAAGCATGTTCACAGGTAGGGGCAAGCCAGGAGGCTGTCCCCAGCCTCAAGATGCGAAGAAGGGTTTGCACCTCAGCCTTGGCACCTACTTGTTACAGGACCTTGTGGATGTCACTTCCCCATCTGGGGCCTTGATTTCTCATCTGTAAAATAGGGTTGGTGGTAATTTACACTTTTGCTGGTCTGTGTGTTGTTTGCTTGTGTTTGTCAAATTAATTGTGCACTTGTTTACTTCCTGTGTTCACACTGGTCTGCACATTTCCTGAGGACTAGAAACACACGTGTCATGCCGTTCAGCACACAGTTTTTGATTGATTAAGTGACTATTGCAAAGATCAAATGAGATGGGGAATGAGAAAGCACTTAGCAAAATATGAAATGCAAAAGATACCTACAATAGTATCAGGCTCTTATCTCACCATGACATGACCCAGCCTCAGCACATGAAAGCATCACTCCAGGTGGTGACAAGGATGAGAAAACACAGATAGGAATGATCAACATTGAAAAGGCAGGCAAAAATAATAACAATTTGCTGATGGTACGATTTTCTACCTTGAAAAATTCAAACTCTGCTGGGGAAACATGAGCGGCTCTAGTAAGAAAGTTTGGTAAAATAACTGGATAGAAGAACTAGGTAAAAATTAATTGTTTTCCCATTTAGTTACTATTTTTAATTTCAAGATGTTATTTAAAAAAAGATCTCGCTCATAATAGCAGCAACAAGCTGAAAAAGTCTAGGAAATATACTTAACAAGAAGTGTTGCAAGTGCTATAAGGAGAAATCTTTAACACTTCATTCCAGGAGGGGGGAAAGAATATGTGAATAAATAGAGACACATTCAGTTTCTAGAAAGGAAGTCCCAATTGTAAAGATGTCAATTCTCCCTAACAGAATTAATACATATAACGTAATTCCAGGGAAAATAGCAGTGGGAGCATGAAGTTTATTTGGAAGAGTCCTTGCTTAAGAATAGCGAAGACAATTTGGGACAAGAATAATAATGAAATAGTGATAAAGAGATCTTACCTAACTTGCTAACCAAAACATAGGATGAAATGACAGTCATTAAAACTGTGTGGGTTTTGCATGAGAATTCCTGCTCTTAGGACTCAATGGATTATTCGTAGACATTCAGTGATGCGACCTTCCTGTGGGGCATGGTGGAGCCTCAGCTCGGTAGAGTGTAAACCCTGTTTTGCAGGGGTCTGGTTCAATTCTTACCTCCCCGGCTCCTAGCAGTGAGACCTCAAGTAACCTATGTAACTTCTCTAGGTTCTGTTCAGCGAAATGGATATTATAACAGTACTGGAGTTGATGAGGGAATTAAACGAGCCGGAGTATAAGTGGCACTTAGCATGGTGCCTGTGGTAAACTCTCAACAGATGATTATTTTATTCACTAAAAACAATAATAAATAAGTAAATTGTTAATTGGCTTATGGGCCAAGGAAAAGCCAGTTGCATTTTTTCAGTTATTGGTTGATAAAATCTTGGCACAATTTCCCAATTTGAGTCCTTGCTGGGCAAGCTCTGAGCAGATGGGAGGTGGAACATCTGCGTATTGAACTTGGATTCATTTCCTCTGCCCTCAGCTCACCTTCCAGGTGGTTCTGTGGGTTCACTGTGGTTGTTCTTTCTGATCGTGGTTCAGAAGACCAGCCTCCTGGCCATCCTCACAGGCCAGACTTGCTGAAGCCAGGATTAGACAAGCAAGAGCTGTCCAAACTTTATCCTGTAGGGGAAGGGCCGCTGTTCTGCACTGTATTTTTTCCATGGGTCCTTCCATGCCTACGATGCACTCCCTATCCCACAGGGCTGAGTTCAGTACAGAGTGGGGAGTTCCCTTCCACTCCCCTCCCCACCTACCCTAAGCCTTCTGGCACGCACTGGGCTCCCAGCTGGGAGAGAACAATATTTTCCCAAACACAATCTGTATGTGATCTGGGGTAAAGCTCCCTGGGGTGACCTTGGGACAGTTTGCAAGGAAATAAGCAGAGAGCACAGTGAAATGCTCAGTGTCCTGTGAGCACAGTGGGCACCACATGCAGGTCGCTGTTGGGGCTGTCATCACAACCGTCCCCTCCGATGGGAGAGACGGCAGCCCCTAGAGAATGGGCTGTGCGGGAAGAGAGGGATTGTTCTGAAGGGGAGGCAGATGGAGTAGGAAGACCACTAGATGAGGAGTCATGAAGCCCAGGTTTGAGCCACTTAGCCTCTTAGGAGAGGAGGTAACTGCAGGGCGGGTGAGCTTCTCCCACCAGGCTGTCTTTTCCTGAAGGGAAAGACCAGTGTCCTATTTGTGTCCCCAGGCCCACTAGGGTGCAGTGTAAGTCCTGGAGGTGCCCTAGCATTGAGAAGGTTGAGGGCAGGGGGCCACGTGGGCCTGGGCAGAGTGGAGTCCATGTGACGGTTGACCTTTCAGAGGGCACTGATGGTGCTCCCATGGCCCCACCCTCTAGCTGACATTCATCCCTGGTCATAGACACTGTAGGCACAAGTTTCTGGATATCATGGAGACAGGACTTCGACGCTGACCAGGGCTAAGCATCCATCTGATTGGAGTCAATGCCCATCTGGGGCCTATCAAAGAAGTCGTGGGCTATCACTCTGTGATTTTTTTCCCTTACCAGTAACCAGTTCAAACTCCCATTTTTTCCTTCTTTGTAAATGACACTATCATCTCCCAAATTCCTTAGGCTGCAAACATTGATATTTTCCTAGAGTTTCCTCCCTTTCCTTCAGCATCCACATCAAATTCATCAACAAACCTTGCCAATGCCATCACCAATTACTGTCTCAGAGATCCATGTCTCTATCTCGGTTGCTGAGAACTTAGCCCAAGCCATCCCAGGGCAGGATAGTGCCCAGAGCCCCCAGCTGGGGATCTCTACCTCATTCCAGAGTCCAGCATAAGGAAGCCTGTGTTCTCAAAAGAATAAGCTGCATGTTCTATTATCAGTTTTTTTAAAAAATTTCATTTTATTTTAGATTCAGGGGGTACATGCACATATTTGTTATATGGGTATATTGTATATTGGTGGGGATTGAGCTTTTAGGGTACCCATTACCCAAATAGTGAACATTACATCTGATGGGTAATTTTCCAATACGATTATCAGTTTTATCAGTAATAATAGTAACAGTTTTGTCTTATTTCTTAATTGGTTCAGAATTTAGGGAAGAGAGGAGTTGTTCATTGAGCCCCTTCAAAAATACCAACCCTAACACCTTGATAGCACTTTATAGGTCAAAGAGTATTCCTATTTATAATTTCCTGGAATCCTTCTTTCAGTTATGCAACGTAAAGATTATTATTATCCTCACTTTACTAATAAAAAAGTTAAGACTGAAAATTGTGAAGTGACTTGTTCAAGGTCACACAGAGTCAAGCATAGAATCCAGGTTTCACAAAAATTTGCTACCATGGCTTCTTCCTTTTGGCTTAAGTCTTGGACTCCTATTAAAATACAGTTTTATAATTATATAACTGCATTAATTAAGACGTCATGGTACTGATGGAGGGAGAGGCACTTAGATCAATGAAAGACTCATTTATCGGGGGAAGAGGAGGGTAGCATAAGGAAGTTTCTTTGCTTATGCCCATCCTTACACTTCACAGAAATATATATTCTCTCTCCAAATGAGCATGTAAAATATGGTGAAATCCAGCTGGGCATGGTGGCTCATGCCTGTAATCCCAGGACTTTGGGAGGCTGAGGTGGGTGGATCATGAGGTCAGGAGGTCGAGACCAACCTGGCCAATAGGGTGAAACCCCATCTCTACTAAAATTACAAAAATTAGCCAGGCGTGGTGGCAGGCCCCTGTGGTCCCAGCTACTCGGGAGGCTGAGGCAGAAGAATCACATGAACCCAGGAGGTGGAGGTTGCAGTGAGCTGAGATCGTGCCACTGCACTCCAGCCTGGGCAACAGAGCAAGACTCCATCTCAAAAAAAAGAAAAAAAAAAAAAAGAACCTTAGAATGGAAACTTAAATGTAAAATGGCAGTGATGATTATGTAATTACCTCCCTCATAGAGTTATGAAGACAAATTAATAAATATGTTTTTAAAAATGGTGAAATCCAAATAAGGTCTGTAGTTTAGTTGACAGTATTGTACCAATGTCATTTTCCTGATTTTGAGACTATACTATGGCTGTGCAAGATATAGCTGGATGCAGGGTACATGGGAGCTCTCTATGCTAATGTTGCAACTTCTTGCAAGTCTTTATTTCAAAATAAAAATGTTTTTAAATGCAGATCCCACGAGGCAATAGATATGTACTTTAATTCTGAGATGGCAAATGAATTTCAACTCCCATCCCAATTGTAGTCAACTGACAGGGGTTCTCTGGTCCACAATTCATAGTGTTAAGAAGTCTGAAGCCACATATGGGCCCAGTGGTAACGAGCACCTTCACTAATGAGTGATGCCTGCTGTGGACTCTGGGAATGGGATGGGGAGCATGGGGCAGGTTCACGCCATCTGTGCACGCAATCCCTAACAGCTCAGTGTGAACCAAGGTGCTGAGACTAGGGAGACACTGGCCTGAGACAGAGGGGAGAGGAGGGAGGGGGCAAAAGAGGGAAGCAGGTGCTCTGTGCAATCCTGTTTATGTCAAGTTCAAGAATGGGCAATGTGAAACAGTGGTAGCTTTTAGTGGTGGGAATTGATTGGTAGGCAGCATGGGAGTGATGGAAAAGTGTTCTCTATCTCTATCTTGGAGTGTTGGTCATGCCAGTGTGAACATTTGTTAAAAGTTATTGGGCTGTATTTTAAGATCTGTGCATTTTATTACATATAAATTATACCTCAACAATAAAAAAAGAGGGAGGCAAGGCAGATCTCTGAAAAGAAAATCATTTCCACAAGTAAAACGTACCCTGGAACTTCCAAGGCTATCATGGGAGGAATTCCTCCTAGTGGACAACGGGTGGTAGACCAGATGCTCAGACAGGCCTATGTTACCCCCCATCCCTTGGTGATGGGGCTGTTTGGGGCAAATTCCCAGCCCAGCCACTTCCTAGCTGGGTGGCCTTGGACAACTTGCTGAATCTTTCTGCTTCCATTTCCTCAGCTGTAAAATGGGGGTAGAAATAGCGCCTGCCTCACAGGGTACTTGCATGAATTAAAGGAGTTAATCCGGTGAAGAGCTTAAAATAGTGCGGTCTGGTGCACAGCACCTGCTCCATGTATCTGAGCCACTATTGTGATTGTGGTTATTTTTATTATTGTTCCCATTTTGATTCCTATCACTAACAGCTGCTGTTCCTCTTTAAGGCTGTGGCACGAGGGTGAACACAAATTCTTCCTCGGACATAGCTGAGACTCACTGGATATCCAAAGAGATCAAACCCTTCAGGAAGACAACAGTGAAAGACACACTCTCTGTCCACTGCAAGGTAGAGCCTGGCCCCCATGGAGTAAGCTCTGCCCTGGATCCCGTCCCTTCCAATCTGCCCTTTGGGAGCCTGCAGCCCCACTCTTAGACTTACTGTGTGCTAGTGCTGGGCTGCTCTCAGTACAGAGTTGCCATCTGGGCACTCACTGCCTCCTAAGTATTTCATATCTTGAGCAAGATAAGAGAGCTCCTACGGCCTCTGCTCCTGCCTCCCAGTTCCTGGTCTGGGAGCCATGTACTTGCCTTGATCACTAGCCCCAGAAATGATCTCACTCCTTAGGCGAGGCCTTGACTTCTCCCTACTGTGAGGGCTCAGTCCCCCAGACAGGGCTGGTGTATAAAACAGCATGGCAGAGGGGAGGAGTTGCTGTTTCTTTCCAAACACCCACTTTGTACTGCTCTGAGAACAATCAATAAACTTCTATTATCTTAAGCTGTGGATGTTTGGAGTTTTGTTACAGCAGCTAGTATTTCCTTGAAGAATACACACACGAAGAGACAGAGAGGAAAGGGAGAAGGATGTTTCAGATAAAACCACATGTGCAAAAGCCCTAGGGAGAGACAGAGGAAGAGTGATGCCAGGTGAGGCTGGAGGTAAACTGAGGCAGCTCAGGGGGCTCTTTCAGCTGTGCTAAGCACAGTTGGGACTCCATCCTAAGGAAACAGGGTGTACACAGGCCAGACACTCCCAGACATGCCCCTCTGTACCCTAAGGCTCAGAGGAGACAGGTAACTTGCTGAATGGAGGTCACTTGATCAGTGAAGGCAGAGTTGGACCCTCCCCCCGACTCCAAGGCTCCCTGCCTCCATGTCCCTAAGCGCTCAGCTCTATACTTCAAACAGAATATTCTACAACAGAGAAACAAGGACATCCGTCTCCCAAGAGTTCCATGAGATTCCTGACTATGTGGGCCCCTTCTCCAATATTCTGGGACTGGCCCCCAACAGGAGTGCTGTCTCCTGGCACCAGGCCCAGGCCAGCTCACAAAATGATGTCCCTTCCTCCCCCGCGCACCCCTCCCCCAACGAGCAACAGTGGCCCTCAGCATTCCCCACCCTGACTGAGGCTTTGCATCCTCAGGAAAACCAAATGAATATCCACCCTGGTGTAGTCCTCTTTCCTGGGGGATCCCAAAGAAGCTCATCACCCAATAGGTGAGGTTGACCACTTTGACCAGCTCCCACCTGTGGTCTGGTCCACAAATAGGGCACAGTAGGTAGCAGAGGTTGGCCAGAGTTACTCACTCCTCTCTGCAGCTTTCTGGGTAGAGTGAGCAATGTGGCAGGGTTGCAGACAATGCCCAGCTCCCCATCTGGACATCCTCAGCGGAGCTAAAAGCAGACATCACTGTGTCCCCTGGGCTACCACTATTAACTAAGTGCACCCTTGCTAAACCACTAGGCAGAAATTCTTGGGGTTTTTTTTTTTTTTTGGTTTGTTTAGAGACAGAGTCTTGCTCTGTTGCCCAGGCGTGATCATAGCTCACTGTAACCTCGACCTCCTGGGCTTAAGTGATCCTTCCACCTCAGTCTCCTGAGTAGTTAGGACTATAGACATGCACCACCACACCCAGCTATTTTTTTTTTAATTTTTTGTAGAGATGGGGTCTCACCTGTGTTGCCCAGGCTGGTCTCGAACTCCTGGCCTCAAGTGATCCTCCCACTCCAGCCTCCCAAAATGCTAGGATTACAGACATGAGCCAACATGCCTGGCCTAGGCAGTGATATATGATGTGGGCAGGAAAGGCTAGGAGTTGGGCTAAGATCCCCATTTCTCTGCCACCCCTCTTCAACATGTTTGCCCCCGTTTCTGAAACTGGGGTGTTTTGGATCACCTCTGTTCAAGGCTTTCCTTGGTTTTGGGGAGTTCACTGGATGATGCCCAGGGGCAGAGCTTCTAGTACTCTGCCCACCTCCTTCCCTGACCCTATCCAGAACAAAGTCCTCTTTTATCATACTCAACTTTCCCATAAGATAGCATTTGAAGAAAGGATTTTACTACTAAAACAATAGTACAAAAACAATCTCCCCTTGGCTCAGCTCACTCCCTGACCTCCTGCAGGTCACCCCATCAATTGAAAGAAGCCATGTGATATGGTTTGGCTCCGTGACCCCACCCAAATCTAATCTTGAATTGTAATCCCCATGTGTGGAGGGAGAGATCTGGGTGGGAGGTGAATGGCTCATGGGGGCAGCTTCCCCCATGCTGTTCTCATGACAATGAGGGAGTTCTCACAAGATCTGATGGTTTGAAATTCAAGTCCAACCCTCCAATTTTCTAGATGGAGACCCTGAATTTCAGAAAAAGGAAATGAGTTTCTTGAAAACATACATATAGGTTACAGAAAATGAGCTGCTTTCCTATTCATGTCTGTCATTATCCATCCATTCATCCACACAACCACCCAACTACCTATCCAGCCAGCCAGCCAGCCAGCCACCCATCCATCTATCCATCTATCCATCTGTCCATCCATCCATCCACCCACCCATCCATCCACCGAGGCAACTTTTACCGCAGGCTTAGATATTCTGGCCTTCTAACCTTGCAGCCAAGGTCATTGCATCTAAAGCTCTCAGCCTTCTTAGCATCATGGAAGAGAAAAGCCTGGGTTTCTACATAGATTTAGGCTTCAGCTCCTTTTCTGTCACCTTCCAGCAATGAGCTTAATTTCACTTTTTTCAGCTAGAAAATGGATCAGCACTTTCTACCTTCGGATTACTGTGGGGAGTTATCGAGGTCATGAACACGATCCTTGACCTAGTGCCTAGAATGCATGGGACCTTCATGCCTGCTCCACGTCTGAATGAGTTTTCCAAGTGCCCCATACTTGGGCATGAGTGGGGAGACCGGGGCTGTTCTTATCCAGAGGTGTTCAGGGCCACCAGGGAAGGATGTTTCTCTGCTCCCCTTGCAGAAAGCCTGGCCCTAGTCCTTCCTAGGTTGTGACCTAATTTTGGTCTGGCCAGAAGTGGCATCTTCCTTTATCCCTCATTGTCTTGAAGACCTTGAGTGAACTTGGCCAGGACGATTTCTGCAGGAGTAACACATCCAGCCAGCTGGGCATGGTGTGCACCTCCTGTCCCCACCCTGTCTCACACACTTTCCCTGAGTGGTGCCCGCAGCTTCTGCGGTACCGCCTCCCAGATCTCCCCATGGCTCAGCTCACTCCCTGACCTCCTGCAGGTCACCCCATCAATTGTCACCTCCTGAGAGAAGCATGTGATATGTCTTGGCTCTGTGTCCCCACCCAAAGCTCATTTTGAATTATAATCCCCATGTGTCAAGGGAGGGACCTGGTGGGAGGTGATTGGATCATGGGGGTGATTTCCCCCATGCTGTTCTCATGACAGTGAGGGAGTTCTCACGAGATCTGATGATTTAAACATGGCAGTTTCCCCTGTGCACACATTCTCTTTCTCTCTTTCTCTCTCACTCTCTCTCCTTCCACCTTGTAAAGAAGGTACTTGCTTCTCCTTTGCCTTCCACCATGATCGTTAAGTTTCCTGAGGCCTCCCCAGCCATGTGGAACTGTGAGTCAATTAAACCTCTTTCCTTTATAAATTACCCAGTCTCTGGTAGTATCTTTATAGCAGTGTGAAAATGGACTAAAATAGAAAAATGGACTAAAATACCAGGCCGAATGCTCTCTCTACCACTTTCTCTTTCCATAACTTATTTTTTATTACGTCATTGGAAATTAGATGACATTCATTGTTCCCTTGTTTATCACCTGCCTCATCACACTGGGGCGTAAGTTCCATTACTTTGTTCATTGCTGTATCCCCAGCCCCGTCTCTTGGTTGGTGCTTAGAAAGATTTGTCTAAGGAGTATATTGGTGAGAAATTGGGAAATTCTAAACTTTCTAGCCCTAAAATTAGCCATATTCACTGAAATCACTCACCCTTACCCCACAGGGTATCTATGGCTGCCTGGGTTGAGGTGGTGATGACACAGACCAGGTTCTGGACAGAGCATTTGAACTTCTCCCAAAGGGGCAGTGGAAAAAGTCCAACTTACCCAGCGGTGTGTGAGGGACTGTGCATGGCTCATACCTTCTCTCAAGAGCAGGCAGATAAGTGACTGAATGCCAGAAGCTTGAGAAGCTGGTCTTAAGTTCAAATCCTGACTCTACCACTTTCTAGAAGTCACTTAGCCTCTCTGAGCCTCAGTTCCTTTTGGACAACAGAGTGGATGATTCTTGCCTCACAGAGATGTTCATCTCAAAAGCTACACTTCACTGTTATTTGAGCACTGGGATCCAATGGTGAGCATGCCAGACACAAATCTTGTCGATTGGAGTGAGTGAGTTGTGTGACCTTAAACAAGTTACACAACCTTGGGGTGCATCAGTTTCCCCATTTGTAAGATTTGTAAAGCTTTCATGAGTTAATGCACGTTAACTCTTTGGATCTGTGCCTGGCACTAATAATGCTCAGTGGTTTTATTTTTATATTTCTTCTTTGAAAATTAATGTACATTTTACATACAGTAAATTTACACTTAATTGCATATATTATATAAAGTAAGAATTGTATACAAATCTTAAATATATAGTAAGAAGAGTTTTGACAGGTGAGGTATATGTAAATATATATATATGTATAAATTCTAGGCTAGGTGCGGTGGCTCATGCCTGTAATCCCAGCATTTTGGGAGGCCAAGGCAGGTGGATCACCTGAGGTTAGGAGTTCGAGACAGCCTGGCCAACATGGTGAAACCATGTCTCAATCAAAAATACAAAAAATTATCCAGATGTGGTGGCAGCCGCCTGTAATCCCAGCTACTCGGGAGGCTGAGGCAGGAGAATCACTTGAACCTGGGAGGCGGAGGTTGCAGTGAGCCAGGGTCATGCCATGGCACTCCAGCCTGGGCAACAAGAGCAAAACTCTGTCTCAAAAAAAAAAAAATCTATATGTATGTATATATGTATGGGTATATACATATAATCTCCAACTAGATAATCCAAACCCCAAGCAGGACCTAG
Organism: Homo sapiens; assembly: GCF_000001405.40. Lineage (NCBI taxonomy): Eukaryota > Metazoa > Chordata > Mammalia > Primates > Hominidae > Homo > Homo sapiens. The sequence continues at coordinate 45,002,964 of NC_000011.10, forward strand.
AACATTCTTATCGCTTCAGATGGATCCTTTATACCCCTTCCCAGTCAATTCCTGCCATCTCCCCTCCCCAACAGGCAACTACTGCACCATTCTAATGTCTGTCACTCTAGCTAAGTGTTGCCTATTCATGAGATTCATTTAAATGAATCAAACAGTACACAATCTTTTGTGTCTGGCTTCTTTTGCTCAGCCTAGTGTTGTTGCAGTTTATCCATTTTGTTGTGTGTATCAGTAGTTTATCCCTTGTTATTGCCGAGTGCTGTTCCATCATGTAGATATGCCGCAGTTTGTTTATCCATTTTCTTGTTGATGGATATTTGGATTGTGCACACTTCTGGGTAATTGGGAATAATGTGGCTATAAACATTCTTGTGTATGTCTGTCTCACTGTGGGCATGTTTCCATTTCTCTTGGATACCTAAAACAATTATTGGTCATAAGGTAAGTAGATGTTCAACTTTATGAGCAATGTTCAACTATAGTGCTTTGAAATTTCTTGAGACTTATTTTTTGGCCCAGCTCTTAGTCTGTCTTGCTGACTGTTCCACGTGTACTTGAAAATAAAAACGTGTATTTTGCAGTTCTAGAGTGTAGCATTTTACAAATGTCAATTGGCTTAAATTGAGTAATTGTGTTCCTCAAGTCTTCTATAAACTTACTGGTATTTTGTCTCTCAACGGCTGAGGAAGGAGTGTTAAATTTTCAACAATAATTATGATTTTCCCTATTTCTTCCTGTAGTTCACATATTTTGAAGCTCTGTTACTAAGCATCTACACATTTATGAGTATTATATCTTCTTATTTATTTATTTTTTTAAGGCAGAGTCTCGCTTTGTCTCCCAGGCTGGAGTGCAGTTGCATGATCTCGGTTCACTGCAACTTCTGCCTCCCAGGTTCAAGCCATTCTTGTGCCTCAGCCTCCCAAGTAGCTGGGATTACAGGCACATGCCACCACGCTCGGCTACAATTTTTGTATTTTTAGTAGAGACGGGGTTTCACCATGTTGGCCAGGCTTGTCTTGAGCTCCTGCCCTCAGGTGATTTGCTGGGATTACGGGATTACAGGCATGAGCCACCGTGCCTGGCCAAGAGTATTATATCTTTTTAATAATTGACAATTTCATCATTTAAAAACACCCTGCTTAATATTTCTTGCCTCATATTCTACTTTGTCAGGTCTTAATATAGCCACACCAGCTTTCTAATGCTTAATGTTTGCATACTTCATAATTTTATAGCCTTTTATTTTTAACTGATCTATGTTTGTATTTAAAATAGGTTTCCTGTGGACAGCGCATCACGCGTCTTGCTTTTTTTGCACATTCTGACAACCACTGCTTTTAACTGGGGTGTTGAGCACTATTTAATATAATTGTAATTTCTGATAAGTTGGGCATAAGTCTATCATCTTAATATTTGTCTTCTACTTGTAATAATCTGCTCTTTGTTTTATCTTTTCCCGCCTTCTTTTGAATTACTTCTTTTGAATTATTGGCCTTTAAGCTATGTATTTTTGCTCTGTTTATTTTAGAAGTGTCTCTAGGAACTAAAATATACATCTGTAATTACCAAATTCTACTTTGAATTAATATTATACCTTCACATATAATGTAATAATTTTAAAACACTCTACTTCCATTTTACCCTCTTTCAATCCTTGGATTGAAAAGTTAGCCAGGTGTGGTGGTGAGTGCCTGTAATCCCAGCAACTTGGGAGGCTGAGGCCTGAGAATTGTCAAATATTTGTCAATTTTTTGTCCAATATTTCACCTGTATATGTGACATAAAACCTAAAACATATCATTATATTATTTTTGCTTTTAACAGTCTGTTTTTATCACCTTCATTGAGGTCCACTTTACATAGCATAAAATCCAGCCACCGTATAAGTGTACAATTCAATGATTTTCAGTAAATTGATGGTGTTGTACAACCATTGCCACAATACAATTTTAGAAAATTTCTATCATCCCGAAAAGATACCTTGTGCCAATTTTCAATAACTTGTCATTGTCCTCTCTCCCAGCCTTGGGCAACCACTGCTATATTTTATGTGCCTATAGTTTGTCTTTTCTGAACAGCTCATGTAAAGTAGTCTTTCACATTTGGCTTTTTAAATTTAGCATAACGTTTTTGAGGTGCATCATATTGTAGCTTGTGTTATTAGCCTGCTCCTTTTTATTGCTGGGTGGTATTCCACTGTATGGATGTATTACATTTTGTTTATTAATTCACCAGTTGATGGGCATTTGTGTTGTTTTCACATTTTGGACATTATGCATAATGCTGTTATGAAAGTCCTGTAAAAATCTTTGTGTGTACATATGATTTATCTCTCTTGAGTAAATGCCCTTAGGAGTGAAATTGCTGGGTTATATTACAAATGTGTGTTTAACTCTTTAAGAAACTGCTAAACTGTTTTTCAAAATGACTAGAACATGTTACATTCGCACCTGCAGTGTATGATCAATTGCTTTTTAGAGTAAAGAGGAAAAAATAATCTTTTATATTTAAAAATATATACTTAGCTTTGATGGTGCTCTTTATTCCTTCTTGTAGATCTGAGTTTCTATCTATACAATTTCGCTTCAGCCTGAACATCTTATTATCTGAATCTGCTAGCAATAAATTCTGGTTTTATCCAAAAATATCTTTTTCTTTTCTTTTCTTTTCTTTCTTTCTTTTCTTTTCTTTTCTTTTCTTTCTTTCTTTCTTTCTTTCTTTCTTTCTTTCTTTCTTTCTTTCTTTCTTTCTTCCTTCTTTCTTTCTTTCTTTCTTTTTCTTTCTTTCTCTTTCTTTCTTTCCTTTTTTTTCTCGAGACAGGGTCTCATTCTGTCGCCCAGACTGGACTGCAGTGACATGGCTTCAGCTCACTGCAACCTCTACCTCCAGGGTTCAAGCAATTCTCAGGCCTCAGCCTCCCAAGCCACTGGGATTACAGGCACTCACCACCACACCTGGCTAATATTTGTATTTTTAGTAGAGACGGGGTTTCTCCATGTTACCCAGGGTGGGTGGTCTTGAACTCCTGGCCTCAAGTGATCTGCCCACCACGGCCTCCCAAAGTGCTGGGATCACAGGCATGAACCACTGTGCCCAGCTTGAAAATATCTTGATTTTACTTTTATTTTCGAGGGATAGTTCACTGGATGTAGAATTCGTGGTTGGCAGCTTTGGATTCTTCCAGCACTTTGAAGACATTTTCCATTGTTTGTTGACTTGCACTATTTCCAGTAAAAAGTTAGCCTTCATTCTTATTATTCTGTTCCTATATGTAATGCATGTTTGCGGGAACACTTTTAGGTTATTTCTATTTATCCTTGGTTTGTATCAATGTTACTGTAACATACCTCATCGTGATGTTTTTTGTGTTTATACTGTGTTCTCCTTTCCTTATCGGATCCAGTTCTACATCTGTATACTACCTGATGGTACACCACAGGTTGGTGCTTTGTTCATTTTTTTAAAATCTTTTTTCCCTCCATGTTTCAGTTTCAATTTATCTTGACCGATCTTTAAGTTTACTGATTCCCTTTCTACTGTTTATCCAATAAATTTTCAGTTATACTTTAATTTTCACCTCCAGAATTGCCATTTTATTTTTTAGAACTTTCACTGATAGTCTGAAATATCCCACCTTTTCATCCATTCTATTTCCCATAAATATCTTAATCTATTCATATATATTTAAAGTTTTTTTTCTAATTCTAATTGGGACATGTCTGCTTCTATTACTTGTGTATTGTCTTGATTGTGGGTCACATTTTTCCCATTGCTTCTCTTGTCTAGTGTTTAATTATATTATATTCTTGAGAGTGTGCATAAAGTAACAATTGAGTTTGGAGAGTAATTTTTATTTTTAGTTTTGTTTTTTAGAACACCTAAACCGTTTCTGCTGTCTGGTGGTTAGATTGAGAAGCTGATCACTCAGATTTCTCAGAGTGTAATTGAGCTGGTGATGAGAAACAGCTTAATTACATTGAGTTACCTGTGGTTAGCCAACCACCAGCATCCTCTGTCTTTCCAATCTTGTTAGTGTTTGGAGTAGAGGTGATTGGCTGCAGTTTCAGTTATTTTTGGTTCACACTTTAATTCAACTACTTCAGGGTCCTGCAACCCAATCACAGCGAGAATGCATGAGACCATGCAAGTTTTCCCTGCTCATGTATCTTTCCACCACCACTGCCTTCTAGAAAAAGATAAGCAGGACCGGTGGGGCTGCTAAATTGCTGAACCGAATGATCCATTCTTGCATCTAAGATTATCCATCTTGCTGGCCTGAGTGACTTCTCTTTGCATTCGGGACTCTTCCAGACCCGTTTGATCTGCCATCCCATACTCTGGTCCAAGCTGGAATAATTTTTCCTTGTCCTTGCAAAGTCTCTCCGTCTATGGTTGATGTGCCTTTGTCCACCCACGCAGAATGGCATCTCTTTAGTTGCGGAGCTGCCATAGCTCTTGTTTCTGGAATTCAGTTCATTGAGGCTTCTTTGATCCTACAGCTCTTCTCTAGCACCGTAAAAAGTCTGACTTTTATTTTGTATGAGTTTTTCTTGTTGTTACCACAGGAACAAAGGCCTTTTACACTTCTCTACATCTTAAACAGAAGTAGACATTTCTATAATTGTTAGCTATTATTATTAGTGAATACAGTCATTAATAAGATAAGCACACAAAAAATAAAACTGCAATGAAGATTAATGCTATTATGCAGAAGCACATGGTTCTCTGAGAATATTTTCTGGCAAAATGACCATTTTGCAGGTAAGGAAACTGAAATTAAGAAAAACTAAGTACTTCACCCAAGGTCACATTACTAGCAATGAGCAGTGTCAGGATTTAAACTATCACCCAATTCTAGAATCTTGACTTTTACCCATGGTGCTATAAAAACAAAAATTTATGTTTAATTTACTTGAAGTTCCAGACATATAAAAAGCATTTAATAAATGACATTATGTAAAAAATATCCTGCCTATGAGTTAGCAACCAGGAACACAGCGGATAGATAGTTCTCAACAAATATTTATCGAATGATGGAATGAATCTTCACCCCACAACACACACACACACACACACACACTCTCTCTCTCTCTCTCTCTCAACTTGCCTTGGCAGAAGAACCTAATATCTGAAGGGATTTCAGAATCTTCTGTCACATACATCGAGCCTGCTTTTGTGTCTTTGTTCCAGCTACCTCCTCCTTCTCTGGTTTGACAGCTAGTGGCTCTGGGGAATTAGACAATGGGATAGAAAGGGGAAATCTCAAAGTTCTAGAATGGCCTCATGTTCCCTGAAGCTTACTGGGTTTCTGGCTCCAAGATGACCCAGTGGCATCTCCACTACGTGCTGGAGACTGAGAGGCTCAGGACAGTGCCTGAAGTTCATTCACCCTCAGGCTACGTCTTCAGGGACTCTGATCTGCTACTAAAACCAAGCCCCAGGGAGTGAAGGTCCCTGCCATGTCATCCCTCTGATCTCCTCCCTGTGAGGGCAAAGAAAACTACTGGGTGTTGATCATCCAGCACCGGTAGAACCTGCAGTCAGCTCTTAGACTCCAGTATAATTGTGAAGTGTGCTGCAGCAAACAGGTCAGTTCAAATCCCAGCTTTACTTACTTCATGTTGTACAGTCTTGAGCAGTGTGCTTAACCACCCTGAACCTTAGTTTTCCATCTAAAACATGGGTATTAAAAATATAACCTCCCACATAAAGTAGTTGATTAACTGGGCAAATGCATGGTCTGGTTTAGCACAGTGCTTGGCACATAATAAACACTCAATAAAAAATAGCATTCTTATTAAGCTATTTGGATTATATATTACCAGCAGAAGGATCAGGATTTGAATCAAAGTCTATATGTTTTAACTGTTGTATTACTTTTCTCACCCAGTGAGCTTGTTAGCAAGACATATTTCAGATTTTAGCCTCCAAAGATGCTGATTCAGAGGATCTAGGGTGGGGTTCAGGAACCTGCATGTTGATATGCACTCCAGGTGATTCAGATGCAGTATCTAGGGCCATACTTTGACAAGCACCCTAGGCTTTTTCACTTCCCTGCTTGGGGCCAGGCACTGTACAGAGATACAGGTTTGGAGGAAGACCCTGGTCACATCTGGTCCTCAGCACATCATCTGTCTGCACTCTGCAGATACAGCAAAGAACAGCTGCCCTCCTTGGTACATTTAGGTGGTTCTGGGAGTCCCATGGGGGGACCACATCCCCAGCTGTTGGCATGAGACAACATAGGAAAGCTGGAGCCCCCAAAACCAGCCCACTCTTTTTTTTTTAAGGTGGTTTTTTTCTTTATTTTTAAAAGGAAATTTAAAATTTTTACTATTATTATTATTATACTTTAAGTTTTAGGATACATGTGCACAACATGCAGGTTTGTTACATATGTATACATGTGCCATGTTGGTATGCTGCACCCATTAACTCATCATTTAGCATTAAGTATATCTCCTAATGCTATCCCTCCCCCCTCCCTCCACCCCACAACAGTCCCCAGTATGTGATGTTCCCCTTCCTGTGTCCATGTGCTCTCATTGTTCAATTCCCACCTATGAGTGAGAACACGCAGTGTTTGGGTTTTTGTCCCTGCGATAGTTTGCTGAGAATGATGGTTTCCAGCTTCATCCATGTCTCTACAAAGGACATGAACTCATCATTTTTTATGGCTGCATAGTATTCCATGGTGTATATGTGCCACATTTTCTTAATCCAGTCTATCATTGTTGGACACTTGGGTTGGTTCCAAGTCTTTGCTATTTTGAATAGTGCCACAATAAACATACGTGTGCATGTGTCTTTATAGCAGCATGATTTATAATCCTTTGGGTATACACCCAGTAATGGGATGACTGGGTCAAATGGTATTTCTAATTCTAGATCTCTGAGGAATTGCCACACTGACTTCCACAATGGTTGAACTAGTTTACAGTCCCACCAACAGTGTAAAAGTGTTCCTATTTCTCCACATCCTCTCCAGCACCTGTTGTTTCCTGACTTTTTAATGATCACCATTCTAACTGGTGTGAGATGGTATCTCATTGTGGTTTTGATTTGCATTTCTCTGATGGCCAGTGATGATGAGCATTTTTTCATGTGTTTTTTGGGTGCATAAATGTCTTCTTTTGAGAAGTGTCTGTTCATATCCTTTGCCCACTTGTTGATGGGGTTGTTTGTTTTTTAAATTTGTTTGAGTTCATTGTAGATTCTGGATATTAGCCCTTTGTCAGATGAGTAGATTGCAAAAATTTTCTCCCATTCTGTAGGTTGCCTGTTCACTCTGATGGTGGTTTCTTTTGCTGTGCAGAAGCTTTTTACTTTAATTAGATCCCATTTGTCAATTTTGGCTTTTGTTGCCATTGCTTTTGGTGTTTTAGACATGAAGTCCTTGCCCATGCCTATGTCCTGAATGGCATTGCCTAGGTTTTCTTCTAGGGTTTTTATGGTTTTAGGTCTAACATGTAAGTCTTTAATCCATCTTGAATTAATTTTTGTATAAGGTGTAAGGAAGGGATCCACTTTCAGCTTTCTACATATGGCTAGCCAGTTTTCCCAGCACCATTTATTAAATAGGGAATCCTTTCCCCATTGCTTGTTTTTGTCAGGTTTGTCAAAGATCAGATAGTTGTAGATATGCGGCATTATTTCTGAGGGCTCTGTTCTGTTCCATTTGTCTACATCTCTGTTTTGGCACCAGTACCATGCTATTTTGATTACTGTAGCCTTGTAGTATAGTTTGAAGTCAGGTAGCCTGATGCCTCCAGCTTTGTTCTTTTGGCTTAGGATTGTCTTGGCAATGTGGGCTCTTTTTTGGTTCCATATGAACTTTAAAGTAGTTTTTTCCAATTCTGTGAAGAAAGTCATTGGTAGCTTGATGGGGATGGCATCGAATCTATAAATTACCTTGGGCAGTATGGCCATTTTCACGATATTGATTCTTCCTACCCATGAGCATGGAATGTTCTTCCATTTGTTTGTATCCTCTTTAATTTCATTGAGCAGAGCTCACTCTTTTTTTATCCCCAGGAAATAGTAGGTTGGGGCTGTTGTCATCCTCACATAGAAGGCTCTCAGGTTGAGCCATAGAATTGCCAAATTACATTGTTGACCTACTAAGCTCTGAACCTGACTGAGGTAGCCCAGCTTTGTTGGCCAAATAGGTTTTATTTTATGGTCCAATGATGGCTGGCAGAGGCTGTTGGAGAGCTGTGTTGAAAAGATGCTGAAGCTGAGTCCGCGTCAGTGGTTTTCCAACAAGCACAATTTTGCCCTACATGGGGATATTTGATAATTTCTGGAAAGATTTTTGATGTCAGGATTGAGGTGGGGTGGGATAATGGAATCTAGCAGATAATTGCCAGGGATGCTGCTAAGCTGCTAATTCCCCTAAAACAGTGCACTGGACAGGCCCCCTACAACCAAGAACTCTCCTGTCCAAAAGTCAGTAATGTCAATGTGAGAAATTCTGCTGGAGCAGAGCCTTGAGGCTCAGTGGGAAAGTATCCTGGTTGATTGATAACATCTGGCATAGTATGGGGGGGGGGTGCTTTGGTGACAGCTAATGTGTTCTATATTTGCAGATGACAATCTTTGAGGTTTGATTTCATTGCATCCTTTAAGATTCCCATTGTATTAGGCCATTCGTGTGTTGCTATAAATAAATACCTGATGTTGGATATTTATAAAGAAAAGATGTTTTCTGTTCTTGTGTTAGTTTGCTTAGAACGATGGCTTCCAGTTTCATCCATATCCCTGCAAAGGACATGAACCCATTCTTTTTTATGGCTGCATAGTATTCCATGGTATATATGTGCCACATTTTCTTTTTTTACTTAAAAAAATTTTTTAAATTATACTTTAAGTTCTAGGGTACATGTGCAGAACATGCAGGTTTGTTACATAGATATACATGGGCCATGTTGGTTTGCTGCACCCATCAACTCGTCATTTACATTAGGTATTTCTCCTAATGTTATCCCTCCCCCAGCCTACCACTCCTTGACAGGCCCCGGTGTGTGATGTTCCCCACCCTGTGTCCATGTGTTCTCATTGTTCAATGCCCACCTATGAGTGAGAACATGTGGTGTTTTGTTTTCTGTCCTTGTGATAGTTTGCTGAGAATGATGGTTTCCAGCTTCATCCATGCCCCTGCAAAGGACATGAACTCATCCCTTTTTATGGCTGCATAGTATTCCATGGTGTATATGTGCTGCAGTTTCTTAATCTAGTCTATCATTGATGGAAATTTGGGTTGGTTCCAAGACTTTGCTATTGTGAATAGTGCCACAATAAACATACGTGTGCATGTGTCTTTATAGTAGCATGATTTATAATCCTTTGGGTATATACCCAGTAATGGGATGGCTGGGTCAAATGGTATTTCCAGTTCTAGATCCCTGAGGAATCGCCACACTGTCTTCCACAATGGTTGAACTAATTTACACTTCCACCAACAGCATAAAAGTGTTCCTATTTCTCCACATCCTCTCCAGCATTTGTTGTTTCCTGACTTTTTAATGATAGCCATTCTAACTGGTGTGAGATGGTATCTCATTGTAGTTTTGATTTGCATTTCTCTGATGACCTGTGATGATGAGCATTTTTTCATATGTCTGTTGGCTGCATAAATGTCTTCTTCTGAGAAGTGTCTGTTCATATCCTCTGCCCACTTTTTGATGTGGTTGTTTTTTTCTTGTAAATTTGTTTGAGTTCTTTGTAGATTCTGTATATTAGCTCTTTGTCAGATGGGTAGATTGCAAAGATTTTCCCCCATTCTGTATGTTGCCTCTTCACTCTGATGATAGTTTCTTTTGCTGTGTAGAAGCTCTTTGGTTTAATTAGATCCCATTTGTCTATTTTGGCTTTTGTTGCCATTGCTTTTGGTGTTTTAGACATGAAGTCCTTGCCCATGCCTATGTTCTGAATGGTATTGCCTAGGTTTTCTTCTAGGATTTTTATGGTTTTCAGTCTTACATTTAAGTCTTTAATCCATCTTGAGTTAATTTTTGTATAAGTCTAAGGAAGGGATCCAGTTTCATCTTTCTCCATAGGGCTAGCCAGCTTTCCCAGCACCATTTGCTAAACAGGGAATACTTTCCCCTTTTCTTGTTTTTGTCAGGTTTGTCAAAGATCAGATGGTTGTAGATGTGAGGTGTTATTTCTGAGGGCTCTGTTCTGTTCCATTGGTCTATATCTCTGTTTTGGTACCAGTACCATGCTGTTTTGGTTACTGTAGCCTTGTAGTGTAGTTTGAAGTCAGGTAGCCTGATGCCTCCAGCTTTGTTCTTTTGGCTTAGGATTGTCTTGGCAATGCGGGCTCTCTTTTGGTTCCATATGAACTTTAAAGTATTTTTTTCCAATTCTGTGAAGAAAGTCATTGGTAGCTTGATGGGGATGGTATTGAATCTATAAATTACCTTGGGCAGTATGGCCATTTTCACAATATTGATTTTTCCTATCCATGAGCATGGAATGTTCTTCCATTTGTTTGTGTCCTCTCTTATTTCGTTGAGCAGTGGTTTGTAGTTCTCCTTGAAGAGGTCCTTCATATCCCTTGTAAGTTGGATTCCTGGTATTTTATTCTCTTTGAAGCAGTTGTGAATGGGAGTTCACTCATGATTTGGCTCTCTGTTTGTCTGTTATTGGTGTATAGGAATGCCTGTGATTTTTGCACATTGATTTTGTATCCTGAGACTTTGCTGAAGTTGCTTATCAGCTTAAGGAGATTTTGGGCTGAGACAATGGGGTTTTCTAAATATACAATCATGTCATCTGCAAACAGAAACAATTTGACTTCCTCTTTTCCTAATTGAATACCCTTTATTTCTTTCTCTCGCCTGATTTCCCTGGCCAGAACTTCCAACACTATGTTGAATAGGAGTGGTGAGAGAGGGCATCCTTGTCTTGTGCCGGTTTTCTAAGGGAATGCTTCCAGTTTTTGCCCATTCAGTGTGATATTGGCTGTGGGTTTCATAAATAGCTCTTATTATTTTGAGATACGTTCCATCAGTACCTAGTTAATTGAGAGTTTTTAGCATGAAGGGCTGTTGAATTTTGTTGAAGGCTTTTTCTGCATCTATTGAGATAATCATGTGGTTTTTGTCATTGGTTCTGTTTATGTGATGGGTTGTTTATTGATTTGCATATGTTGAACCAGCCTTGCATTCCAGGGATGAAGCTGACTTGATCATGGTGGGTAAGCTTTTTGATGTGCTGCTGGATTCAGTTTGCCAGTATTTTACTGAGGATTTTTGCATCGATGTTCATCAGGGATATTGGCCTAAAATTCTCATTTTTTGTTGTGTCTCTGCCAGGCTTTTGTATCAGGATGATGCTGGCCTCATAAAATGAGTTAGGAAGGATTCCCTCTTTTTCTATTGATTGGAATAGTTTCGGAAGGAATGGTACCAGCTCCTCTTTGTACCCCTGGTAGAATTTGGCTGTGAATCAGTCTGGTCTTGGACTTTTTTTGGTTGGTAAGCTATTAATTATTGCCTCAATTTCAGAGCCTGTTTTTGGTCTAGTCAGAGATTCAACTTCTTCCTGGTTTAGTCTTGGGAGGGTGTATGTGTCCAGGAATGTATCCATTTCTTCTAGATTTTCTAGTTTATTTGTGTAGAGGTGTTTATAGTATTCTCTGATGGCAGTTTGTATTTCTGTGGGATCGGTGGTGATATCCCCTTTATCATTTTTTATTGCATCTATTTGAGTCTTCTCTCTTTTCTTCTTTATTAATCTTGCTAGCAGTCTATCTATTTTGTTGATCTTTTAAAAATCCAGCTACTGGATTCATTGATTTTTTGAAGGGTTTTTTGTGTCTCTATCTCCTTCAGTTCTGCTGTGATCTTAGTTATTTCTTGCCTTCTGCTAGCTTTTGAATTTGTTTGCTCTTGCTTGTCTAGTTATTTTAATTGTGATATTAGGGTGTCGATTTTAGATCTTTCCTGCTTTCTCTTGTGGGCATTTAGTGCTATAAATTTCCCTCTACACACTGTTTTAAATGTGTCCCAGAGATTCTGGTACATTGTGTCTTTATTCTCATAGGTTTCAAAGAACATCTTTATTTCTGCCTTCATTTCGTTATTTACCCAGTAGTCATTCAAGAGCAGGTTGTTCAGTTTCCATGTAGTTGTGTGGTTTTGAGTGAGTTACTTAATCCTGAGTTCTAATTTGATTGCACTGTGGTCTGAGAGACAGTTTGTTGTGATTTCTGTTCTTTTGCATCTGCTGAGGAGTGTTTTACTTCCAATTATGTGGTCAATTTTAGAATAAGTGCAATGTGGTGCTGAGAAGAATGTATAATCTGTTGAATTGTGGTGGAGAGTTCTGTAGATGTCTATTAGGTCTGCTTGGTCCAGAGCTGAGTTCAAGTCCTGGATAGCCTTGTTAACCTTGTCTTGTTGATCTGTCTAATATTGACAGTGGGGAGTTAAAGTCTCCCACTATTATTGTGTGGGAGTTTAAGTCTCTTTGTAGGTCTCTAAGGACTTGCTTTATGAATCTAGGGTGCTCCTGTATTGGGTGCATATATATTTAGAATAGCTCTTATTGTTGAATTGATCCCTTTACCATTATGTAATGGCCTTGTTTCCTTTGATCTTTGTTGGTTTAAAGTCTGTTTTATCAGAGACTAGAATTGCAACCCCTGCTTTTTTTTGCTTTCCATTTTCTTGATACATCTTCCTCCATCCCTTTATTTTGAGCCTATGTGTGTCTTTGCACGTGAAATGGGTCTCCTGAATACAGCACACCGATGGGTCTTGACTCTTTATTCAATTTGTCAGTCTTTGTCTTTTAATTGGGGCATTTAAGCCATTTACATTTAAGGTTAATATTGTTATGTTTGAATTTGATCCTGTCATTATGATGTTAGTTGGTTATTTTGCCCATTAATTGATGTAGTTTCTTCATAACATCGATGGTCTTTACAACTTGGCATGTTTTTGCAGTGGCTGGTACCAGTTGCTCCCTTCCATGTTTAGTGCTTCCTTCAGGAGCTCTTGTAAGGTAGGCCTGGTGGTGACAAAATCGCTCAGCATTTGCTTATCTGTAAAGGATTTTATTTCTCCTTTGCTTATGAAGCTTAGTTTGGCTGGATATGAAATTCTGGGTTGAAAATTCTTTTCTTTAAGAATGTTGAATATCGGCCCCCACTCTCTACTGGCTTGTAGGGTTTCTGCCGAGAAATCTGCTGTTAGTCTGATGGGCTCCCTCTTGTGGGTAACCCGACCTTTCTCTCTGGCCGTCCTTAACATTTTTTCCTTCATTTCAACCTTGGGGAATCTGACAATTATGTGTCTTGGGGTTGCTCTCCTCAAGGAGTATCTTTGTGGTGCTCTCTGTATTGCCTGAATTTGAATGTTGGCCTGCCTGCCTTGCTAGGTTGGGGAAGTTCTCCTGGATAATATCCTGCAGAGTGTTTTCCAACTTGGTTCCATTCTCCCCGTCACTTTCAGGTCCACCAATCAAACGTAGATTTGTTCTTTTCACAAAGTCCCATATTTCTTGGAGGCTTTGTTCATTTCTTTTGGCTCTTTTTTTCTTTAATCTTCTCTTCACAGTTTATTCCATTAATCTGATCTTCAATCACTGATATCCTTTCTTCCACTTGATTGAATCAGCTATTGAAACTTGTGCATGAGTCACGAAGTTCTCGTGCTGTGGTTTTCAGCTCCATCAGGTCATTTAAGGTCTTCTCTACACTGTTTATTCTAGTTAGCCATGCGTCTAACCTTTTTTTTTTTTTAAGGTTTTTAGCTTTCTTGCGATAGGTTAGAACATGCTCCTTTAGCTTGGAAGTTTGTTATTACTGACCTTCTGAAGCTTACTTCTATCAACTTGTCAAACTCATTCTCCATCCAGTTTTGTTCCCTTGCTGGTGAGGAGCTGTGGTCCTTTGGAGGAGAAGAGGTTCTCTGTTTTTTGGAATTTTCTGATTTTCTGCTCTGGTTTCTCCCCATTTTTGTGATTTTATCTACTTTCGGTTTGATGTTGGTGGTCTACAGATGGGGTTTTGGTGTGGATGTCCTTTTTGTTGATGTTGATGCTATTCCTTTCTGTTTGTTAGTTTTCCTTATAGCAGTCAGGCCCCTCAGCTGCAGGTCTGTTGGAGTTTGCTGGAGGCCCACTCCAGACCCTGTTTGCCTGGGTATCACCAGTGGAGGCTGCAGAACAGCAAATATTGCTGTCTGATCCTCCCTCTGGAAGCTTCATCCCAGAGGGGCACCTGCCTGTATGTCTGTCAGCCCCTACTGGGAAGTGTCTCCCAGTCAGGCTACATGGGGGTCAGGGACCTGCTTGAGGAGGCAGTCTGTCCATTCTCAGAGCTCGAACACCATGCTGGGAGAACCACTGGTCTCTTCAGAGCTGTCAGACGGGGACGTTTAAGTCTGCAGAGGCTGTCTGCCTTTTGTTCAGGTATGCCCTGCCCACAGAGGTGGAACCTAGAGGGCAAAGGCCTTGCTGAGCTGCACTGGGCTCTGCCCAGTTCAAGTTTCCTGGCCACTTTAGGAGCATAAAACCCCCTACTCCAGCCTCAGCAATGGCAGACGCCCCCTCCCTGTCAATCTGAAGCGTTGCAGGTTGATCTCAGACTGCTGCACTAGCAGTGAGCAAGGCTCCTTGGGCTTGGGACCCGCTGAGCCAGGCATGGGAAGGGATCTCCTAGTCTGCTGGTTGGTAAGACCATGGGAAAAGTGCAGTATTTGGTCAGGAGTGTATCATTCCTCCAGGTACAGTCTGTCACGGCTTCCCTTGGCTAGGAAAGGAAAATCCCCCGACCCCTTGCACTTCCCAGGTGAGGTGATGCCCCGCCCTGCTTCAGCTTGCCCTCCTTGGGCTGTACCCACTGTCCAACCAGTCCCAATGACATGAACCAGGTACCTCAGTTGGAAATGCAGAAATCACCTGTCTTCTGCATCGATCTTATTGGGAGCTACAGACCGGAGCTATTCCTATTTGGCCATCTTGGAAGCATCCCCTGCCTTTATTCAGTCTATCATTGATGGGGATTTGGGTTGGTTCCAAGTCTTTGGTATTGTAAATAGTGCTGCAATAAACATACGTGTGCATGTGTCTCCCTCATAAGTGGGAGTTGAACAATGAGAACACATGGACACAGGGAGGGGAACATCACACGTGGGGGCCTGTCAGGAGGTAGGGGGCAAGGGGAGGGAGAGCATTAGGACAAATACCTAATGCATGCGGGGCTTAAAACCTAGATGACAGGTTGATAGGTGTAGCAAACCACCATGGCACATGTGTACCTATGTAACAAACCTGCACATTCTGCACAAGTATCCCAGAACTTAAAGTAAAATAAATAAATAAAAAGAGGTTTGATTGGCTTACTGTTCTGCAGGCTGTACAAACATGGCAGCAGGCAACTTTTAGTCATGGCAGAAGGTGAAGCGGAAGCAGGCATATCACTTGGTGAGAGCCGGAGCAAGGGCAGCAGAGGAGGTACCGCCCACTTTTAAACAGACCTCACGAGTACTCGCTCACTATCTCCAGGACAGCACCAAGCCACGAGGGATCCACTCCCATGACCCTAACACCTCCCACCAGGCCCCACATCCAACATTGGGAATCACATTTCAACATGAAATTTAGAGCAGACAACCTCTATATCTCATGTTGAAATGTGATCCCCTGTGTTGTAAGAAGCCCTCCCCCTGACCCTGATGCATGGCAGTTTAAGAACCACCCATGTACGTGAAAAGACCTTTAAGAAAAAATGGAGATATATGTTGTATAACTATTAGTCTGCTCTGGAGTCATCTGGGGAAATCAGGGTCCGGTGGGTGGAGCATTCACTAAATGAGGGGGATTCAGTTAGGACACATCAAGCCATGGCTCCAGATAATTAGATCATCTAACTGAGGTTTAAATTATGCTAAACTGTTTTAAAATCACATTTGTGTAAATTATATTACACAGACTGAGAATGGCAATGCTCAGGTGTGGCAAAGACCTGATTTTATGTAAGTATTTACGTCCAACACAAATATTATTTTGTACCCTCATTTGTCTGATGGGCTCATTCCAGGTCAACAGCTTTCTGTTACCAGGATTGATGCCATATCACCCATTAAGTGGAGAGAGTAGGCATTGTCACTCCTCTTGGCCAAATGAGGGGAATAGAGACTCAGGACAGCAAAGTGGAATCCCACAGTTGATGATCTTGCAGTGCCCCTGAGGCCTGGGGACACGTGGAAGGATGAGACTTAAGGAGCCTATTGCTATTCGGGGGCTTCCTCTCTGGCTTGATTAACTCTGAGGAGCCACTTCTTGTCCTTGGGGACCCAACCTCAGCCTATCCTAGGAACATAATAAAGGAAGAAATGGGCACATCCCCCAGAGCTCCTAGGTGGTGGGGACAGGCGGCAGGGGGATGTCCTGGGAGAGGAAAGGGCAGTCGGAAAAAGGTGTTGAAGAAGCAGTTAGATATCCCCTGATCCCCTTCCCAGCTCCACGCTGCAAGGTGACTGTGCCATCCCACCCAACAGAGGACTCTGAGTTTATTGTCTGGCGACCATAAAGAAGGGAATCTCTGCATTGGAAAGCTCCAGGCACAAGGGAGGATGCGGCACCACACTGACAACAAGGGGAGTGTGTCAATGGGTCATTCAGAGGCTGAGACTGCAGCCTGCTCTGTGCCAGAATACTGGCAGCCAGACTTCTGAACTCCAAACAGGAGAACAGAAGTCCCCTCTGGGGAGTTGACAGTTCAAGAAGACAGACCTAACAATACCAACATCCAGTATTTCCCCTAAAGGCTCAACCCTCCCACCCACTCTTGGGCCTGGTTCTGTATCAAGAGCAAACACTAAGGACCTCCAGGCATCCCTGAAAGTCTCTAATGTGAATGTAGAGATCTAAACAGATCATGTGTTTACTCTTCTGTGTATGATCACTAATTTTTCTAACCTCAAACTCTTTGCCAATTGTCCAAACATTTTTCAGCATTTTCATTCACACAGATCATGAATGGAAGAGAGACACTACACAAGGAGAAAAGTCATCATCATATAACCATAATAATAACAAACCCCTCTATCCAAAGAGAGACAACAGCAGATAAGGCATTCATGAAAAAAGAACATAATGCCATAAAAAAGGAACATGAAGCACAAGAAGAGGTCTTGGAGAACAAAAACACAAGAGCAGAAATAACAAATTCAGTAGGAGGTTTGAGAGCCAAAGTTGAGGAAATCTCTCAAGAATATACAGTGCAATAAATCACTGAAACCAGGAGACAAATGACAGGAAAATTGGAGGACTAGTGCAAGAGCTCTAATAATCTACTACTCAAATCATAGGCATTCTAGAAACAGAGGGAACATGGTAGGGAGGAAATGTCAATAAAATAAGAGAAGAAAACTTCCTAAAAGTAAAAGACATGAATCTCGAGATTGAAAAGACCCCACAAGTGCTTACCTAGCACAGCAGATAAGCCACACGTCCAGATTTCCATCAGGGCAGGTCAAGGGAAATTTCAGGACATTGGTAGGATAGAGAAAGTCTACAAACTTTCTACAAATCAGAACAGCTTTAAACGTCTCAACAGTAATCCTGGAAGCAAGAAGACAGTGGAGCAATGTCCTTAAAATTTGGAAGGAAATGTATTCCTAACCTAGAGTTCTATGTGAAGCCAAAATATAAAAATATCCTTAGATATGCAAGGTCTCGAGAAATTTGCCTCCCACCCACCCATTCACAGGAAACTACTAGAGGATGTGCTTCCCCATAATGGGAGAGTCCAGCTCGAAGTGAAGTTTGAGTGACAGGGAAGGGAGGGCCCAGGACGCCAGTTTGGGAATGCCAGAAGTTTCCAGGAGAGACTTCAAGATATCAAATTGATATCTTGATGTGAATGAAAATACTGAAAAAGGTTTGGACAACTGGCAAAGAGTTTGAGGTTAGAAAAATTAGTGATCATACACAGAAGAGTAAACACATGAAGAAATCATAACAGTCGTAACATTGAATACCAATCTCATCAAAATGATGGCACATCTATTTAGGGAGGATGGGAGGGATGGAAGTTTAGGGTTAAGGGGTAGGGGAGGACAGAGATTTAAAACTGCATCTCCTATACCAAAGAGGCAATGGATAATGCCTAAAACTGAAAAATATACATAGCATTGCAAGCATGTTTTGTAGCAATAGAAGCCAAATGGCAGAGTGGTCAGCTGAGGGCATTGAAAGTTGTTATTTCTGGAGAAGAGGAAGTGGAGGGGGGGAAGGGCTGGAGAGAGCAGCTTGAATGAACCAGCCTCCTAAACCAGATGACTCTCTAAACTAGGCACACTTGGGTAACTGGTAAAACTGGATAATTAAAAACAATACAATTAAAGTATATGAAAAACTGGTAAATGTGAATAAGGTCTGTTTCTGAGTTAATAACATTGCACCAATGTCAATTTCCTGATTTTGACAAAGGGTGCGTAGGAATTCTCCAAACTATTTTTGCAACTTTGTGTGAGTCTTAAATGATTTTGAATTAAAAGGCTATGTAAATAACACAACAAGCATAACTACAATAGGAGAATGTGCTGTGCCTAAAGCCACACCTAACAGAGTAAAGGGCTTTGCTGGCCACGTCTGCCCAGGTCCTGGGTGGTGGGCCCAGGTGCCTCTGGCCTCCCAGGTACATCTAGACACGGTCAGACGGGGTTAATTGAAGAAACTGTCTGTCTCCAAGCCTCAGCTGAAGGCCAACATTGCTAACTCCTAGAGAGGGCAGTGCGCAGAGGCTGAGCTATTCCTCTCCAGCAGTTTTGTGCAGAGCTGTGGAGGAGAAAACAAAAATTAAACCATAAGCATGCTGCTGACAGTGTCCTTTTAAAAGGAAATAAACACCTGCCAGTCACTGCCTGGGGAAAATGAGCCTTAATCATGCGGTCGGGTGGCGTCTGGCCATCCCATTCTGCTCACATTCTCAGGGGAAGCTTGCGGGGCTCTGCAGCTGTGGGCGGTGGCCTCCATCAGGGGGCAGGGCAGGAGGGAGGTGGGCCAGGGCCAAGAAGCTGAGCGGCGCCAGCCTAGAAATTTCATCCACAGCCTCGTGGGACAGATGAGCAAACAGTGGGAAGGAGGCCCAGAGAGAACTTGAAGATGTGGAGTCAGGCTGATCTGCATTTAAACATTAGGACAACCTGATCCCAAATTACTTCAAACTGCATGGCCTCAGGCAAGAACCTCACACTTCCTGAGCCTCATTTTCTTCTCCTGAATATGGATGTTCCGTGTGAAGATTGGAAAATACTCCAGCACATTGCCAATCTACACGTGAAGAACAGTGGCCCAGAGGTATTGAGCAGCTTGCCTGGGATCACACAGCTGGCGAGGGGGGAAGCCAGGATAGGAACCGTGTTGGGAAGGGTTCAGAGTATGGCTCCACCCAAACCAAACCCTTTCCAGTCTTTGCCACTATCCCATGGTGTGCAGTTGGGGATTCGCAGATATTTACTGAGCACCTACTATGCACAGGCAGTGTTCTAGAAGCAGAAGTTGCAGCAGTAAGCAACACAGCCCCATGCCTTTAAGAAGTGGCATTCCAGTGGGGGAGGTAACTGTAGACAGAGACAGGAGACACCATGAGCCTGATGTTACAGGTGAGAGGTCAGCTGTCGAGGTATGTTGAGTACCTTGAGAATGTGTGTTGCCCACTGAAGGTGCCATACTGTCCCATCAAGGGCCCTGAGCCAGTTCCTCCATGCGGGCTGCAGGGTGTGAGTAATGAGGTGTGGATTTCAGCGTCCTGACTCCTGGAATGTGAGTGGAAAAGGCCAGTCTTAGTGGTTAGCTCAAAGATAGTCTCTGACCACGCTTAGGGCACTGGGATAATGAGCCTACACCTCTTCTTCCCAGACGCCCAAAGAGCTTCAGGGGCCTCAGGCACCACTCCTTAGACACCCATGGCTAGCTGCCCCATGGGGTCCTGATTCCTGTGAGGCTACAGGGGCCCAGGCAGGGGCACTGGACTAGGGATCTAGCCCGTGTTGTGCTGCCCACTTGCTGTGTGACAAAGGGTGAGTCCTTGCCCTCTCTGAACCTCTATGTCCTCACCTGAACAACTTGGGGGCTGGATTTAAGAAAGGCAGCTCTGGTTTGCACATTTTGACATCTTCAAACCCTCAAGCGTTTGGGGAAGCATTCCTTTATTCAGCATCCTGGAATGCTCCCTATGTATCTGGTGCTCAGTTACAACGAGGAACAACACAGATGTGGCCGCTCACTTCATGGAGCTTACAGGACACTTAAAAGAAGCAGCCGTATCTGGCATGAAGCTGATCATGATATGCCTATGAAGGAAGAGCGTAGGGGGCACCTCTGGATCACTTCCTGTTGGTGGAGTGTATGAGGCTGGGTGACTGTAGATTATAGCATGGTGGATAGAACATAGGGCCAAGGAGGAAGGCCTGGGGGGTCAGTGGGCAACCATTTGGGTCTGCAAGGGCAAGCTGGTGCTTGTGTGCCAGGACCGCAAACCAGGAGCCAGGGCTGGAGCTCCTCCAGCCCAGTGAGGTTCAAGGGAAGGGGGAGGGCAGTGGCTTCTTGTCACCATTTAGACACTGGGACCTAAGAAAATGGCTGAGTGAACTGTGTCACTCAGTTTCTGAGGCCTGCTTTCCAAGTTTATAAAACAGGCCTGATGGCATGGGTGATTAAATGACATGATACGTGAGTTACCTGCCATCAGTCAGCCCCAGTGTCCACTTCAGACCCTCTTTCAATCTACTCTCCACGGTATCAGGAGAATGAGCTTTTTGAAAACACAGACCCATCGTGCCACCCCTCTATTCACACGCTTGCCATCATAACCAGGAGAAAGTCCAGCCTCCTCACCATGGCCTAGAGGGGTCACTTTGGCTGCTGTGCTGTTTCTTGAATATGCCAAGCACACTCCAGCCTCAAAGTCTTCACACTTGCTGTTCCATCTGCCTACATTATTCCCTCCACTAGTTTACATCTTGTAAACTCCTACTTATTTGTTAAGCCTCAGCTTAAATGATACTTCCCAAGGGAAGCTCCCGTCAGGCTGAATTTGGGCCCTTGTTTGTAACAACTATAAAATCATATACTTTTTCTTCAAATCCCATATTTATTCTTGCAGTTATATGTTTAATGTGTGTCTGCCCCACCAGACTGTAAGTTCTTAGCAAACAGGGACCCTCTGCTTTGTTCATGATCATGTCTCTAGTGCCTGGTACCATGCCTTGTACATGGTAGGTGCTCAATTGTTCTTAATAAATAGTTTGTGATAGAAGGATTATATGAATGATTGAATGTCTATCACTTTACTTCAAGTTTCCCCTGGGACCAAGGCTCTGGATTGACTTCAGCAATTCTTGGCACTACCCACATTTGAAGTAGCAACCTGGACTAAGACTTCAGCACCCATGCCCCTATTCCCAGCTCTATGGGAATCTTCCAGTGAATTCTGGAAGTCATTAAACCTCTCTGGTTCTTAAGTTCCCACGTCTATAAAATGAGGAAAGAAAGCTCCTCCTCTGGTTTCCCAAAGAGTCTGGGAGGAGGAACGGCAGCAGCGCATCTGCAAAGTGCTGAGCCTCTGCAGGGGAGTGGCTGGCCTTGGTCTGCTGTACAGGGTGACACGCATAATATCCAAAAATTGGAAACCAAGGCTGTCTCTGGTTATCCTCCATGGGAGTCTGCAGTACAGGAGAGGGATTTGAAGAAGAGGATCTGTCTCCCAAGTTCACCTCACAAGATCATGGAGTCCAGTGCCATAATGGAGGGAGAATTTGGGGGAAGTTTTGGGAGGAGGTGAATATATTTTGCACGTGGAAAAATTATGGTCAAATGGAGGTTCTGTGGTGGATGAACAATGAAATCCTTTGTAGCATTTCACATTGAGGGCAAGAGTCCCTGTCACCTCTTGACCTCTACAAGAGGTCTCACAGCTCCCACTCTTGCTGTCTTGGAATCTAGCTGCCACATAAGGAAGCCCAAGCTAACTCCCTGGAGAAGCCACCTGGAGGTAAACTGAGGCACCTGATTGGCAGCCCCATCCCCATTGCTAGACTTGTGAGTGAGGCCATCTGGGACCAGCCAGCCCCTAGCTGACCTTGCCTCTTCCTTAAAACTGGTCCAGCCAACACCACACAAAGAGGATTCATCCCAGCGGAACCTTGCCCACATAGCCAAACCTTAGAGCCATGAGCAGTCAGTGATGGTTGTTTTAAGCCACTCAGTTCTGGGGTGGCTTGTTTTGCCCCAATATATAATTGAGGCAGCTGTCTGTGTGTCCATTTGTCTCTTTGGCCAGACTTTCTTATTCTTCTTCCTGTCTCCTGATCACAGCAGAGCAGAATATTAAGAGCATGCAGCTGCATCAGAAAGATTTGGATACAAATCTTGATTTTCCTACTTACACGCTGTGTGACCTTAGACAGGTTTCTTAACCTCTCTGAACTTATATTTTCTTTCATCAGTAAGATGCACACACCTTTGGCTTATGGGTTGCGAGTTTGAAATGAGATACTAGTCAGTGCCTGGCACATAACTAGTACTCGTTAAATTTGTTAATCTGCCAATAAATATTTACTGAGCACATACTTCATGCTGATGCTGATCCTGGAATTAGGAGGCTGAACAAGACAGATGAGAGCTCTGCCCTCACAGGGGTTATAGTCCAGAAAGGGAAGACAGAATAAACACTTGAAAAACAAGATGATGGCAGATGGTTACACATGCTCTGAAGCCTATGGGACAGAAAGTCTGAGCCCATGGGACTAAGGCATGACATGGTTCAGGGGATGGGTCTAGGGAAGGCCTCTGTGGGGAGGTGACATCTAAACCAAGAGGTGGTTAATGAGCAGTAGGCAGCCACAAGAAAAGCAGGAGAAAAGGTGCTCTAGGAAGAGGAGCCAGCATATGCAAAGGCCCTGTGGAGGGACAGAAGTGGCAGAGACTGAGGAACCCAGGGGAGGCCAGCGGGGCTGCCACATGGCAGGAGGCGGGGGGCAGGCTGGAGGAGCTGATGCTGTGGCCTAAGTAGGTGGAGGCTGCTTTGTTATTATTGCTGCTGTTATTGACAGTAGCTCAGATTCAAGGCCTGATCCAGAGCAAGTGCTCGGTTCATGCTGGACAAATAGCTGATAAGCGAGGGCTTCAGGCATAACCTGTGTAATGTTTCCATGGAAACTTATCACTGCTTCCTGTTGGTAACCTGAGAGACTCCCAGAGGTCTCTCATCCTCTGGTCCTGCCCTGATCTGGGCTGGGGACTCACTTCCTCTTCCTCTGCATCTCACCCTGAGCCCCAGCTGTCGGGGAGGACGCACAGCACGGGGAATGGAAGCTCTTCCTGTCGCGGACCCTCTGCACACGCACAGCACACCAGGCCCAGATGGCCCTAGGCCAGGCCTCAAAGTTCCAGCCCACGTCAGCCCAGGTCCAGGATGCAGCTGGGCTCATGCAAGAGGAAGAGCTTACGCTGGTGGTGGGGAGTTGGGGAGCAGCCAGTCCACTGTTCTAGACAAAGGAGCTGGCCTGAGACGTGTTCCTCAGGAGACCCCACCACCAGTCACAGCAGCAACACAGTGGAAAGATGCTGTGTGGCCCCAGGACCGGGTCTGCAGCCCCATTCGACAGCTGAAGAAACAGAAGCAAAAGGCAGAGCTGGCCTGCTCTGGAAGGCTGGTGTTTTGAGAGCCAGGTTGTACTCGCCAGCTGGGCATACCTGTGTCCACACACATAGACCCACAAACACAACCTTACATGGTTCTACATGGTTATGAGAGATTCAGACATACATGCTGTTATGTGAGTAGGACAGAGACACAGACACACGCCATCCAACAGGACACTGTCTCTTATGAGGATGTGACATTCAAACATGTCATTCTACACAAGTCACACACACACAAAGCTGAGGACATATCCATTGATGTTTCTGCCCTCACTTCCCAGATAATTGTGCTGAAAAATAGAAACACCTGCACCCTACCAAGCTATTACCCGGCAGCGGCAGGAGCAGGCTAATTAAGCCTTCACAGGAGGCTGGCATTTTCCTGGCAGCCCTGCTGCCCCTCGCTGCCAGGGTGGCCGCCAGCCCGAGTGGCCTTTGTGATGAGCCCCAGGGGGCACACGGCCCAGCCTGTCTCCCTCTCCTCCCTCTCTGGGCCCTGAAATGATTCTGCATCTTGTTCTCCCAAAGGATGCCTCTTGGGCCAATGGCCTGCTTATGAAGATGGCTAGAATGAAACCCTCCCTGAAGCTTGAGGCCTGGATCAGCAGAGACCCTCCCAAAGTTCCCAGTTCTCTGACTGGAGGACATTTGAGGGACCTAAGTTAGCTGTGGACATGAGTGATGGATGCCCTCGGCTGTTCTCTGCCTATTCCAAGGGCTTAACTCCATCCCTCTGGCCAGAATGGGACTCAGTTTCCCCTTCTTGCCACCCTGGGCTTGGTTCTTGGCCATTCTCTCTCACACATTCACCTCTCAGCCACCCTGGACTTCCTGCTCTTCTTCCAATACGCCAAGCTCATGCCTGCCTCAGGGCCTTTGCACCTGCCCTGTTTTCTGTCTGAAACCCTCCCTTCCTTCCAGGTCTTTGCCTGTTCCTCTCATCATTCAGGTCTCAGCTCAAATGGCACCTCCTTAGGAAGCCCGCCCTGACCCACCTAGTTAAAATCTCTCCTCCAGGTGCGCCCCTCAGTTTTTTCTTAATTCAGTGGTTTTCAGCCCTGGCTGCTTGTTAGAATCACCAGGGGAGCTTTTAAAAATAACGGTGCCAGGGCATTGTGTAGGCTAATTAAGAATCTCTGGGATGTGGGTCGTGCATGCTGCCATTATTTTAAAAAACCCTATGTGGTTTGAATGTGCAGTCAGGACTAAGACATCTTGGTCCAGACACTTTTTGGTCAGCAAGAGAAAAGGCCGAATTTTGCAATCCCCTCCCTTCAGTGCTCTCTCCCTAATAGCTCTGTGATATGGGAACTATTATCACACCCATTTTACAGACCAGGAAACTGAGGCTGTAAGTCAGAGAAGTAAAGTACCCAAAGTCACACAGCTGGGAAACTGTAGAACTGGGAATTTAACCCAAGCACCATGGCTCTGGAGTCTGCCTCTTAATCCCAACACTTGGCTGCAGTTGTTTTATTAAATCTCACAACCACTCCATGACACGACATTTTAAAGATGGGGAACCATGGCTCAGAGAGTCAGGAGACATGACCAAGGTCACACAGCCAGGATTCAAACCCAGGTCAGGCCGACTCTAAAGCAGGGGTGTCCAATCTTTTGGCTTCCCTGGGCTACACTGTAAGAAAAAGAATTGTCTTGGGCCATACATAAAATATATGAATACTAACAATAGCTGATGAGCTGAAAAAAAAATTACAAAAAAAAAAATCTTAATGTTTTAAGAAAGGAAGGTTCAGGAATTCGTGTTGGGCCATATTCAAAACCGTCCTGGGAGGCATGTGGCCCGCGGGCTGTGGATTGGACAAGCTTGCTCTAAAGCATAGGAATTTGTGTTGGGCCATATTCAAAGCCTTCCTGGGTTGCATGTGGCCCGCGGACTGTGGATTGGACAGCTTGGCAGCAAGGCAGACCATATCAAATGAGGTCTGGGCCTGAAAACACATCACAACTTCACCCAAGGACCCAGCCTTCCTCTTGGGAAGCATCATCTCTCCCCAGCCTCCCAAGCCCCTTCTCTTTTCCCATCTCTATCACGCCCATTGCCTGGCTGTTTCCTGCTCTGCTGTAAAGCTACATCTCCCAGGAGGATGTGCAGAGTTGCTCTAAAGCATAGAGTACAGGACACAGGGAAGGGACAACTTCATGATCTCTCACGTCCTCATTTCTCCACCTTTTGGGAACCAGCCTCAGGGGGAATGGAGCAGATGGAAGGTTGGCACTAGAGCATGGATCTACTCACTTGCTGCCCATGAATTAATTTCACAGTAGAATAAGTGGCATTGTATATAGCCCTTGTGTGGCAGCCACTGTTCTAGGTATTTTACATATATTGGCTTGACCCTCAAAGAAACCGTATACTCTTCCTCTTTATTTTAGTGACAAGTAATAGGCACACAGAGAATTAAGCAACTCACCCCAAAGCTGCACAGCTAATCATGCAGAGCTAAGATCTGAACTCACGCAGGCTGGTTCCAGAGTCTGTGCTCTCAGTTCCTGCACCATACTCTCCCTCTCAGCTGCCTTGCTTATTGAACTGCGTGAAGCTCACTTTTCTCCCCTATGAATGGGTATAATAGTGCCTACCTCGGATGGAAAATTAGAGGACAAACCCAGAACATGATTGCACAGGCAGGCCCTGGCACAGGGAGGTGCAGAGTAGGCATTTGGTAAGGGAGGTCACTGGACAGCTGGGAGATCATGGACAGCCAGGATGTCACCCCTTCAGCAACCAGCCTGGAGACTTATATACAGTAGGTGCTGAACTGACATGCAACGCGGATGAAGGTGGTGACATTTGGAGGCCACCAGGCTGCAGTTTCCCCAGAGAGGTTCAGGGCTCAGCAGCCCCTTGGGATCTCGAGCTCAGCAAGAGGACCTTTAAATGCCTAGAGACTGCCTACGTGCGTCACCGCTGTCTTCCATTAACGCATAATTGCTCTTGCAGGCGAGTAGCTATGCTCACTAGGGTCAGATTTACAGCAGAGCAGGAAACAGCCAGGCAACGGGCATGACAGAGATGGGAAAAGAGAAGGGGCTTGTGTGGCTGGGGAGAGATGACAATTCCAAAGAAGAAGGCTGGGTCCTTGGGTGAAGTTGTGATGTGTTTTCAGGCCCAGACCTCATTTGATATGGTCCGCCTTGCTGCCCCCACAAAGCACATCGGGGAAATGCCAGCATTTGAGCCTCCAAGCTACATCTCCCAGGAAGATGTGAAAATGTATCCCCTGAATGGGCAGTACTAGGATTAAAGATTTTCTTATGAGTCTCTGTAATGTTCTCCTTATCTATGTAATATCACTGAAATCTGCAACAAGTCATCAAAGACATCCCGTCTGGAAGGTGTGATGGCAGCTTTTTCATTTCAAGGCTCTGGCTTCCTCTCCCGGGAGCTAAGCCCCATGCACACTACTAGGCGTATTGTTCATCACTCCAGCCCTTCAAAGAGATCTCCAAAAGTGCACACACAATCTGCAAGCTGCCGAGTGACCCCTTCACTCACGTGCACCCCACAGATGCCTTAGAGGTTAGGGAAGATCACTGTGCCTCAAATGTGCCATATTTTCTCCTACCACCTTGCCTGGGCACCACCTGTTCCCTCTGCTGGGATGTTCTTGGTCTAGCCACCGTGGCAAATTTCTCCTGGTCCTGCAAGGCTCAGCTCAAGTACTACTTATTTTGCAAAACCTTCCCCAAAGGGGCAGCCTGAATCTCTAAGAAGCCGGGCCAGAGCTCTTAGAGTTATCTTCTCTCGTGTCTGTGTCCCAAGATCAACTGTCCATCCACAGAGCAGCTGATGTAGCCAAACAGTGGTTCTCAAAGTGAGGTCCCAGGACCAGCAACATTACCTTCATCGTTACCTGGGACCTTGTTGGAAATGCTGGATCTCTGCCCCACACCCCAGACTTACTGAATCAGGAACTCTGGGTGTGGGGGCCGGCAACCTGTCCTTCAACAAGCCCTCTAGGTGAGTCTGATACATGCTCAAATTTAAGAACAACTTTGGAAGGGGGATAAGGTGAATTTGGGTATGACTCATCCAGGACAAATATTAGGTTGGTGCAAGAGTAATTGCAGTTGTTGCCATTAAAAGTAATGGCATTACTTTTTGCCATTTAAAGTAATGGCATTAAAAGTACTTTTAATGGTGACAACTGCAATTACTTTTGCACCAACCTGATAACACAAAAAGCAACGACAACAAACGCTACCTACAGGACCATGAGCTAGATGCGTGCCAGGCACTTTACCTGCACTGATTCTTCACAGCAATGCATGAAGAAGATACCCATTACATAGACGAGAAAACTGAGGCTCAGACAGTCACTCATTTCCCTAGGAAACAACTAAGAAGTGATGGCTCCAGCTGCAAACCAACCCCAGTCTAACTACAAAGCCCGTGTGCTATCACAGAAAAACTGTGCGATTTGGAGATTCAAAGGAGGGAGAGACCACATCCAAGTCAGGTTTTTCCTGAATTTTATATTTTCAAAGTATGGTTTTGAAAGATCAAATAATGCTTAAAAAAAAAAAAAGCAAGCTCTTGTTCCTTCCTACCCTTCTCTCATCTCTGCTCTCAGAAGTGACTACTTTCAACTCTTTTAGCTACTTTTTTAGGTATTTACTTCCATACTTTAAAATATCTGTCTTGTATTATTTCTTGTTTCATCGGTTTTAGACTCCACCTCTTGACTTACACTGGATAAGGACTTTTGATCATGAACACCCCCTGTCCCAGGATCACCATGTAATCTTGGGATACATCGGTTCACCTTGTAAACACCATAGATTCATATATGATCTAGATAATTTTCCTTTCAATGGCAGCAAAACTTCTTGAGGGCCTGTGTCTCTAGTTGCCCACAGGTGCTATAAGGGCTAAGGGTAGCTTTTCCCTGCTGCTGTCCCCTCCCAACAGAATTAAATCTCCATTTTTTAAATTAAATTCATAGTCAATGTTTTATAATTGTGACCAAATAAATATTACTAACAGTAGAACCAAGTCATTTGCTACTGATGCTCACTTTCTTGGACTTTTTGTTTTTCCTAGAGCTGATAATTGTTGTGGTCCATTTTCCTGGCTCCTGTGATGTCCTTTTTCTTAGTTGCCTCTTTATAGAATGTCCTAGAATCATCATGAGTTCCATCGTTCCATAGTGAGTTCTCCCTGAAGATTCTCCAGTACCTTCATTCCTCCTGACTGTATGAAATACCCCAGCATCATCCTACAAATCCATATGACCACTTTAGATCACATTCAGCTTTAAGCAGCTTACATAAGAGAGAAGTTTTTGTTTGTTTGCCTTTGGTCCATATCAAGAAACTTAAAATTCAGAGACATGTCCCGGGTGGGCATAGAAGGCCCACGACCATCAAGGACCCAGGCTCCTTCCATCTAGCTGCTTCACTACCCTTAATATCAGCCTCCTAACTCATGGTTCACTGTGGCTGCTTGAGCTCCAACCATTATGTCTGCATTCCAGCCATGAGAAAGAAGAGTACTTCCACTGTATGTAAAACTACATCTTGAAAGTTGCACATGTCATTTTTGTTTGTACTCCTATGTTCACAGCTTAGACACATGGCTATACCTAGCTGCAAGAAAGGCCAGGAAATGTAATCTTTATTCTGAGTGGCTACATTCTCAGCAGAAAAAGTGGAAATCTGAGATCAGGTAAAAAAGGGGAACTGAGAGTTGGGGCAACTGGCAGGCTTGGCCACACCCCCTTTTGCTATAGTTCATTTGAACTTGCATGTCAGCTTCACACCTTTGTTGAGAATATGTGGTGGCCTCTTCCTACATTTCTGGGACCTTTTCTCCACTCTTGCCTTCATTCATTGTGCTTTGGGCACCCCACACTCCTCTGGCCTTGGGGGCCTCCCACACACTGTGCCTCTGCTGGCAGTGACTCCCTGAGAGCCACCTATCCTGGATGCAATGCCTCCCACTCATCCTCCGGTCTTCAGATGAAATGACAGCTCCCCAGAGAATCTTCCCATATCCCAAAGGGTCAGGGTCTGTTAGATGGTCTCACAGCCTTCTGACCCTCTTTGTTACAGCATCCATTGCAATTGTAATTGGTGATTGAGTTGTGTGATCAGTTGTTCACTCACTGTCTCTCTTGCTAGACTATGAGCTCTTGAGGATGGGGCCACCTCTGTCATGTGCATCCACCTGACATGTGGAAGCACAATAAACATTTGTGGCATGAACAGTTGCCTCTTCCTGAATCACACATCCTAACCCCCTTATCCTTCCAGATCAACTAAATGCCCCCTCCTCCAGGAGGTCTTCCTGTGCTCCCTCTGAGACCAGTAGCACCCCCTCCGCCTGAGTGCCCAAGCCCTCTTTGTCACCATCACTTTCTATCACATGCTATTGACTTTAGGGAGCATGCCTCAGCTCCTCTCTGGGCCTGTGAGTTCCTGGAGGGAGGGAGCCACATCTGATTCTTCTGTGTCTCTCACACACATGCACAGGGACAACCCAGAAGACTATCTGGTTCAGCAGCAGAATTGTTGACCAGGAAGCAAGACTCCTGGTGTGGCCTCTGGCTGGCCATGTGACATCCAGCAACAGCCTCACTTTCCCCACCTGGCCTCTTAGGGCCCATCCAGATCCAGCATTCTCTGATACGCCACCTGATGCTGCAGCTCAGGGGCTGCTGAGCTCTACTCTGCATGCCTCTCTCCGTGGGCCATGGGCTTGGGTTCCTGGGAATTTGTTTTCCATTCGGAGATCAAAGGAACAGAAATGCTGGACACCAGGTTCCCAGGCAAAACAAAACAAACATATCAGAGTGGAGAAACTTTTATTAACTTAACAGCTGGCATCAGGCCTCAGAGGAACTGTAACATAATTTGGACAAAAATATTGTGAGGAGTCTTAGGGAGGAAGGTAAGAACTCATGAGTCTGGAGCCAAAGCTTTGGGGCAAGGGAGGATGCTGCCTGTGAGGGGGAAGACTTTGCAGCTTGATGAAGAATACTTCATATTTATTGATACGTTGCTTTGCACTAAGGAAGATGTGTACTTTGTGCTTTAATGTATTGCAGCAATCAAGGTGCTGGATTACAAAAAAAGAACAGAAAGGAAAAAGAGAGAGGGAGAAAAGGAAAATAAAAGAACAGAAAATAACAAAAAAGAAAGGCAAAGGAACCATCTGTGGCTAGCTGAAGCAGTGGAGGAAATCTATTAGAAGGTATATGAGTTAGATATAATATAAGGCACATGGCTATGCAAAGAAGAGAGAGCCCAGAAATAACAGTGGCTTAAATTAGACAGAGATTTCTTTCTTTCTCAGTAAGTAGCCAAAATGTTATGGTAGTTGTCTTAGTTGGTTCAGGATACCATAACAAAATAGCTCAGATTGGGTGAGCTGTGAAATTTATTACTCACAGTTGTAGAGGCTGGGAAGTCCAAGATCAAGATGCTGGCAGATTCAGTGTCTGGTGAGGGCTTCATAGATGGAGCCTTGTTGAAGCATTCTCACATGGCAGAAGGGCAAAAGGGGGTGAAGGGGTGAACAGAACCCCTTGAGCCCTTTCTAGGAGCATGAATCCCATTTGTAAGGGTAGAGCCCTCATGGCCAATTGCCTCCTAAAGGCCCCATCTCTTAATACTATTGCATTGGGGATTAAGTTTCAACATGAATTTTGGAGGGGTATAACCATTGAAATCATAGCAGTGGTTCTGCTTCAAGAAGTTTTCAGGCCCTGGTTTGTGGATCCCCTAACCCTAGGTATTGCCCTCAGGATGTGGTCCAGGAAGCCTTACTCCATATCCACATTCTAGCCAGGAGGGAAGGGAGAAAGCAAGGGGGAAGGAATGCTCCTTCCTTGGAAGGCACCACCTGGAAGGTGCCCACCTCTCTTCTGCTCACACCTGCTGTCCACAGCACAGTCAATGGCCACACTTGGAACAAGGGAACCTGGAAAAGCCATTGTAATCTAAGCAGTCATTGGCCCAGCTAAATAATCTATTACTACATAAGCAGGAAGATGGCTCTTGGGAGGATCCACAAGTCTCTGCCACCGATGAGATTGGGCAGCCTAGATAATTGTTGGCAAGAGTGAGGAATCAGGCTTAGAAAACTGGTAGGAGTCAAACTAGCCACAGGGCAGGACCCCAGCCCCATCATACTAATGGACAGGCTGGCTGGGGTATGTCACCACTGCTGCCACTGGGAAGGATTTCCCGTCTGTTCCTGCATCTTTGCACAAGATCCAGAAGGGCAGCGTTCTGCAGGTGGAGTCAACGTCACAGGCCCAGGTACCAACTGCCAGGGGGTGGAGAGGAAAGACTTCAGGACCCCTCACTGACTTCCGTGGAAGGAAAGGGTACGGGACCCACCCACACTAGAGGCAACTGAGAATTGCTCCCCAAATGTGATGGGAGTTGGATATCTGATGATGTGTACCACCCCTTGAAAGCCAAAAGCAAATGTTCATGACACATGCCATTTCATCCTCACAGCCATCTAGTGAGGTGAATCTCTTCATAAGCCCCAGCGTTCAAGAGAAATTGAGGAGCATAACTGGAGTCACATTTGTCACTCACTTACGTAGCGCTTCCTATGAGCTAGGCATGGTTGTAAGCAGATTACAAATATTAACTTTTAAAATTTGTCTTAGCTTCAGAACAACCAATTAGGACATCTTAGTATCCCCATTTTATAGAAGCACCAAATGGCAAGGGGATTTGCTCAGGATCACAAAATTACTAAGCAGGAGCAAAACTGGGATTTGAACCCAGACACTCTGGCTCCAAGTCTGTGCCTATAACCACTATTCTACACTGCTAGCAAATGTAAGAAATACCCAGGGAAAGATATATGGCTGTGCATTCTGAGATGAGGCCCAGCCCCAGGCTTTCCAAACAATTTTTCGTAAAAGATGTTAATTTCACGAATGCTTTATGTGAATTCTTGTTGTTGCTGCTATTCCGGAAACCAAGCAGATTTCATGTCAGGGTCAGTGAGGCACAGTTCAGAGATAGCTGCTACAGGAAACTGGGGACCAGGAGGAAGAAAGACTCTGAGAAGTGAGTATTTCCCCTTACCTCCCCGCCATCCCCTGCAGGAAGTTAGGAAAAATATAGAAGAAGGCTTTGAACTTCACTAGGTCTTAGAACAAAGGGCATGATGACAATCATTTAGGCTTTAGAAGTAGGGTGGCCAACAGCCGCCATCTCGGTCACCCAAACTCTAAAGCCAGCAAGCAAGGGGCTCAGCCTCCCATGCCCTGTAGACCCTTCATATACACACAGAAGATCCTGGAGCTTCAGTCAGGGCTACTACCTGGGAACTGAACTTACAAATTTAAATTTTACGTACTTACCCAGTCCTGACTCCAGTCCAACACAGTGCTCTGAGCAGGCTGCAGCCCCAGAAGGCTGACAAAGAGCAAAGGGGTCTGCAAAATCCACCAAGGAGCTATCCATCTCCAGAATTTAGCCAGGGCATCCCATGGCTTATCCTAGGGTGCTGGGCCCTAGGGTGAGCAGCTTTGGGGGAGCCCCATGTCAGAGACAGAGCTATGCCTACTGCAGACACTTCCCTTCCTCCTGCCAGGCCATGGCTGGTGTGAGAGCTGGCGCGCTGGGAGTTGTTGGGTCCTCAGAGGCCTGCCGTCTATTCCCTGCATCAAGGAGGCTCAAGGTGTCATTGATTGAGTCACACCACACCTTAATACCACTAATCAGGTCCCCAAGCATGAAGAGACCCCACTCCTTATCCCCTCAAAATTCACAGGCCAAGGGGCAACAACTACTGTAACACATGTAAGTATATATTGCTAATTATTATTATTGTTGTTGTTGTTATTCTAGCCATTATCTTTTAGTATTTGCAGTGCCAGATTAGGCTGTTGACATTTGCTATCTTTGGCCCTGCCACGACATGTGAGGCAGGGATCCCATCTCCATCCTGCAGATGAAGAAATGGAAGCTTGGAAAGACGAACGGACGATCATGAAGCTTGCAAAAGGCAGAACCAGGATGCAAGCCCCTTCCCCATGCTGGATGAAGATCACATCACCACCAAGAACAGAGAATGGCTCGCCCTTCTAGGAGCAAAACAGACAGTTTTGAGGCAGCCTGAAGAAAAATGTCATCAGAGGGAGGGTTGACGGACTGATCAGCAAGACTGTCTCCTTGAGGGCCCCTTACCTTGGTCTCCAGGAGACATACTCGGGGCCCCAGCATGCCAGGATGAACCCTGAGGGAATTCCAGCTGTCCCTGGAGAGCTTCACACCCACAGCCCAGCTGGAGGGGCACATCGGAGAAGCCGTTTTGTATCACGTGATGCCTTCCCTGACATCCGTAGCTGATTGGACCAGGGGTGAATGGCTAATCCAGGAGAAGCCAGTCCACTGTGGGGCCAGAGACCTACTTTTCTTTCACTAAAAATATGAACTAAGGAATATGAAGACTCTGGTTAATGGGTGGTGGTTCTGGGTCTGTGTCTGTGGAATTGGGGCTTTGGACCCCACAGTAGGTCAATGTTGGCAAGCATATTTTTTTATGCTCCCTCTCCCAACAGACCAGCAGACTTTTGCTTGCATGTCTTGGACCAAAATTATAGGAGGAAAGAAGCCACAAGGATGCAGAGTAAGTAGATTTTCAGAGAAGAATGGAACAGAGACACACACACACAAAAAGCAGCAGCATAGAAGACTATACTGAAGAAGGAGAGAGAGAGGAAACAAATGACAGAAAGATACTTTCTTGGTCCCTCCCCATTCCAGGTTTCATGAGATCCCCATTTTATTTCCGTGATATTTGTACCCTCCCCAACCTGAATTGAGCTATTTTGCAGGGCTTCTATTATTTGCAATGAAACAATCTCTGACTAACAGGAAATTTGAATAGACTTGCAAATAATAAGCTCTTGGAGGAAATATGAGCTGACTATGGGATCAAAGAAAATAGAGAGGCAATGAGGATTGTGGTAGATTAAATGGCCATAAATTCCTCCCATCTCAGTACAGCCTCTTCTTTGTAACATGATTGTGCTGAGTCTCCCAGCCAGGGGTGGAGTTCTTTCTCTATCCCCTTAAACCTAAGCTAGCCAGTGGCAATAGAATCTGGCAGAAGTGATGTTGTGTGAATTTCAGAGCCCAGGCCTCAAGAGGCCATTCAGTTTCTGCCTTTGCCCTCTGGGCATGCTACCCTGAGCCTACTCATGTAAGCAAGCCCAGGTTAGCCTGGAGGATGACAGACCACATGGAGGAGAACCCAGGCACCCCAGCCAATAGCCAGCACCAACTGCCAGTCCTCCAGCTGCATGCAGCCATATTTAAGTGAGCCCAGCAGAAACAGCAGAGGAACCACCCAGACAACATGAGAAGTGCTAGATTATTGTTTTAAACCAAGTTTTGGGGTAGGTTTTATACTGCCATTGATAACAGTTAATAAAAATTGGTACCTGGAAGTAGGCTGCTTCCATAAAGCAAAGCTGAACGATGTACATTGGCCCTGGAACCCAGACATTGGGTGGAGGCTAAGGGAACTGGGGAAACCATCCATGGAGGCTGGAGTAGGTGGACTGTAAGCATATTGCCATTGGAGGTTGAAGAAAGGGGACTCATGTTATGTCATGGCAGAACCGTTGGCAAGGCTGTCACCAAAGAAACTTGGGAAATAGAAAATGTGCCAAATGGACTTATGGATCTGGCTAAGGAGATTTCCAAGCAGAGCCTGGAAAGAGCTAATTGGCTCCTTTTAGGGTTGTATGATAAGGCACAGGAAGAGAGATGAACCAAAACTATTTAGTTGGTAAGAAAAATTTAGAGGTAACAGAAGAACAGAATATGCGGAGTTGAAAAATAAAACTGTTCTTTATCCCTTAACCTTTCTTGGAAAAATATTCTGAGTGAAAACAACCTTAGGGTTAAGACAGAATCAAGGCTGTAAAAACCCTTTGTTAAGACCTCAAAATGATTTCAAGTGATGCCCAGCAGTGCCTCACAGCTGTACAAAAGGGCTTCTAAGAACCTTAAGAGTATTGAGCTACAGCAGCTGGACATGCCCAAAGTGGAAAAAAAAACCTGTCTCAAAGAGAATTATGTGGCTTTGGGAGCACTGAATGCCCCCAGTAAGATTCATAGAAAACCCACAATGTTTGAGGGAATTGTATTAACAAGAGTATCACTAGTTCGGACTAAAAGGGACTAAGACAGTTTCAAATGAAAAGAGTACTCTGGGCCTCTGAATTTACAAGCAGAAAGCTGACCATGAAAGCTATTTAGTTGCAAAAAAATTCATATGGAATAGGAGAATCTCAGAGAGCAGAGGCAGGAGCTCAAAGAATGGAGGCAAGAGCTAAAAAGAACAATGAACTGGAGACCACCACCAGGAAGCCAAGCTAGGCCCTAATCAAGGAGCGTCTCCTATCCCCAGAGGAGGTGGACTTGACAAGATGTGCCTGGATAGATTTCAAAATTGCTAGGGACCAGAGATTTTTACATGCCTAATGGTCCTTCCTTGTTATGGATTGTGTCCATAATGTCTTGCCATTGTATGTTGGGTGTCTGCAGGTTCAAACAACTTGCCTTTTTATTTCACAAATGTTGGATGGAGAGGAGCCCCACTGACATCCAAACCTGATCTAGACCATGAGACTTTGGATAATGATCCTGATGCTATAAGTAGGGTAAGATTTATGGGGGCTTGGAGACAGGATACACATAATTTCCTGTGGAAAGAACATGAATAATTTGTGGCCAGAAGGCAGATGTGGTAGGACTTGTAATGGCTGCAATCCAATCCCACATGTTTACCCCTTTGCAATGTAGAATCTATTCCATCCCCTCAAATCTAAGGTGGTCTTTGGATTGCTTTCACTAATAGAATGTGGCAGAAGTGAGATTGTGTGAGTTTTACAGGCTAAATGCCAGGAGACATTTGACTACTGAGTTTGCTCTTTTGAAACAGACATGAGATCTGGAGCTCCAGCAGCCATCTTGTGACCAAGAGACTTCAAGCATAAGATGAAAAACAAGGATCTCCAAGAAGACAGACTGGAATTCTGGACTTCTGATGGCATTGTTGAGGCCTGAACTATAACCCCAATCACCTACTGCAAGATGAGGAAATAACACCTTATTGATTTAGGGCCTAAATTTCAGGCCAGTGGTTCTGAAAGTCTGGGACTAATTTGAACATCACCAGCATCACGTAGAGACTCATCAGAAAAGCAAATTCATGAGCCCCCGTCAGATGTGCATCATCACAAACTCTGAGCTATCTGAGGTTTAACAAATCCTCCAGGTGATTCTAATGCACATTGAAGTTTAGGAACCCATTGGCACAAGTGACTGGTTAACCTAGTACTTGTTTACTTACATCTGAGTGCAAGCTTCATTGATACCACATCTCTGAGCTTTTGCTCAAAGCCTTTTCTCTGCCTCTAATGCCCAATTTTCCTCCTCTCTGCCAGTCTTTCTTACTAAATGAATTAATTTCAATCATAGAAACCAAGAATGGCAAAAATTCAGCTGCTGCAGTTTGGCAAGGTGTATGGTTATTTTCTGAATTTGGTCTCAGCAGTCTCAGAGGGCTGGATACAAGCAAAAAGCTACAAAATTGCCCTATTTAAAAATTTTTTTTTGGTTCCAGATGGAAAACCCAGAATTAGTGTTTGTCTCTCTCCCTTTTACATTAGACCAGAAGGAGTGTTCAGTGTGTGCCAGGATTCTTCTTTTCAGCAGCCACAGGTCCCCAAGGCTCCCCTCTCATTAGGGTCACAAGCCAGGCCTGCAGCTTATCCACTGTGGGCTGCTAGCATGTCGAAGCAGACAGTTGTTTTCATTAGATTTTGCCGCATAGCAAGTCTTGCCAAATCTTGGTAGTGTAAGTGACAATAATGTATTATTTTCCTGATTCTGTAGTTGATCAGGCAGTTCTTCTGCTGGTCGGGCAGTTCTTCTGCTGGTCTTACCTGCATTCTGCTGGAAGATCAGCTGTGGACTGAGTAGCTGTGATGCTGGGCCCTTCTATCTCCACGTGGTCTTTCAGCCCAGATTTCTTTATGGCATGGTTGTGTCAGGGCAGAGTATTTAAGGAAGGAAGAGAGTAGAAGATGATCTGTGGAGTCGTGGAGTTTGATTCCTTTACCAGGAATTCAAAGCTTTGTTTGAAAGACCAATCCCCCTCCACCTACTGCTCGCTCCAACTCCCCCTACCAAATTGTCAGGTGCATATCATGGACTGTTGCTGGCTGTAAATATACTGGGAAGCTGAGTGAGTAGCTTTCTCACCTCCCTAGTAGAGGCATGCAGGGAAAAGGGGATGGGAAATGAAGGTACAGTGTGTGTCACTGATGTGAAGGTCCCTGGCTTGCCAAACAACGGGCTGTAGCAAAAAATTCTGGAGTCTAGTCTTGCTGGAATCGAGTGAGGAACATCATAGGCACCCAATCAATGTTTATGAATGAAAGCCAAGAGTGGGTGCAGAAGGAACAATGGGATGAGACTTCTTCCCATTGGGATGATCTTGGATACGTCACTTTATTCTCTAAATCCGTTTCCTTTTCTGTGAAAAAAGCAAATTACTGCATGGGGTTGTGTGGACATTAAATGAGATATTATATGTAAAAGGGTCCTCAGTGGGGCCTTTTCCCCTGAAAGGTGAGGTGGAACCTGGGGTTTGCAGCTTAATGTAGCCTCCAATGGCCAAAGGCTTGCTGTAGGCTGGGCTCCATGCTAAACCCTTTGTGTCCTTTTTTCATTTCCTTTCCATGATAGCATTCCCATTCAGATGAGAAAACTGGGGATCATAGAGGCTTTGAGAGGTTCCAGCTGGTAAGCAGAGAGCAAAGGCTCAAACCAGGTCTGTTGGGCTCCAAGCATGCACCCCTAATCACTACTCTAAATTGCTTTTACAGAAAAATAAGTCAATGCAGAGCTTCCAACACCATCAGCTCACTGTGGTTCTGCCTTCATGGGCCAGTAACTCAGCCAAAGCCTGGAGATTCTGGAAACTGCCTCCATTGCCTTTGCTGTCCCTGCCCCTCTGCTGGAAGTCGCCCACAGGTGCCAGCTGGGGCCAGCCTCCCCCAAGACTGCCTCCCCCATCAGGAGTGGAGTCCTGCCAGGTTAGCAGAGCGGCTTCCAATTAGACATCATCTCCTGCCCAGGCAGGAGGCAGAAAGCAGGCGGAGCTCAGTGGGGTGCAGGCAGTTAGAGGGTAATTAGATGTGGATGCGGAACAGCTCCCTTAATGAGAAGGCTGCTGTGGGTGAGGGACACGCAAGAGAAGCATCACTTCAGGCACCTGCCGCCACCAGCATCTGGCCCTGGGCAGGCTGGGGAAGGAAAAAAGAATTCACGTTATTTGTGGCCCAGGCTCTGTGCTGGCTACAGGGCTCCTTTACCCTCATAACACCCTCCCAAGGGCAGGAATAGCATCCTATCCTGCAGAGGAGAACACTGAGACTCAGGGAAGGAAAACACTGCTCAACCCCTCCAGGGCACACAGCTAGAATGTGGCAGACAAAGAGGTTAAGAGGTCTCAATCCCAGGTCTGAGCCCTTTCTCCTCTAGCACACCACTGCCCCCATGTTCTTCATCTGCTCTCATCCTCTGACACTAGAGCATCTGATGGGCACTCATAGTTGACACCAAGGATGATATTCAAATTATTCCTCACCTGGTATGGCAGGGCTATGACCAGCTAGAACACACCCAGGCCTTCTGGAGGCCTGAAGCAGGGTCCTGAAGGGCCCTGGTTGTGGCAAGCATTAATCCCTTGGTTGCTGGATTGTGAGAAGGATCTCAGGAGAGGGCTGGGGTGGTTGGAACAGCTGTGGTGGTAAAAATACTCAGGGGCTTGGGGGAGCAGCTTTTAACCAACTGGTATAAAAGAATCTCAGTTTTTAATAACCAGCATTGCTCTAATAACCAACACATGTCGAAAGAACCTTCATCTCCTATTGGGTCTACCCTTAAAGGTAACGTTTGCTTCTATGCCAGAGGGCTGGAACCAAGGAGGCTGCTAGTGGCATCCTGTTGAACACACCCCGCCCTTCACCCAGAGCTGGCACCCAATGCCCAAGATGAGTGACTCATGCTGTCTCCCCAGAGCAAGCAAGAGAGGGAACAGAGACTTCCCAGGCAGGAGCAGCCAGCCTCAGGGAAGCCCCCATCTGGCTGAGGCAATCTAGTCCATCTGGAAAAGGGGAGAATGTGCCAAACACTACAGCAGCTGTGCCCAAATCAAGTTCTGCAGATCCAAAAAGTTGTCCTCAGCAAAGAGGGTTCCTTGAGTAAATCTGTTTGGGAAATACCGCATGCCCCACACTCCCTCAGGACAGTCACAGCACAGATTGGCATATTCAAGGTTCTGAGAAATTCCAGGGTAAAAAGGCCTTCCGATTTTATGTAACCTCACATTTTCCAGGCACATTTAATTACAGAGCCTGCTCTTTGTTTAGCCCTAATGGGACTCAGAGGGCATGAGTTTACCTTGGGATGCAGCTTGGGAAACACCATTATAGACAGATCCCTTCTTTCATCCCAGCAGCCCAGACTTTGCCTCTCAGCCAAAGCTAATACCAAGGGTGGGTCTGTGTCCTGCTGGCAAAGGGTGAACAGATCCAGGGGAAAGGGAGGCAAGGTGTGGGGGAGTGAGTGCTGATCTGCACTCCAAGGCCCCCAAAAATGCTCCTTTACTCCCCCTGCATAGTATCCTTCCAGAAAATAATCAAAGCCAATCAATCCACAGGCTGGGAGCTCAAGAGATGCTCAGCCCTCCCTTGAGCTGGAAGAGAGGTTTAAGGCTGCAGCCCAGCCCCTGAGCACCAGGAAACAGTCCTGTTGTGGACTCCATGTCTGTGTCTTCCCAAACATCCTATGTGAAGCTCTAACCCCCAATGTGATGATATTTGGAGACGGGGCCTTTGGGAAGTACTTAAGTTTGATGAGTTAATAAGGGTGGGGCCCCCACGATGGAATTGGTGTCCTTGTAAGACCAGAGGAAGAGATGCTGGAACTAACTAACTCTCTCTCTCTCTCTCTCTCTCCCCCTCCCATGTGAGGTCATAGTGAGAAGATGGCTGTCTACAATCAGGAAGAGAGCTCTTACCAGGAACCAAATCTGCCAGAACCTTGATCATGGACTTCCAGACTTTAGAAATATGAGAATTCCTGTTGTTTAAGCCACCTAGTCTATGGTATTTTATTATGACAGCCAGAACTGACTAAGATGAGTCCCTTGGTCCCAAGAACTCTGGACTAGAATAGACATGTTCAAGTATGGGTTTTACTTCTGACCTGCTGTGTGACCTCAGCAAGTCACTTAACCTCTCTGAACCTCAGTTTCCATCGGTGTAATTGGATGATAACACTTAGATCACTGGGTTGTGGAAAGACTCAATAATGATGACAGCCACACTTATAGAGCACTAACTGTGTGCCCTGCGTGTCTGCTTGGTGTATAACCTCTGTCCTAGATTCTAGCTTTGTGCGGAGTGGACATCCCATGATGGATGCAGGGAAATAATGGGTGTATCTTAGCCTGGGTCTCCAGAAAGCAGAGCCAACAACAGAGGCTTAGCTGTGAGAGCGTGTTGCAGGGACTAGGAGCGTGTGCCAGGAGTCGCAGGCTGGCGATGGTGATGAGCTCTGAACAGAGTCAGTCCATCCCATGGGACTGCCAGAAGGACTCATCCAAAGAAGAAAGAGGGAGCGTTTATCACAGGTTCCATCTCCCCCAGGCTAAGAACGCCCCACGGGGAAGGTTCCCACCGGGCATCAACTTCCCCCATACTTCTAGGCTGTGCGTGTGTCTCAGTGGTCCCATTGTGAACTGGTACCCAGCCCAGAAATCCTTGATTTTGCTCTCCTTTCTGACACCTCAAATCTAATCTGTCAGCAAGACTGCTGGCTCTTCTCTTGAAACATTTCCAGAATCTCACTACTTTTGATCACATCCAGTGCTCCTGCCCCGGTGATAATCATCGGAATTACCAGCCTCCTAACTGGCCACCTGCTTCCCCTCTTGACCCCTCACTCTGCCCAGCAATCGGCTGATCTTTTCACAAGTAAATCAGAGCGGGTCACTCTGCAGCTTGAAACTTACAAGCCTGCAACCTACCTTCCCTTTACACCTGAGAACTTACCATGCTGAGCAGGGCCCCAAATTATACAGCCCCAAACGGGTCAGGTCTCATTTTTGTCACATTTCCCCAGGTCAATCCACTCTAGCCACACTGGATTCCCTTCTTCAGCCCACCAACCTCACGGCCTTTGTACCTGCTGTTTCCTCTGCCTGGAACAGTCTTCCCCTGGTTTTCTAAAAGGACCACTCCTTCACTGCTATCGTCTCTGCTCAAATATTTCCTTCCCAACCATTCTTTCCAAAAACAAACAAAAAACATCACCCCACCCACTGTCTACTCCCTGCCCTTCTTCTCTTGTCCTTGCAGCACTTACCCTTGCGTGGTGTCATATTATACTTTAGTCTCCAGCAAGTCTATCTGATGGAACTTCCTATAAGGATAGACATGTTCCACAACCCACGCTACTCAATACAATAGCCACTGACCACATATGGCTGTTGAGCACTTGAAATGCAGCCATTGTATCAGAGGAACTGAATTTTTAGTTTTGTTTCATTTTAAATACTTTGAATTTCCATTGCCCCGTGTGGCTAGTGGTTTCCACAGAGGATAGTGAAATTCTATAGTCTCAGTCTCCCCCAAAAGAATATTAGCGCTATGAGGATGACTCTTATCCCTTTTGTTCATAGATATGTCTAGGGCCTAACATATTTCCTTTTCTTTTCTTTTTTATTTTTATTGAGGCAGAGTCTCACTCTGTTGCCCAGGCAGGAGTGCAGTGGCGTGATCTCGGCTCACTGCAACCTCTGCCTCCCGGGTTCAAGTGATTCTCCCGCCTCAGCCTTCCAAGTAGCTGGGATTACAGGCGCCCACCACCACGCCCAGCTAATTTTTGTATTTTTAGTAGAGA
The DNA here is from genome assembly GCF_000001405.40 of Homo sapiens. Taxonomy (NCBI): domain Eukaryota; kingdom Metazoa; phylum Chordata; class Mammalia; order Primates; family Hominidae; genus Homo; species Homo sapiens. Next base: position 45,045,621 of record NC_000011.10, read on the forward strand.
TGGGTTTCACCCTGTTGGTCAGGCTGGTCTCAAACTCCTGACCTCAGGTGATCTGCCCGCCTTGGTCTCCTAAAGTGCTGGGATTACAGGCATGAGCCACCGCACCCGGTGCCCTAGCACACAAAGTAGGTGCTCAAAAAAGACTGGAGAATGAGTGACTCTATTATTATAGAATTACGTTCTCTTTTTTCCTTTTACATGAATGAGGGAACTAGAACCCAGAGACGGTAAGTGTTCAGCCAGCCACACACAGTGAGTTCCTGCCCACTGAATAACTTCCCTCCTCCACTCCTGTCCACTCTGCTCCCTGGTGGCTTGTTGGCAGCAGGGAACTGATTAAAACCAATCAGCCAATTTACCCTGGAGAATCCGGGATGTGGTGCTCCAGGTCGCAGCTGGCATGGGCTGAGACTGCAGGTGAAGGCATAGGTGTCTGTGCTGCCTCCACGAGCCAGTGGGGGTGGACGGAGATCCACGGGGTGCGTGAGTCACAGGATATTGCTCAAGATGACAACAGACAAAAAACAGACTAAAGCCCAGGAGACGACCAAGTGATTACTTTTTAAATCAAGAACTCTTTACAGATTTCTGCTAGGCCAGCCTCAGGCAACAGGGGTCAAAGAAGAGTCTAGCTGGGAATTGTAAAAGGAAACAGGAAACTTGTTTCCTGCCGATTGGCAGGAAGTGTGAGCAGGAGTGGTTTATATTTGGAAAGAGAAAGGTAAGGAGGGGGACCTAGGGAGTCTCTGTGGTCTGAAAATGCTGTTGACGTGGACAGTCCACCTTGCTGAGCTCAGCGTTGCCCCGATCTCCTGGGAGTGAGGACGGGCGCGGTTCCGATGCTTCACAGCGTGAATCTGCATCTTTTATTCACCTTCTCTAAGCCTCAGTTTCCTCATCTGCACAATGAAGAGAAGGAAGCCCACCCCCCACCCCCAGGAGATGTGAAATGTCAATAGACCAGTGTATGAAGTGCCCTGCACATAGCCGGTGCTTAGCAAATGGTAGCTTATGATATTATTGTCATCAAAGTCTCCGGGTGCTGTGAAAGATAGGAAGGTCAGAAAATACTTTTCTGAGCTCGTGACAAACTGGGCCTTGGACGAGCAGGCAAGGTGAGAAGGAAGCGCCAGGCAGAGGGAACAGCCTGACCAAAGGCTCAGAGGTGGGACGGGGGGGAGCTTATTTGGGCCACACAACTGGCAGGTCCTGATTCTCACCCCACTCCCAACTATGACTTTGGGAGGCTGTCTGTCTGTCCTGCCTCCTCCTCCTCCTCCCAATGGCTATCTCGGTGGGAGTCCTAGGGAGCAGGGTGAGGGCACTGGGGGAAGGAGAGGCAGGTTTTGGCGGCTCGGGCAGGTGGCAGTGGCAAGGGCCAGAGAGAACAGGCTGTGGTCTAGTTAATCAGCCCGGACACATCTGATTACCAAGAGGGGACGAGGACAGTCCCAAGGAGGGGCAGGACATCCTACATCTCTCCATCTAGGGTTGCTAGATTTAGCAAAAACAACAGACAAACAGAAAACAGGATGCCCAGTTAAATTTGGATCTCAGATAAATAGCAAATAATTTTTTAGCATAAGTGTGGAGAAGCCAAGACATACTTCTACCGAAAAATTTATTGTTTATATGAAACTCAAAAAGTATTCATTGTTTATCCATAACTGGGCATCCTGTATGCAGGCCTAGAGCTTGGTTGACAGTGTGGCCTTCATAACCAGGGCACCCTGGGCCAGGCCTGAGACCAACCGGACCCCTCAAAGTGGCCCCCTGTTGCTCCCCAATGGGGTTCAAGGGCCAAGGTCAGACCCACCCATTTCCCACCTTTGCCCAGTATCACACCACCCCCATTCCTTTTTTTTTTTTTTTAGATGGAGTTTTGCTCTTGTTGCCCAGGCTGAAGTGCAATGGAGCGATCTTGGCTCATTGCAACCTCTGCCTCCCAGGTTCAAGCAATTCTCCTGCCTCAGTCTCCTGAGTAGCTGAGATTACAGGCATACGCCACCACGCCCAGCTAATTTTGTATTTTTAGTAGAGATGGGCTTTCTCCATGTTGGTCAGGCTGGTCTCGAACTCCTGACCTCAGGTGATCCACCCACCTTGGCCTCCCAAAGTGTTTGGATTACAGGCGTGAGCCACCACGCCTGGCACCACCCCTATTCCAACCCCCATGTTCCTGCCTCCAGAACTTTACCCTTGTCATGCCTCTGGCCTGGAGCGCATTTCTTTTTTCTTCTTTTTTCTTTCTTTTTTTTTTTTTTTATTTTGAGATGGAGTCTCACTCTGTTGCCCAGGCTGGAGTGCAGTGGTGCCATCTCAGTTCACTGCAAGCTCTGCCTCCCGGGTTCACACCATTCTCCTGCCTCAGCCTCCCGAGTAGCTGGGACTACAGGTGCCTGCCACCATGCCGGCTAATTTTTTGTATTTTTAGTAAAGACGGGTTTCACCGTGTTAGCCAGGATGGTCTTGATGTCCTGACCTCGTGATCTGCCTGCCTCAGCTTCCCAAAGTGCTGGGATGACAGGCGCAAGCCACCACGCCCAGCCAAAGCACATTTCTTTCACTGTCTCCCCTACTTAATTCTAACTTTCCTGCCAGATAGAACTCACTTCAGTCCTCACCTTCTTGACCTCCTAGACGAGTTCCCTTGTTCTTAGTGTATCTTACAGCCCTGAACCTTCCTTTGGCTGCATACAGACACCATTCTGTTTACCTGTGAAACCCTCTGGTTTTGGTCCACACATCTTTGGCTTCCCATGCTACCCTGTGCCTGGGCCCAGACCCAGCGTTAGCAAGTACTCTGGCCATTTTTATTGTGTGAATGAACAGGAACTATTCCAGGAAATGGGAGGAGGCAGATAAGGAAGGTCTGAAGCACCCATGTGGTTGCCTCACATCTTCCCCAGAGAACAGGATCCTTACCAAACCACTGACCTGGCCTTCTGTCTCCAGGCAGGACAGGAGCCCATGGCCACGGTCAAGGGGACAGAGCTCGTGAGGGAGGCCAAGAGCTGACATCCCAGCTCTGCACCCCCGCCATTGTTCACTGTGGGCAGCCCTCGACCGCCCTCTGAGGCCCTACTACTCCCCTAAGTAATGCTGACCCTCACCCCCCCAGCTCTGCCTACTGTGAGTCTTGTCCCTGAAAACTGCATATTCTTTTGAGAGGGACATTGGTCTCCCCTGCCCCGGGAGGCTACAATCTCTGGACAGCCATAGGCAGCCAGGGCCTGTCCATCTTCTGTCCTCAGCTGCTCGCGCAGTGTCTGCACTTAGCACGAGCTCAGTGGTTAGCGGTAGGGTGAATGAATGAGTAAATAGCACATTTCCTCCACATCGTGTCAGTTTGTCAGGGACTGGGGGAAAGGGAGAGAGGCAGCAGTGGCAGATGGCCATTGGGACCAGGAGTAGGGACTAAAAAGGGAAGATGATGAGCACAGGGAAGGAGCCTGATCCACAGGCACGCTACTCTACGTTGATGTCATCTTGGACGAAACCCAGGAGGACTGGCTTATCACAAATTATGTCTCCCCAGGCTAGCGTTATCATCTGATTTCGAACAAATTACAGAATTAAGGGGGTGGGGCTGGGCCTGTCCTATATTTGGCTCTGGCATATCAGCGGAGCCAGTGAGCGTCTTCTGGGCTCGTGCACGCAAACCTGATTAAGGTCAGTTTGGGCAGGAAAGTCGCATGCTCCCCCAGATGGCCAAGGATCTCACAGACAGGAGGTGGAGGCAGGGAGGAGCCAGTCAGCCTGAGACACACGCACCTCCAGCCGCCAGTCCGCCAGTTCCCACTAACTCAAATGATGTAGCTGTGGCTGGGTGGGGGGCGGCAGCTGGCAGATGCTGTGTTGACAGAAGGTATTTCTAGCACCTCTGATGAGGACCAGATTATGCCCAGCATCCAGGGAGGTTGGGAGCGTGTGCAAGAGAAACCAAGGAGGTGGGAATGAGTACATCTTGTAGAAAAGGAGGGGGAGGCTGGGAGGTGGGAGAAGCTGGGAGCGGGGGCTGCGGTGGTGTGAATTAGAGCAGGGCTTCTGATTTCTCTTGCAGCCTTAGCTCTTGCTACCTGTAGAGGACATCTGGTGTTTTTGTCTGCTTAACATTTATTTCCTTCCTTCTGGAAACGTCATCCTGATTTGGCTTTGAGGAAATACCCTGCCTCCACTCTTGGCCCATGTAGCCCAGGCAGGGCCGACCCCACCCCTCAGATTCACAGGTGGGCCCAAGCCTCAGCCTGGAGTACAGCCCTGAGTGCAGGGCCTGACTCAGGGATGGCTTGGCATAGAAGCTGGGTCAACCAGTGTCAGCACTGAGACTGTGGTTGGAATGACTGGGAAATCAATATTTTTTCCCAATTGAGACTGAAGCAGGGAGCAGGGAACCCCTAAGATGTGGCTAGGCTCTATCTCAGAAAAAAGCCAGTGCCAAAGAAAGCAGAACAAGAAAAATGAAACAAGAAAGAAGAAATCGAAATGACATAGTTTGAGCACCTGGATCCAGCTGCACCTGAAGCTCATCTCTTGGACTCTTCTGAAAACACGAGCAAAAAATCCCCTTTCAGCTGAATTTCTGTAATTTTCACCCCCCCACCAAAAAAAACTTGATTATTTTTAGTCCTACACTCACGCCATATGAGCCTAGTTGCAGGTTCTCAGAACAGATTGAACACCACCCCCTCCAGATTGTTACTCGGGCTGTAACCTCTCCCAGGAATACCATCCCAGTCTCACAGTCTCTTGTTAAAACGCTACTCTACCCTTCACTCAAATGTCACCTACTTCAAGGCACATCCCAAGATGCTGCATTCAAGATGTTTCCTCTTTGACGCTCCCAGAGCTGACTGAGTGGACCTTTGTTATGGGGCGCGGGGCAATGGAGCTGAGGCTGCACCATGTTTGTGAGTATTTAACCCTCTCTTCATTGAGCCCAGCACTGTGCCAGGAGCTTAACAAGTATGTTCTCCTTTCATCTTCACACCTGCTCCTTGAGGTAGTATCTCTACAATCTCTATCCCGCTGGTGCACCGTTGACCCAGGGAGGCTGAGAGACATGCTTCATGTCGAAGGTAAGAGCCTGGATCAGGCCTGCAGAGTTCCATCTCTAGCCTGCCATGTCATGCTGGCCTCTGGCCTCATTTGCCTGCCAGGGTCTTTCTCCCACCTTTTACTGCAGTGACCAACGTGAAAAGTGGAGGGCTTAAGAGTGTAAACTCTGGAGTCACCCTGCTTGGGTTCAAATGCAAGCTCAACTTCCCAGGAGCTGTGTGACCTTGGGCAAATAACTCCTCTGAGCTTCCCTTTCTTTTTTAAAAAATCAGAATAAAATACACTTAATGTAAAATTTACTGTCTTAACCATGTTTAAGCGTACAGCTTAGTAGCATGAACTACATTCACACTGCTATGCAACCATCACCACCGCCCAGCTCCAGAACTCTTTATCTTGCAAAACTAAAATTTTGTACCCATGAAACAATGACTCCTCATTCCCCCAAGTCCCAGCCCCTGGCAGCCACCATTCCACTTTCTGTCTCTATGAATTTGAACACTCTAGGAACCTCACATAGGTAGAATCATACAGTATTTGTCCATTTGTGACTCACTTATTTCACCTAACATAATGTCACGAAGGTTTATCCATGTCATAGCGTGTTTCACTTTCCTTCCTCTTTAAGGCTAAATAATATTCCATTGTATGTCTTCCACGTGATCCCTAAACTGAGGCTAGAATTTATCTCTATGGTAAAAATTAGCCATTAGTATAGGCATCATGGCCAGCTCTCTATAGCCTGGAGTGGGCCAGAGATGAAGAGGAGGGCATCTCGGTTGGGAGGGCCATACTCCTGCCAACGAGAGGGCAAGGTCATGTTGAGGCCCATCATCTGCGCTGCTTCCCATTCAAACAATTGTCCACAGGGACGACAAGAGAGGGAAGGATTCTCAAACAATTGTCCACAGGGACAAAAAGAAAGAGAAGGATTCTTTGGTGTGCCATGGGAGATAGGGTGTCCCTGCAGCAAGAGGGCATTCTTGATTCCAATTCTTCTCCCATCTGCAGAGTATGCCTCTTCTGAGCCAGGAGCGTGCTGGGAGCCATCATAGCCCTCGCCAGCTCTCCTCCCAAATGCCAAGGAAATGTTCATCAGAGGAATGGCAGGACAGGGGGGTGGGCAAGAAAAGTGCCAATCCAGAAACTCTTGGCTGAGCCCCCAGTTTCAAGGCAATGTTGCAACTTCCCCCTAGGATCTGCAAGGTGTCAATACTGCAGGGAAAGGAAATTAAACACTTAGTGCCAGTTGAGGAGAGCTGCTTGCAGGAATGCCAGGGAGGACGGATGTTTTGGGCCCGGAGACTGGCTTCTCAGAAGCACTCCTTTGAGATAGGGCTGCCTCTCTGGATTCATCCCAGCACCTCTTGGGCAGCTGCATGGATGGAGCAGGCCCAGATCTGGACACCGTGGAGGGCAGGGAGAGGAGGGGAGGGAGACTCACTACCAACTACCCTGGGCCTGTAGTCAGTGTTTGGTCTGTCAGATGCAGGCACTGAAGACACCGTCTACCTGTGAGATTCCATCCGGAATACCCTCTTCCTCCTTCAAAAATGCTCAGAATTAGACTCAATGCATCACTCCCCCACCAGGTTAGGAAGTGAAGCTGGTGGCTTTCGGGAGTTACCCGGGTTGGGAGGACATGGCATTCTTGCTGTCAGTGAGAAAGATGACCAGGCTAGGAAGTGCCTGCTACCATGACCTCTACCCATTTCACCCCCCATTATCGACGGACACACCACCCCCTGCCATGGAAGGTCGGATTATTGTCGCCAGCTCTCCACTGCCTCCCTGTCATAGAATTACAAGTCCACACCCTTTGCCATGTTGGGCCTGGCTGTGGGCCTTGCTTGGGCCAGTGGAATGCAGCAAACACCCTGTGAGGTTTTAAATGTGCTTACATAATTTGGCTTGGCCTCGTGTGCTTCTGCCATCTGCCCTGAGAAGAGCATACCCCCAGGAGCAGCAGCAACGAGTCCAACTAAAAGAAGGAAAACATGGCTCTGAACACAGCCCCATCCCAGAGCCACACCTGAATGAACCAAGCAGAAATCAGCTGAGCCCCAGAAGTGAGACCCAGAAGTGAGAAAAGTAAATATCTGTTCCTGTGGGCCATTGCAATTTTGCTGTTTGTTCTTCAGTATTAGTGCAGCAAGCAGGACTAATACACCAGATATAAGTACACATATGTGTGTTCAAACAACATAAATGCAAGTTCATCCACAAATATATGCCAGATGCATATCATAGATACACAAACTACAATGCACCTATGACTTCTCCCTCAGGCGGGGAGCCTGGGCAGTCCCATACGTGTCCCACTGAATCACACTGGTTGTCTTTGCAGGAGACGCTCAGTGGGCCTTACTCCTAACCCAAGGCTGGGATGCTGTGCCCTCCTTTCTTCAATCAAGAGCCTGAAGGAAACTTGAGAGCAGGGCCATGTCTGGCTCACTTCTGTGTCCCAATATGACCCAGGTGGGACTCGCCACACAAACTCAAATGCCCAGTTAGAGATTGCTGGGTGGACACAATCCAACATCCTACTGGGCATTTTCTTTCTGGAGACTGGGGACCCTTGGGGCCCCACCAGCTTGGAATTCTGGGATTCTCTTAGCCTGTGCTGATGTCAGCAGGCTGAAGGGAGACTGCGTAGCAGAGGGGAGGGCTATGCCAGGTGTGAGGGATCGGGCCCCACTCCCAGCTGCCACAGCCACAGTGACCCTGCCCTCTGAGCCACACCTTGCCCCCATCCTGAGGAGCCCCAGGGGCCTTTGCTGACATCCTGGCTTAGCCTCAGGGCCCATCCCTGAGCAGGGAGGCAAGGCCTTAGCATCTCAGGGGGGACAGAATTGCACTCTGGTGTCAGAGTTTTGGATTCAATCCCCGTTCTGCCCTGGTTACCTGTGGGACCTTGGGCACTTCACCTCTCTGGCCTCAGTCTCTTCTTCTGTAGCCTACTCAAGGACAGCCCTTCATTTGAGCCTTACATGCCAGCCCCTCACACCCACTCCAGGGTTTTTTCCTCTCTCCCTCCTGCATTGAATTCTTCCTCCTGCATTGAATTCTTCCTCCATCCTGGATCACCCTCCACAGCATACAAACCTGTTCTAATTGTGCCCATCTTAAAACTGGGGAATAACCAGAAAACCTTCCTCAGGTCAGCTCCCCTGACACACCGATCTTTCCCTGTGCCCTTTATAGGAAAATTCCTTGAAGAGTTGCCAGGTGGCATCTGGGAAGCAGGCGGCCTCCATTTCCTCGCCTCCTGTTCCCTCTCGAACCTACTTCAGGAGGATTTTGTCCCCACGATTCCACAAAAACACTCTCGTCAGGGTCACCAGTGGTCCATGTTGCTAAATCCACTGTCATTTCGCCGGCTTCATCTCCCTGGCTCTGATCACCAGTTGGTTGCCCCTGCAGCCCCCGCCTACTCCTGTCATGGGGACTCTACATTCCTGGTTTTCCTCTGGCCTGCTGGCTGACAGATCACCCCATCCTCTGTTGATTCCACCTCACCTGCTGGCTTCTAACGCCGAGGTCCCAGGGCTCCGTGGGCTTCTCTGCTGTCTGCACTCACATCCCCGGGGATCACAAATGCAAATACAGCTTATGCATGGGAGGATACGAGCCCAGACCTTCCCTCTGACCTACAAGCCTACTGAGATCTCCACTTCCATGACTAATGGGCACCTAACATCCAATGCCTCCACAGCCATCATCTCGGTGTTTCCCATCTCAACAAATGGAAAGAAATAGCCCCCACTTTCAGCCGCTCAGTCCAACACCTGGAGTGACTCTTGGCAACTTTCTTCCTCTGATGTCCCCTCCTGTCCCTCAGCATAGTAGACATCTGCACTTTGGGAGGCCGAGTTGGGCGGATCATGAGGTCAGGAGTTCGAGACCAGCCTGACCAACATGGTGAAACCCCGACTGTACTAAAAATACAAAAAAAAATTAGCCGGGGGTGGTGGCACACACCTGTAATCCCAGCTACTCAGGAGGCTGAGGCAGGAGAATCGCTTGAACCTGGGAGGCGGAAGTTGCAGTGAGCTGAGATTGTGCCACTGCACTCCAGCCCGGGTAACAGAGCAAGACTTTATCTCAAAAAAAAAAAAAAAAAAAAAAAAAAAAAAAATCCATTCTATTCCATTCTAATGGGCATTTCACATCAGAATGTGTCCCTAATCTGCTGACATCTCTCTTTTCCTCCCCTCCTCCTTCCAGAGCCTCCCTGCTTGTAGCTTTTCTGTCCCAAGGACCTCCTCACTACCCCAAGGTGCTCCATTGCACTCAAGGCAAATGCGCAGGTCCCTGCCCTGATCCACAGGGCCCTCCATGCTCACCTCCTGGGACCTCTGACTCATCCTCTGTTTCTCTCCCGCTCGCTCACTCTGTTCCCTCCCTATCGTCACACTGATCCCCTGGCTGCTCTTCAAACACCCCTGGAGGGCACACCCCACCTTACAGGCTCTGCAGGGGCTGTCCCTCCACTGGGCACTTCACTCCGTGTCACACAGCTCCCCGGCCTGCCATCTTCCTCCAGACCTGGGCTCCAGTCTCACTGCCTCCCGACTGCAAATTCCACCCCAACCTCGACACTCAGTAGACCCCTGCCTAGCTGGATCTCCCTCTGTGATGCATAGTTATTGCTTTTATTGCTGGTTTCCACCCTAGAATGTCAGCTCCATGAGTGCAGGGATTGTGCGTGTTGTTTCTTTTAATCATCACACCAAGAACACAGGGAGTGCTCAATAGCTGGTAAAGAACCATCAGTGAGCATGGACAAGCTGCCTCGTAGGGTTTTGGCTTAAATGATAGAGCTCAGATAAGGCGCTCAGCCTGGGGCACGTGGATGCCACATGGTAGAAGTCGGCAGTTATGTGATTGTCACTGCTGCCATTGTCATCATTTCCTTTTTCACAGATGGAGAAAGCAGGGCTCAGAGACCCAAGGCCTGGCTCAAGGTCACAGAGCATGGCCAGAGCCAATCAGACCCACCTGGACCAACTCCCTCTCCCCACTGACAGGTGGGCCACCCCTCTCCTCTAAGACCCTGTATTAGTCTGTTCTCACACAGCTATAAAGAACGATCTGAGACTGAGTAATTTATGAAGAAAAGAGGTACACCAACATGGCACATGTATACATATGTAACAAACCTGCACATTGTGCACATGTACCCTAGAACTTAAAGCATAATAAAATATATATATTATATATATATATAAAAGAAAAGAGGTTTAATTGACTCACAGTTCCACAGGCTTAACAGGACGCATGACTGGGAGGCCTCAGGAAACTTACAGTCATGGCAGAAGAAGAAAGGGAAGCAAGGACCTTCTTCCCATGGTGGCAGGCAGGAGAGAGAGAGAGTGAGGGGGGAAGTGCCACACACTTTTAAACCACCAGATCTCGTGAGAATTCACTCACTATCACGAGAACAGCATGGGGGAAATCTGCCCCCATGATCCAATCACCTCCCACCAGGTCCCACCGCCCCAACACTGGGAATTACGATTTGACATGAGATTTGGGTAGGGGCACAGAGCCAAACCATATCAGACCCCAAAACCTCAAGGCGAGATTTGAAAAGTACTAGAGCTGGGATGGAGCCCAAATATAATCTGTCTTGAGGTTTTAAGCTCTTTTTTGATGTTCACATTCCCTGGACAAAAAGCAGGTGGTAACAGCCCAACACATTAAACAGGTAAAGAGGAAAGGAGCTATTCTAGCTGAACTCTGTAAGGGTCTGTCCTGGGTCCTGGCCCACCCCAGACTTCTGTGGACCCCCAGGGCTTTGAAACCCAGACAGAAATTCCTTTCCTCTCTCCATTCTACAGAGGAGGAAACTGAACCAAGAGAGGATAAGACCCTTTCCCAGGGTACAGGGGGGAGGGTGGATCCCTGGGGGCCCCTGGGAGCCCCTCCTCCTGGCTCCCCATCCTCAGACCTCCATTTGCATAAGTTCCACATTCCTGCTCCTCCAGGCGCCTCACTTCAGCCAGCCCACTTAATTGAAGCCAATTATTTAGCACAAGAGAACAGAGAATGCATCAGCTCATGTCTTTGTCCCCCAAACAGGGCCCTGAACAAGGAGCTCCAGCTGCCTTTGTCTCCCAGAGATGCTTATTAGAGATCAGCTGAGCTCAGCCTGTGGGGGTGACACTGGGCATGCCAGGGGCACAATGGTGTGTCCAAGGCAATTTGTGAAGGACTTCTGGGGCAGGGGCCTGGCTGCAGGCACAGAGTTCTTGACATGGGATAGACAGCTTCTGGAAAGTCGGTAGGCCAGGGATGTAGGAGTCAGAGTGACTGGGAACCTCAGGACAGTCATTCTCCCTGGAAGCCCCAGTGTCCTGACCAGTAAGTTGTTGACAACAGTGGATACGTAGATACCTGTAGAATACTTAGCACGGTACCTGGAATGCAGTACCTGCTAATTGTTAGCTATTATTACCATATTCACTTGTGATGATTATTTGGTTATTATCATTAATGTACAGTGCTCTTAGCTGTGGGGCGAGGAAGATACTATGGGTAAAATCACAGACTTTGGCTTCGGATACAACCGGGCTGGTGTCCTGTTATTGCCGTTTATCATAAACATCACACCTCTCCTCCAGTTTGGAGGTGATTCCCTACCTCAATCCTATGAAGGAAAGGAAGTTACTGATATTGATGCAGGTAGAGGAAATCAGGGTAGTCTTTATGGAGGAAGTAGTATCAAAACCTGGAAGGATGGGTTCAATTTTAATAGTCAGAAATAGGGGAAGGGAAAAGCAGGGGAACAGCATGCAAAAAGCACAGAGGATGAAACTGCTGGCACAATCAGAGGCTGGCACGTGGTCCCTCTGGTGAGGTGGGGATGGAGTGAAGGGAGTCATTCAAAACTAGGAGGCCCTAACAAGCCTGGGCCCCTGAAGCCTTAAGTAGAACCACCTTCAAAGAGACCTCTCCAGCTCCCTTCTTCCTCAGTGTCAGCTGTGACAGCAGCACGTCCATGGGTGCTGGGCCCACTTCTGTATCAGGACCTTAACAGCTGCCTGAAACCCTGACTTGTTGAGACAAAGCCCTCCCTTAATCTAGGCTGGGATTTCTCCACTGCATACTATTGACATTTTCAGCAGGACAATTCTTTGCTGTGGAGGGTCTGTCCCGTGCATTTTAGGATGTTCAGCAGCATCTTTGACCTCTACCCACCAGATGCCAGTGGCACCCTTTTTCAGCTGTGAGGACCAAAAATGTCTCTAGATATTACCAAATGTCCCTGGGGGTGGGGGCACAGGAGAATCACTCCAGTTGGGAACCACTGCTCTAGGGCCTCCCTCCCTGGGCCCGGGCTCAGACCTCCTGGATCCTGAACGCAGGAATAGCATCCTCATACACTCTTAGGGAGCAGCCCTCTTCCCCACTTCCAGTTGCTGCTGGGTGATGGGGCCTCCCCAGAGAACAGGCAGCAACCTTTTCTAGGGCTGACATCATCATCTGCTATGAAATAGACCATAATTGCCTAATTGTAGCGTGCCCTTCCAAGATAGATATACCTCTCTCACCCAAGCACCCACCCTTGCCCTCAGCCATAACATGCAGGGTAAACACACACCACTCTGGGACCTGGGGCATGAATTTTGGTAATGATGATCAATCTCAGTGATTTTCCAGAAGGTTAGCAGGCCTGGGGCAGAGAGGTAACTTGGCTGTTAAACTCTGATAAATCATCCTCATCACTCCACAGGGAGAACAAAGCTTGTTTTTTCTTTGTTGTCACAGTTTTTATCATAAAGGCAGCACTATTACAGAAAGTTTAGGAAGTAGAGAAAGCAGGATCACCCATCATGCCTCTGGGACTGATTCTATTTCTGCATACTCGGCAGGGCGTAGGCCAAGTCTTCCTGTAATTACAGACAAGGGTATAGGCAATGAGGATATTTTGTTTTCTTTCCTGTTTTTATTTCAAATTCCCTATAATACCAAAAACATCTCTTTGTGTTGCTACATGAACACGATCTTCCCAAGAATGTGGCATTTACCCAAAGTGCAGCTCAGGCCAACAAGGGGACCCTCTTCCTGGGTGGGGCCCTTGAGGGTCCGTGGCCTGGTAAACATAAGGATGTGGTGTTTACCCAAAAGCGGGTCTTGGAAGTGTGGTCAGGTCCTTGGGTGGACCCTGAAATCCTGCTATTTTGTAATTACAAAAATGTAGTGCTTACCAGAAGGGGTTTTCAGAGGACCAGAAGGGTGGTCAGTTCCCTTAGGGGAGCCCTTGAATTTCTGAGGTTTCAAGATTATAAGGATGTGCTATTTGGGATCACAAGGCCCTGTGGGTTCTAAATTTAAGAATGGTGCATTTTCCTGCAGGGAGGTGGTTGGTTTCTGAGGCAAGGCCAGAAGACCCTGGGGCTGGAAAGGCCTTGGCTATCAAGTATTTCTGATCAGATACACGCCTCCTGGGGGCCTGGAGAAGGCATGTGATGTGCAGCTCACAGGGATGATGCCAAGCCCGGTGGGAGTGGCACCTGCAGGAGGCACACGCAGCCTCGTGAAGGAGGATGAGTGGTGGCTCTCCTGACCTGGGCCACGCACACAGGCTCCTGCTTCCATGGGGCTGAAGGAGTGAAGTCCAACAGGCCACTCCAGCTGTGGGTTGCTCACACACTTAGCAACAAGTCTGTATGGAACCCTACTGTGTGAGATGCTGCTCCAGACCTCAAGACCCACAGGTGAATAAATCCAACACCGACTTGCCTTAAAGACGTTACAGTCCAATGGCAACACTCGTCAAGTAATGCCATGAAGGATTGTTCCATTGGAATCCATATGAACTAGGCAGGCAACTCATCAGGGGCTCTGATGAAGAGATGGAATGATTTAGGGGTAGTAAGGGGAGCTATATGAGCAGGCGGAATTTCAAACTGAGACCTGAAGGATGAGGAGATGAGAACCGCTGGTGCAAAGCCCAGAGGTGGGACAGGCTTGGTGTGCTGGAGAAAGGATGAAGGGACCAGCACGGCTGGAAGGAGCAAGTGAGGGGAGAGAACACGGGATTCTAGCCAAGAGGGCCACAGGGACAGGCCAAGGAGGGCCTTACAGGCCACTGGGAGCAGTTTGGACTCAGTCCCGAGAGGAACCGAAAAGAAGCAGAAGGTTTCATCTTTTAGAGAGAGGAATCTTGTGCCGGGCGCAGTGGCTCATGCCACCCCAGCACTTTGGGAGGCCAAAGTGCTCCCAAATAATCCCAGCATTTTGGGAGGCCGAGGCGGGTGGATCACCAGAGGTCAGGAGTTCGAGACCTGCCTGGCCAAGATGATGAAAACCTGTCTCTACTAAAAATACAAAAAGTAGCCGGGTGTGGTGGCACACGCCTGTAATCCCAGCTACTCGGGAGGTTGAGGCAAGAGAATTGCTTGAATCTGGGAGGCAGAGGAAGTTGCAGTGAGCCGAGATTATGCTACTGTACTCCAGCCTGGGCGACAAAGCAAGATCTTGGGAAAAAAAAAAAAAGAAAAGAAAGAGAGAGACAAAGAAAGAAAGAAAGGAGGGAGGGAGGGAGGGAGGGAGGAAGGAAGGAAAGAAAGAAAGAAGGAAAGAAAGAAAGAAAGAAATGAAAGAAAGAAAGAAAGAAAGGCAGAAAGAAAGAAAGAAAGAAAGAAAGAAAGAAAGAGAGAAAAGAAAGCAAGGAAGCAAGCAAGCAAGTCTCTGGCTGTGAAGAGGAAAGTGAGTGATGGGGTCAGGGGTCAATGGTGGAAAGGAGGAAGGAAGGCAGGCAACCCCTGGCTTCCTCCAAGTAAGAGAGGACAGTGGCTGGAGGAAGGATGGAGCAGTGGGCTGGGGAAGATATATCAATCCTCATTATTAGTAGGTTCCATATTTGCAAACTCACCTGCTCATCACATTTTATTTGTAACCCCAAAATCAATGCTCGTGGCACTTTCCTGGTCATTTGCAGACATGCAGACATGTCCAGGACGGTGAAAAATCTGTGAGCAACATGCACATTTCCAGATGAAGCCAAACAAGGTGACACTCTGCCTTCTTGGTTCAGTTTCGCATACTGTAAACAAGGGTTCTTTATGCTGTACAGTCACATGCCACTTAACAACAGGGATACAACGTTCTGAGAAACGTTAGGTGACTTCCTCGTTATGTGAATGCTATAGTGTGTACTTACACAAACCTAGATGGTACAGCCTACTACACACCTAGGCTATATGATATTGCCTGTTGCTCCCAGGCTGCAAACCTGTACAGCAGGTTACTGTTCTGAATACTGCAGGCAATTGGCATGCAATTGTAAGTATTTGTGTGTCTAAATATGGAAAAGGTACAGTAAAAATATGATCTAGGCCAGGGCAGTGGCTCATGTCTCTAATCCCAGCACTTTGGGAGGCCAAGGCGGGCGAAACACCTAAGGTCGGGAGTTCGAGACCAGCCTGACCAACATGGAGAAACCCGTCTCTACTAAAACTACAAAATTAGCTGGGTGTGGTGGCTCATGCCTATAATCCCAGCTACTCGGGAGGCTGAGGCAGGAGAATAGCTTGAACTGGGGAGGCTGAGGTTGTGGTGAGCCAAGATCACACCATTGCACTCCAGCCTGGGCAACAAGAGTGAAACTCCGTCTCAAAAAAAAAAAAGATATAAAAGATAAAAAGTGGTACACCTATGTAAGGCACTTACCATGAATGGAGCTTGCAGAACTGCAGGTTGCTCTGGGTGAATCAATGAGTGAATGTGAAGACCTAGGACATTACTCTACATTACTGTAGACTTTATAAACACTTTAGGCTAGACCAAATTTATACCAAAATATTTTTCTTTCTTCAATAATAAATTAAGCTTAGCTTACTATAACATTTTTACTCTATAAACTTTTTAATTTTGTTTAGCTTTTTGACTCTTTCCTGATAACAGTTTAAAACACAAAAACATTGAACAGCTGGGCAAAAATATTTTCTTTATGTCCACATTCTATAAGATTGTATGTATTTTTAAATTTTTTCTTTTTACTTTGTAAGTTTTTTGTCAAAAACCAAGACATGGGCTGGGCACAGTGACTCATGCCTGTAATCCCAACAATTTGGGAGGCTGAGGTGAGTGGATTGTTTGAGTTCAGGAGTTCACGACCAGCTTGGGCAACACGACGAAACCCCCATCTCTACTAAAAATACAAAAACTAGTTGGGCGTGGTGACGCGTACCTGTAGTCCCAGCTACTGGAAAGGCTGAGGTGGGAGGATCACTTGAACCCAGGAGGCTGCAGTGAGCCGTGATCGCGCCACTGCACTCCAGCCTGAGTGACAGAGCTGGGTCATCCATGACTTCTTACTGCTCCCGTAGTACAGGGACAGTGTGTGCTTACTGATATCCTCAAAGGTCCTGGGTTTCCCACTATGTCAGATCAGAAAGGGTTTCCATTTGCAGCCTGCAACATTGTCCCAAGCAAGACTGTAATCCTGTCCTTCAAAGCCTTGAAATCTGGCATTGACTCGGCTTCCTTCTGGATGAAAGTCCTTTCAGGCCTCCTTTTCCAGAATAGGGAGCTTTCATCCACATTGAGGATTTTCTCTGGCAAGTAATTTCCCTCCACCGTCAGTTTATGTTGAGTTTCCACAAATTCTTTAGCTGCCTTCACATCAGCACTCACAGACTCACCACTCACTTTCACATATGTAATGAGTAACAATTCTTGAATTGTTTAAACCACCCAGAGCTAGCAGTAAATTCAACAACATAGTTGGGTCCAGCCTTGTCTTTCAACAGCAAACTTTCTTTTTGGCCATGATCATTAGGATGCTGAGAGGGATACGCTTCTGTGTCTGATCTTCAATTCAGGCTGTTAGAAGTTTCTCCATATCTGATATAGGCCCTTCTCAAGTTTTGTTATTTTCATTGTCTTCAATGAAGCAGATTCTTTTTTTTTTTTTTTTTTTTTTGAGAGAGTCTCGCTCTGTCGTCTAGGCTGGGGTGCAATGGCACGATCTCAGCTCACTGCAACCTCCACCTCCTGAGTTCAAGCGACTCTCCTGCTTCAGCCTCCCGAGTAGCTGGGATTACAGGCACCTGCCATCATGCCCGGCTAATTTTTGTATTTTTGTAGAGACGGGGTTTCACCATGTTGGCCAGGCTGCTCTTGAACTCCTGACCTCAGGTGATCCGCCCTCCTTGGCCTCCCAAAGTGCTGGGATTACAGGCATGAGCCACCATGCCTGGCCCTAAAGCAGATTCTTTAACAGCTTCCATCACTTTGTCCTTGTTCTTCAAGATCATAGCTAGGGTGAAATGAGACATGCGTGACTGTCAAGCAATAACCATCACTGGTTTTCCACCTTCACAATCCTTAATCACTTTCAATTTTGTTTCCAGCTCAATCACTTTATGTGGCCACTGACTGGCAACATTGGCTATGGATTTTGTACACCTAGGAGCCGTGATGAGCAAAACAACATAAGATTAAATCAGGCACAAGAGAAAATGATGCAATCAAGAGACCAAGCAAACATGAGATGCATGTGGCGGCTGCCAGCATAACACGGCATAGTTTCACAGTGAACTTTAAAAAATAAATAAATAGGAGTACACGCTAACATAAAAAGTGTAGTACAGTAAATACATAAACCAGTAACATAGTCATTTATCATCAGGTATTATGGACTGTATGTAATCGTATGTGCTGTACTTTTATAAGATTGGCAGCACAGTCAGTTTGTTTACACCAGCATCACATGAGTAATGTGTTGCACCATGGCAACATTACAACAGCTATGGCATCATTAGGTGATAGACATATTTCAGCTTCATTATAATCTTAAGGAACCATTGGCATACATGTGGTCTGCTGTTTTCTGAAATGTCCTTCTGCAATGCATGACTGTATATTTAGTGCCCTGTTTTTCACGTCTGTGCTTTTTATTGGTAATTTAGCTGTTTAAAATGGTACTCACATGTAGTGCTGAAGTGCTGTCTAGCATTCCTTAGTGCAAGTATTCCCAAGTTCCTAAGTGTCATATGGCTTATGGAGAAAATACATGTGTTAGATAAGCTTCTTTCAGGCATGAATGATAGTGCTGTTGGCCATGATTTCAATGTTAATGAATCAACAATGTGTATTAAATAAGATGTCTTTAAGCAGAAAACACACATATAACAAGGTTAGGTATAGATAGGTTGATGAAAGTGTTGTGACCGAAAGCTCACAGGAACCTAACCCTGTATTTCCCCTAGGAGCAATGTTTCAGTATTCTCCAATTCAGTGTTTGCAGCAACTTTACAGAGGATAAGTGCTGTGAATGATGATATTAACTGTATTTTGGAGGTCAAGTCAAAAGGACTTGCCAACAAAATTAAATGTGGAGGGAGGAAGAAGAACCAAAGAGGTCCCCCACATTCTTGGCCTGCTTGCCAGGCAGTGGTGATACCCATGCTCACCTCTCACGTTTGGGGGCCTGGGGCAAGAGTACCAGTGGAAGCCACTGGATCAAGGGCCACTCCCCTTCCCTTCCCACCATCAGGTTTGTCTCTCATTGCAAGGGGCTCATACACATCACATCCCAGCAATATCCACACACACCACCCAGCAAACAGTCACACTTTGGCTGGCTAACCTGGGCCTAGGATTGAGCACCAGGACAGATGTCTGGAGGCTGGACTTGGGGAAGAAGCCCAGGAAATCCCTGGAAGCTGGCATGGAGCTGATGTTCAGAGTATTCAGAACACCTGGGATTCATTAGGCCCCTAGAGTCTGGCCTAGAAAAAGGTAGTGGGAGCTACAAATGGTGACATCCTTTTTGCTCCATGAATTCCTTACTCCACAAGAGAGATGCAGCTGGAGGGGACCAGAGAAGGACCAATTAAAGCTGTGCTGTCCAATATGGTAGCCAGTTGCCACAGGAGGCCATTGAGTACTTCAGACAAGGCTGTCCAATAGAAATGGGCTGTAAGTATAAGATACATACTGGATTTTGAAGACTTAGTATGTGAAAAATATGGCTCAGTAATAATTTTTACATTGATTACTTGTTGAGATAATATTTGAATATATTACATTTAAAATATTTTTAGCATTAATTTCACCTGTCTCTTTTTAATTTTTTTAAAGGGCCGCTAGAAAATCTAAAACTACATAAGTGACCCATGTTTTATTTCTATTTCACAGAGATGCTCTAAAAGTGTGAATCCAAGGGCAGGGGCTTTAGTTGTGCAGCCCTAAAGTTGATAAAGGTGGCCAGTCCCAGAACTAGAGAAGAGAAGACTGGGTTGAAAACAAGAGGTACAGAGATGACTGTGGTAGTGCTGGACTCTGTGTGGTCACCAACCTGCTGATTGCTGTCCTTCCAGATTAAACAGTTATCAAGATTTTGTTGTATTTGTGTCTTATCCAGGATTCATTGATTTGTTTGACAATAGTTAAGATTTTCCCAGATAACACTTGGATGGGTAGTATGGAGGACTGCAAAAATGGCCACGCAGTCTTTCCCTCCCATCAAGAAGTAGAGTCTATTTCTGCACCCTTTGATTCTGGGATGGCCATGCAACTTGCTTTAGCCAATGGGCATTAGTAAACAAGAGGGTGCTTGAAAAGTGCTTGTGTATTGGATCTTGCTATTTCTTGCTGCTGTTGGAGTACTGCTGCCTTGGGATGAAGCATTGATAACCCTAATTAATATCCTTCCTGTAACCACCCCCTTTGCATGTGATTTCCAAGTTTCTCCCACCAAGAGGTAGAGTTGATTCCCCCACTCCTTGAATCTGGGCTGGCTTTATAATTTTCTTGGATCAACAGAATGCAGTAGGAGTGAGTTGCACCCATTCTAAGCTTCTCTTTCTTTTGAACTCTGCCAGCTGTCATGTGAATAAGACTAAACCAGCTTGCTGAAGGATGAAAAACCATGAGGAAGAGACCCAAGTCAGCCCAATTCTCCCCGCTGAAGCCACCTCAGACCAGCCATACCCCAGCCGACCCACTGATTGCAGATTTGTGAATCAGCCCAGCAAAGATCAGCCAAGCTGAGCCCAGAACTGCCAAACTACCCAGCCAATCTGCAAACTTGTGAGCTAAATAAATGCTTTACATAATTAAGTTTGGCGTTGTTTGTTATGCAGCAAGAGCTAACCAACACAGTGATACAGATACAGATAAGATTTGAACTAGGGTCTGTCAGACCTGATTCCAGAGTTGAAGATCTTAACCACAGCACTCTACCATTTACATCCAAATTTTGCTTATACCCAAAGCTTTGAGTTGAAGAAAGTGAGGGGAAGAAAGCCAGACCTAATGATGTGGGAGTCACCACTTCCCCCACTAGCAATAAGAATGGCTGTCTCATGCTGTGCCACCTTCAAAAGGCACACCATCTGAACTTTTGGTTGAAGGATTAAACATTAATAATGAGACTTCTCTGTCCTTGGAGATGACAATTACTCTTTGAGATGCCAACTTCAGTTATCTTCCTCCTTAGGGATTATTAACCTCATTTCTCTGTGTCTATTGTTAGGACCCAGGAAGGAGCTGCTTTGCCTGTTCTGCCTCGATAATTACCCATCATGAGAACTGAGCATCTCTAATGGAAGTCTTCCTAATTTCCAGCATTTATCAAGTGCTTTAGATTTTATATTTGCAAACTTTCCCAAAAACTTCTATTCATCCAACTCATTAGATTGGCTTTTTGGATGAATTTAAAAATTACTTTGATGATATAATCACTATACTTCATTAGCAATTTTCTCCAGGATATTAGAATAGTTTATAGATAGTTATCCAGTTCACCTCACTGCATCCCTGTGAGACTGGTGGGTAGGAGTCTGGGGGAAAGAAAGAAAGCAGTTTTCTGTTTTTTGTTTTTTAATTCTGTCTTGCCAAAAGTGAAACTTACACAGAGAGGTTTTCTATTGCTGCATAATAAAATACCATGAATTTTGAGACTTAACACTACACACACATTTATTCTCTCACAGTTTCTGTAAGTCAAAAGCCTGCATGTGGCTTAGTGGGGTCTGCTTTAGGGGCTCACCAGACTGTACTCCAGGTGTTAGTTAGCCACGGCTGCAGTCTCATCAGAGGCTCAACTGGGGAGAGATCTGCTTCAAGCTCATTCAGTTTGGTAACAGAATTCATCTATTTGTAGCTCTAGGACTGTGATCACCATATCCTTGCTGGCTGCCAGCTGCAGGCCACTTTCAGGTCCCAGAAGCCAGAAACATTCTTTGCCAAGTGGCCCTTTCCATAAGCCCCCTCACCACATGGCAGCTTACTCACTTCTTCCAAGCCAACAAGAGTCATTTTCTCTTCTCTTTCTCTCTCTCTAGTATGTGATAGAGTCTTATATACCTTTGCCATATTCTGTTCCTTAGTAGCAAGCTGAAGTTCCCATGCATTCTCAAGGGGAGGAGAGATCACAAAGGTGTGGACACCAGGAGGCAGGATATCAGTGGGGGTTCCTTTTGTCATAATAAGCAAAGAGCCCAATGTCACACAGCAAGGTAGTAGTGTGGTGCTCTGGCAAGCATACCACAGCACCTTGGACATCTGTGCTCACTGCTCATGATGGTGGCCTTCTGTATCGGGGCCCACATGCATGAACTTACTCATCCCCACTTATGTAGTCAGGCCACCTGGCACACAGCACGCTCACCAACAAGCATTTCCCAGGATCCAAAGTCTCCTGGTCTCCCTTCAGAAGTCCAGATGAAGCTATAGTGGGGTTGAAGAGTGACCCTCCCCACCCACGTAGGCCTCATGCTGAGCCATGGTCACTGAGTCAATAGAAGCAAAACACTGAGAACAGAACTTGGCACCCAGCAAGTGCTCAGTCCCTGTTCACATTTCTACAAGCTCCTGGAAAGGAGCTTGTAAGTCAAAGTTGGACCAGCCTGACATCAAATGCACAGGAGGTATATACAGGCAGTCCTGGAGTCCCCTTGGATGATTTGACTTAGGATTTTTTAACTCTACAATGGTGCAAAAGCTATAACAAGTTCAAAAGAACAGTGATAAATGACATGAGATGTTCAATACTTTATTATAAAATAGGCTTTGTGTTAGATGATTTTACCCAACTGTAGGTCGATGCATGTGTTCTGAGCATGTTTAAGGCAGGCTAGGCTAAGCCATGATGCTCAATAGGTTAGTTGTATTAAGTGCATTTTCAACTTAACAATATTTTCAACTTACGATGGATTTATCAGGACACGACCCCATCACAGGTGAAGGAACATATGTATAGTAAAGGACTGTAACTGTGGGAGTGACTTTTCTTAAATATATTTTTATAAGGCAAAGTATCACTCCTTTATTTTTGTTTCTTTTGCATTTTCTTGTTGGGGCACTCAGGCAAGTACTCATATTATATTACTGAATTCTCACAGTGACTGTTTTAGAAAGTAAATTGTAATTTACAAAGGCTTCCCAGATAACCCATGAGGCTGAGTGCCTTGCAGAGGCCACATGGACTACAGGTGGCTGAGCATAACCCCAAATCTAATCTAGGCTCTGAAACACACAGCTGGCCTGCCTCTTCCTTTCTTCACCTTCCATCATTCAGATTTTGCCTCAGCCCATCACAGTGAATCTTGTTTGCTCAACCAGCTTCATCCATGGCCTGTTCCCTGACCTTCCTTGGTTAACCTCAAAGAATTAGGATTCAAGCTCCCTGTCTCGGTTTGTATCTCTCTCTCTCTCTCTTTCTCTCTCTCTCTCTCTCTCTTTCTCAGTTTGTATCTCTCTCTCTCTTTCTCTCTCTCTCTCTTTCTCACACACACACACACACACACACACACTCAAATACTTTCAAACACGGCCTCTTTGAAAGAAGACAGATCAGCTAGGCTCAGTGGCTCACTCCTGTAGTCCCAGCACTTTGGGAGGCCGAGGCGGGTGGAACACAAGGTCAGAAGTTTGAGACCAGCCTGGCCAATATGGTGAAACCCTGTCTCTACTAAAAATACAAAAATTAGCTGAGCACGGTGGTGTGTGCCTGTAGTTTCAGCTGCTTGGGAGGCTGAGGCAGGAGAATCGCTTGAACCTGGGAGGCAGAGGCTGCAGCGAGCTGAGATCACACCGCTGCACTCCAGCCTGGGCAACAGAGCGAGACTCCGTCTAAAAAAAAAAAAAAACAAACAAACAAAACAAAAAAAACCAGAAAGAAGACAGACCAAAAGAAGAGTCCTCTATCTTGTTTGTTCTATCAAACAGTCTGAACCAAGTAAATGCAGTCATGACCCATTTTCTTTTTCTCTCATCACTGCCCCAGATCTGCTCTGTCTACTCTCCTCTCAAGACCTTTAATGTAATCCAGGCAGGTCCGACACCTTCCCAGGCACCTTGCACAGCTATAGGGCCCAGCCCAGAGCCACGCAGGTTAGAACTTCAGTGTCTACTTAAAGAATAGCCCAGCTCAGGCTTGGCTGGGGACCTGCCCCTGGAAGAGAATGCGTGGAGGATAGGAAAGTCAGCTCTTCCTCATCCTCTGCAATGCCCTAGTGGAGCCACCATATTTAGCTCAGTGGAAGGACCACCCGTGGAAGGGGATGGAACAGCCATATCACACCCCCGACCCCTGGGCTGATGACGTTCCTCAGAAGAATTCCTCCTGCTTCCCAAGGCTTTGGTTCACATGAGCTTGATGGTGTCTGTATTTGTGTGTGTGATGTGGGTGGGGGCTGTTTCACCTGCTCTTAGTAAGTCTGTGGCCCTCTCTTCTCAGTGGGAGACCATCCAGCATCCCCTGTTTTCAGCTTGGTCCTTTGGGCAGCAATTCCAAGGCCACAGAGAAGCCTCAATCCACAGCCTGTACCCATCCCTGGATGCTCTGCTTTACCCAGCTCTCAGCCCCAAAGGAGCAAATCCAGCTTTTTTCTCACAATGTAGGCACTAAACTCAGCGCTGATTACATCTTTCCTTGGAGGAAGCTTGTCTTGCTGTGCAGGAGGCAATTTGCTGCAGGCAAGATAGCAGTGTCCTGCTGCTTGCCTGAAACTGGCCATTTCCAAAAGAAATCCATGGTGGTCCCGGGTGAGGGCGGAGGTGAGAAGAGTCAAGTGGAACAGTAGAGCCTGGGGCTGGCAGCTTTGATCTACGAGGCTGGTGGGTGTTGGAGGTCCAGTGCTGTGCCTGGAAAATCCAGCTCCTGGATGGCCCCCACCCTGCCATGGACCTTCTGGACAGTGTGGTTTTTAAAGCCACCATTTTTTTCCCTCTTAACAAGAGTTGGGCTTGCCAGGTACCCTGACATGTAGCATTTCTTTGAGTCTTGCTGACAGCTCTGCAAGGCAGAAGTCACCTCTCTCATTTTACAGAAAAGGAGACAGAAGCTCAGAGTAACTTTCCCAAAGGCAAACAGAGCAGGTGGTAATGATGAAGCACAGCTGCAGGTATTGTGTACTGCTCAGCAACCTGGAGTTGTGCAGTGCCGAGCTTGAACAACCATATGTGGTGGTCCCGGAAGCATTTTGCACACTTTGTCTTACTGTTCCTTACAGGAGCCCTATGTGGGCAGTGCTACCCATCCCGATAGGTCCAACACCTTCCCAGGCACCTTTGCACATCTACAGGACCCAGCCCAGAGCCATGCAGGTTAGAACTTCAATGTCTACATAAAGAATAGCCCAGGGCCCAGGCGCAGTGGCTCACGCCTGTAATCTCAGCACTTTGGGAGGCCGAGATGGGTGGATCACCTGAGGTCGGAGTTCGAGACCAGCCTGACTAACATGGAGAAACCCCATCTCTACTATAAATACCAAATTAGCCGGGCACGGTGGTGCATGCCCGTAATCCCAGCTACTCAGGAGGCTGAGGCAGGAGAATCATTTGAACCCAAGAGGCGGAGGTCATGGTGAGCACCACTGCACTCCAGCCTGGGCAACAAGAGCGAAACTCCATCTCAGAAACAAAACAGAATAGCCCAGCTAGTGCTTGGCAGGGGACCTGCCCCAGGAAGAGAATTGGGGGAGGATAGGAAAGCCAGCTCTTCCCTGTCCTATGCTATCCATCCTAATAGCACTGCCCACATAGGGCTATTGTAAGGAACAGTGAGACAAAGTGGGTAAAATGCTTCCAGGATATTAGGATATCCATTTCGTAGAGGAAGAAATGGCGTTTCTACACAGAGAGACTGTGTAGCAAGCCCAATGTCAAAACAGTGAGGTAGTGGCCAAGTTGGGATTCAAACCCAGGGCTGCTTAAACTCTGAGCCAAAGCCTATGCTGCTATGCTCTAATTGCAAGGACCTTCAGAAGGTCACATAGCAGAGCGTTTAAGGTACAGATTTTAAAATCGGCCTCATCTGAAACCAAGCCTGGCTGCACCCAGACCTGGGGAGTGCCAGCTCTTTCCCTGGGCATCCAGGGCCCTCCTGGGCTTGGGACTTTACATACCTTGGCCCTGGCTAAGAAAGCATCATCTCTGGCCAGAGCAGCGAGGTTTAAAGGATCTGTTCCTTGTCGCTGGCACCTCTGCCCATCTCCAGATCCCACCACAGAAGCCAGGGCAATCAGCTGCACTATTTCATTCATCCATGCATTCACTCATTCATTTGTGGACACCTCCAATGGCTTCCCAGCATTTAAAATAAAACCAAACTTTTAGGTTGGCATCCCAGACCCCCATGACCTCTCCCCATCTCTGACCTCCCCGCTTCCATTCTCCCCCATCACTGCCTCCATCACAGCACACACATTCCCACCACTGGATCTTTGCCCATGCAGTTCCCTCAGCCTGGAACACACATTTCTGGGACATCCACAGGGCTGTCTGCCTCACAGGTCTTTCTTCTGACCTTGCTGTCCAAAAATAGCCACTCTCTGCCCCTTAACCAGTTTCACTTTTCCTCCTGGCATATTTCACCACCAGATATTCTGGTCTATATTAATTTGTTTATTGTCTGGCCTCTACTAACATGTACCCTCCAAGACACAGAGACTTGAGTTTCTCCACTACTTCATCCCAGCACCTAAAACAGGGCCTCTGACACCTAGTGGGCCCTCGAAAGCACTTGTTGAATGGATGAAGGAAGGAATAAATGAATAAGAAACATGTACTAACTACTTTTCATGGGCTAGGCAGCATGGCCTGGTGGTGGGGAACACAGGGTCTGGAACTGAGCTGCTGAGGTTCGACCCCACTGCCCAGCCTCTTCTTACACCCGTGTGATAATCTTGGGCAAGTTACTTTACTCTCCTGTCCCTCGTTTCCACACTGGTAAAATGGTGATTATAATATTTTCTTCACACGGTCATTTCTTGGGTTAAATGAGTTAATTTCTCTACAATACTTTGAACTGTACTTGGCATACAGTAAGTGCTCAAAAAAATCTTAGCTCTAGCGCTTCAGCGGTGTTTAAAGCAGACGCAGATCCTGCCCCATACAGGGCTCATAGTCTAGTGGGGGAGGCAGACACGGATCAAATAATAGCACAAGTGTGTGAGTTGAATTATGGTGGGTGCTGTGAACAATAGGAGTTTGGGAGCTCCAGGGAGGTAGTTGGCAGACTTGATCTTCTCCATGGAGTTGCCAAAGTCTTCCCTAAAGAAGTGACGTTCCACTGGGGGCAGTGGCTCATGCCTGTAATCCCAACACTTTGGGAGGTCAAGGAAAGCAGATCATCTGAGGTCAGGAGTTCGAGACCAGCCTGGGCAACACAGTGAAACCCCGTCTCTACTAAAAATGCAAAAATTAGCTGGGCATGGTGGTGCATGCTTGTAATCCCAGCTTCTTGGGAGGCTGAAGCAGGAGAATCGTTTGACCCTGAGAGGCAGAGTTTGCAGTGAGCTGAGATTGTGCCACTGTACTCTGGCGTGGGCAATAGAGTGAGACTCTGTCTCAAAAAAAAAAAAAGAAAGAAAGAAAGAAAGAAAGAAAGAAAGAAAGAAAGAAAGAAAGAAAGAAAGAAAGAAAGAAATGACATTCCATCTAATGAATGGGAGTAACTAGGCAGAGAGGTGAGGAAAGGGTACAGCATGAACAAAGGTCCCCAGGTGGTGGGAACCCGGATCATTCTATGGGGCCTGGCCAAGGCTAGTGTGCCCAGAGCACCAGGTGGGGAGGGGCAAGAGGAGATGGAAGAAGACACAGGTGGGGCTGTTTCGAGATTCTGCTGCTCACTTGGGAGCAGAGGGGAGCCAGTGAACTGTTGATGGAGTTAGGGATTAATGGAACTGCAGGCACTATAGCCTGAACCCTCTCAACAGGCTCTGCCCTGAGGGCTGGACCAGGCTAGAGAGGGATGAGGAAGGCCCTATTCCAGTACACAGTTAGAATCAAAAAGTGCACATGAAAAGGGAGGGAGAGATGGATGGAGGGAGGAAGGGAGGGAACTGCTTCCTCTTTTTATAGAACAGCTACTCATCCCTCAAAGTCTAGCTCAAATGCTAACTCCTTCGAGAAAGTCTCCTTGGACTCCATCAGGTAGAATTGTTTCCTCCTGTGCTCCCAAGGCACAATGTGAGAAGCCCTACAATGTCACTCATTGCCCATAATGATAAGAAGAGCTGTGATTTATTGAGTAGCTACTGTGTCCAGCACTGCCCTCTGCACTTCACATCTGCTGAGTTGGCCTTCTCTTCCAGCATCCACACAGCCAGCATACCTGGATCTCCAACCTCAATACTGCTTCTCCTTAGCCTTCTCTGCTGGGTGCCCTTCTGTTTCTCCAAAATGTAAAGGTATCTAGGATGGGGTCTCAGTCTGTCTTGCTCACCTGTGTTTACAGGTGTGCATCTGGATGTAGGAGGGTCTCGGTGAAGATGCTGTGACCAGCTGACCAGCTGCAGGACTGACCTATTGACTTATGTCATCTTCACTGCAACCTCACAAGGCAAGTGCCCTCATTGTACAAATGATGAAAGCCCAGAAAGGCTTCCTAAGTTACCCAAGGCCCAGGTCTGCCCTCTTCACCACCAGGCCACAAAGCCCTAGGCTGAGTTTCACTTGGGATAAGCAACCTCCCTCACTAGCTGGACCAGAAGGAAGCTGGCATTTGCTGCTCAGAACCAGGACAATTCATTCGAGTCTGTTTCCTAGCATCAGGCTATGGCTTGCCCAGACAGAGCAAAGCGGAGGTAAGAGCCTCATGTGTGGGTCTCTCTGCACAGGAAGCGCTTGTCTATTTCTGGCAGGGCCCTAAGGGAGGGGCAGGGGTGGGAGAGGAGGGGACAGTGCGGAGTCAGCATTCTGAGGCACGAAGAGGCTAATCACAGCTAATCACGGTCCCCGAACCTCATTGGGGGCCAAAGGGTAGTTATAGCCCAATTATGGGCCAGAACAACTAATGACAGCTCCGGGCTTAACTGAATTGCCTCGACTGTGATTCTCAGTCCACCCCCGCCCCAGAGCTCCCTGGGTTGGGCTGCTTCCCACAGAGAGGCAAGAGGCTTGGAGGCCTCTTTACACTCTGGGGCCAGGGCCTCGCAAGCTGTAGAAACATAGCCTGCAGCATCGGCAGCAGACCCAAGGGCCTCAACTGGGCTCCACCAAGCAGCCCATGAACCAGGGCCAGCCAGCCAGGTCCAGCCTCACCGTGCAGCCCAGGGGTCCTCTCTCTCCTCCACACCCAGGAAGGAGAAGGGGTAGAAGACCCCCATTTCTTGAGCACTGGAGTGTGCCGGGGAATTGATTTGGTTCATGGGTGTAATAATCCCCAGGACAACTCTACACAGCTCCATGTTTAAGATGAGGAAACAGAGGCTCAGAGAAGTTAAGTGACTTGCCCAAAGTCACACAGCTAGTGAGTTCAAGGAACTAGATTGGAACCCAGGTCTCTCTGACTCCAAACCCATGTTCTTTTCAGGATCCAGGGTTCTGCAACATCCTTAAGGATTAAGGAAGTCTCATAGTACCTGGATGGAGCAAAAAACTTCAAAGTGAAGAGTCTGGGCCCTCTCTGGATCTGTTAAAATGGCCCAGTTCCTAATGAGACACCAGGGTGAGCATGTCTAGGTGAAATGATTCCCCTCAACCCCTTGTTAGGAAAAACCTGCCAAGCTACATGTGTGAGAGGCAGGGCAGAGGGGCCATCCACTCTCACCTCCCAGTGCAGAGCCAGGATCTGACATCAAGGAGAACGAGGGGAGGGGGCAGAGGAACCTGCTTCCCCAGCTGCAGAGGCACTGGACAAAAATCAAAGGCCTTTAACCACCCTCTCCACCACCCACAGATGGTTCTGCGGATGACAGGGCTGTTTAACATCACTTTCTTCAACATCTTTTCACAAGGATTCCAATCATCAGATATTTACATATTACCTCTAATAATCACCACCCAAATACCTCCCACTTCAGCTCCCTTCTCCTCCCCACACCCAGCCACCTTCCTCATATTGGCAATGCTGTTTTCTTCCAAGTAATCAAATGCCAGCGTCGTGACTGTTTGATGGTCTGGCTGGCTTCAAGGACAAGAAGACCATGGAAGGCAGTGCAACCCTCCCTGCTTGTTGGGCACCTGGGCTCAGGGGGGGCAGCGGGAGGAAGCCATGAGAACACCTGGAGCGATCCTTGGAAGGGTCCCATGGGCAGGGCTGCGCAAGGAAAGGCTACTCCCACTGCAGTCTAGAATATTCTGGAGGCTCCAGGGGAGCTCTACTGTTTGTAAGGTCAGGGGCTGCCTGGCGTGACTTTCGGGGTTTAAAGTAGAGAAGTCACACCAAAAGGGGGTGTCTTCTTCAGGGCTCTGGTTTGAGCTGCTTCACTGCAGGGAGAAGCAGGAGAAGCAGCAGAAAGAGAAAGAAAACTCTCTGTCCCTTAAGGCCGAGCATGGATCCGGGAGCATCAAGTGACAAAATGCTTGTATGATTGGCTTGTATGTGATTTGGGCCTAGAGTGCTCTATACTGAGGATGAAAGAGAAAGTAAGGGAGGGAGAAGGAAGGAACAAAAGAGGTGAAGAGGAGCGAGGAGGCACCATACTGAGTATAATACTTGCTGTCTGGTTTTCAAAAGAGCCATTTTCAACAGGACCTCCAAGGGAAGAGAAGGCATTGTATCTTCAAGCCCACCTGATTCTGTCACTAAGATGTGCACTTGTAGGTAGCTAGGGCTGTGAGATGCTGTCAAAACAGCTGACAGAGCAACCACTTTGATATCAAGTCGAGGAGAGAAAAGAATCCCATGTCAGCTCCAAGGCCATATTCTATGGAAGCGAAATTCCCACCCACCCTCATCCCTACCCTAATCTTCTAGGTCCTGGCTGTGGGAAGAGCCCCTAGGCAGGCCATCATAGGATCTGAGGGAGCTGAGGCCCGAGGTACACTTACCCAGAGCTGGAGAAGATGACGGTCAGTGGGGAAGTGTGTGTGTTTGTGGGGTGGGGGGGTGCCTGGAATGGCCCCACCAAAGATGTGTCTCCCAGCCTGCTCCATGGCATTGCACTGCCCACTGCCCCAGACCATCAGACTCCTCTGAGCCTCTGCTTTGTCAACTGACCTCAACCAACTGGGTCACAGACACTGGACTCGCTTCAATTAATACTCATAACTTCTCATAGCTACAGGGAAAGGAGGGCACCTGTTGCCATTCCCACAAGCCTGCCACTAGGGCAGTAAAGTATAATGAAAGCAGGTCCCACTCCAAATTTGCACACATTTATTAGCAAGTGGGCCCCACATCCGCCCGGTCCAGAACTCCATAAAGTTCCAGCCATATGCCCTGTTAGATGTTCCCGTAATGAAAAATGTATCCAAAGTCCCAGCCATCTCCCTATTAGATGTTCCGTTAATGAAGGGTAGAGGCAACAGTATTCCAGTGCAGAACTCATCTGACCTTCTATGGAGTCAAGTAATTGGCCATGCACAAGACTAGAGGGTGTCCTGAATGTGGAGCACTTCTGTAGGCTATTGGACCATTGCATTCTAAGACCTTGTTCAGGCAAGAGTGACAGTACCCGTATTGTATCTCCAGCTAATTATGCATTGTTTATCCTACTGGATCACCCATGAAAAATCGTTTTATACCCATTATGCAAATGAACAAGCCCTCTTGTGCTGATTGGAAATAAAGACAATGGAAACCCTTATAGTTGTCCCTGTACATTGTGGGCTTCTCATGAGTCTTTCCAATGCTAAACACCCATCCATGGAGTATGTAGTGTTTCTATTCACGTTAACTGACTATCCTAGAGTATCCTAGAGTATAGACTCAAAATATGTCCCACTGCCTATTTGAAATATTTTAAAGTAAATCATAGACAATATAGGCATGCTGTTTCAAGAAAAGAACATGATCTGCAAAGCCCAAGGCATTGAAAGTGGCCTTGGGAGTTGGAAATGTGCCTTCTGCCTAAGGAAAGATACAGGCATGATGCGTCATTTCATGAACATTCCTTCATGTCTTTGGACTATGACTGTTCATATGCATGTTCATCTGAGTTTTTTAGTGTCTCCATGGGCCGTTGTTAATGCCCAGAAAAGACTACTCAGACATTTACTTTGAGTTTAAATAATTGGAGTTCAATTTACTAAACTGACACATTCACAACCCTAATTCTCTCTTAAGTGTTTAAGTCTGCTTACAAATCTTTGTTCTGTTGATATCAAGCGGGTTTTAGCAGCTGCTTCTAAGAAGTCTTCGAACATTTGATCGCGTTTACAAACGTAATTAAAGACATCTCAAACAATTTATATTGCCTTTATAAATGTAATGTTTGGAGTGAGTGGTTTCCCTTGGAGGGGGACTGGCTGCAGGAGGGACCTGCTGAGAGGTTTTCCAGGTTCAAGTATTGTGAGGCATCTTGATCTGGTGCTGGTTACATGGATACCGGTTCACTTTGTCATCTCAGGACTTGTCAGAGTATATGATGTACTTCAATAACATCTTTAAAGTCATCTGTTGGATTTCCTTTTAAACTCATTTGCCTGTTTTGAGCAAAATCTCCCTGGGGACATAACTAATTCATTTACAGCTAGTAAATTAAATGTATATATACTGTGAACCTAAAATGCTCTGAAATATTCTAGGACTGAGCATAAGTTTAGTAAGATTTCAATGTAAACTCACACATCTAATTGCTCAATTACATTTTAAATTAGGATGATTAGATTCTCACTTTAATAGGCAAAATTATCTTAGCATTACAAGTAAGTGTATAACAGAAAAATAAAATACTATGGTTTTAATTCCCATAAGCCTGTCTTAACATAACCCCAAATCTCCTGGAGTGAAAAAAATGTACACCCACAAAGAAAAAACATTATCTCAGTTAACTGGGGTGGCTTAGCCCCCAAGAAGGCCGTTATGAGCCCTTCAGTTGAGGTTGCTTAGGATAGGGAATTTCTCCTGGATGTGGTGGCCTAGGGGGACTCCCTAAGTTCTATGTCACAGGCATAAAAAAAAATGAGGGTTTGTCTCCCCAGCTCTTCAGCCCAATCCCTGGATTCTGGTAATCCACACACTCCTTAATTCTTGTCTATGCCTACACAGGGTTGATCATGTGCCTGCATTTGTAGGTTTCAACTCTGACCATATGCACATGTATTCACCCTTTCAACTCTTAGGATTTTTGGAAGTGGGGGGAATCTTGTATTCTTTTGTACTCTTAGGTCTACCAACTCTTGAAGGCATTTATGAGATAATGAATTGAATTTTCACTTGCTTGGTCACAAGGTCCCAGGTCACTTTTCTGAGGTGAGTGGGGAGGGAAGAAAGAATTTTAACCCCCTAGGGCTCAGATCAGCTTGTTCTGGCCTCCACAGTTTCTGTGACTACTCCTCTCTGCTGGCTAGAGTCCAACTCCATCTGCAATGATTGTGATGGAGTCCGGACCCTTCTGAGGAACCTCCCCGCTGAACCCAGCTCCCAAGCGCCATTAACACTGACTCCCTACACCCTGGTTCATCCCGACAGGCTCTGGATTCTTATACATAGAAGACTGCTCAGCAGTCGTCGGAGAGCCGCCAAGTCCGTGACAACCTGTAGGCCCATCACAGCTGACGACATCCAGACAGGCTCTCACTGGCAGACTCATCTCTCGCCTTTCCACGGCAACTTCTATTTTGACCACGCACTCACATGGATCCTTCTCTTATTCACTCCTACAGTTTCCAGCCAGACTGGCCCATGGCGGGAGGTGGCTCTGCGAAAGTAAAGAAAACAGAAGGCAACCAATAGCCAGTGTGGCTTTAACCTGAAGAACAGCTGCATGTTCATTGACTGCTTAGTGCATGCTAAATGTTTCACATGCACTTACTCGATTCATCTTGACAACAGCCCTGTGACGTGGGTGCCTTAGTCCATGTTTTTTTTTTTTTTTGGAGGAGGAAGCTGAAGCACAGAGAGGCTAAGTAATTTGCCCCAGGTCACACAGCCAGTGAATAGTAAGCCAGGATTGGCACACAGGTCTCTAATTTTAATCACTTCACACTTAATCCCTAAATTATATGCTCTTTAATTAGGAGAGGGTTTAGGATTAGCCCAGAGCCAGGCTGCTGCAGGGGAGAGGCCCCCCCCTGCTTAGGGGCTGTTGGGGGGTGGAGCTCCAGCTGTCTCTAGGGAACAAACACAGCTGAGAAGGAGAAAGGGGAGGAGTGTCTTCATCGGAAGACACTAAAGAGAGGAAGCAGTGGGAAGAAGTCTGTCTTGTAACACTCAGGAGAGCTCACCAAGCGCCAGGCACAGCGCTGGGCCCCTTCCATCCTGTACCCTGGCACTCCTCAAACCTCATAACTCGTGCAGTCTTTGAAAAAAGTGAAACACTCTCTGGCTTTTGTATTCATTAACATCTCCAACAAGTGACTACTGCAACTAAAATGAATCAAAGCAAAGGAGGAAGGCAGTGCTTTGTGAACCTCATGTCCTCTGCCCCTTCTCCGAGATGCTGTCCAGACACCCCGCTCCCCAGCCAGGAGTGAATTTCACTGAATCCTCCCTGCAAAGATGCCGACAGATCTGCTCATTCTATAGACAAGGGCATTGATATGCCTGTGGCAGAGGTGGCTTTCAGTGAAGGTCTGTGACCCCAAAGCACAAGGTTTCTAATCATGACCCTATACTGCCTGTTGGGGTGACATGGGCCTCTAGCTGACAGACCACTCAGATGACCAAGAAGCCACATCCCTTGCTAAGTGTCAGAAAATTTGGTTTAAGCTGGCAATTTTCCAGGTTGTATACACTGGGGGAAGCACAGAAAGGGGAATGGCTGAGGCTCAGAGAGGGTAAGTAACTTACCAAGGCCACACAGCAATGGCCTTGTCCATGGTGTGTGGCCTCAGGACTGGAACATAAGTCCTGTCTGCCCCTGTGTCTTCCCTGCCCCCCTCCCACGCCAGCACACACCCCACACCTCTGAGATACCAGCCTGGCCTGCTGAATAAGCTCACGCAGACTGGATTCTGATGAGTGTGTTTCGCTTTGCCTGGCAGGCTGCTTAGTGATTGTTCTAAACCTGCGTGTGGGCTTCTCCACTCCCCCAGTCTTCTATTTCTTTCTTCGCCCCCAATGCTTCCCCATCCCTCACCCTCCCCCCACCAGCACCCAGTACAGCAAGCCACACTCAGCAGGTGTTCAATGAACACTTGCTCTGCCAACGAGGCATTGGACCATCTGTAGGGGGCCGGAGTGGGTGTCAGGCTCCCACCCCCACCCCAGCGCCAGCTCCAGGGCCCAGGACGGGAGTCCCTCTGCAGGTGAGCCTGACAGCACTCAGGCTGCCGTCCCACTTGGGGGAGATTGTAAAGACTGTGACTTCCGGGAGGAAGTGGTTCAGAGGCCCAAGCTGTGTCTGGAAAGTCAGAGGCTTGCTCCAGGCCAGGAAGTCACCCAGCTTGCAACAGGGCCCTCGGGTCCCATCCTCACCCCCTGCCTACAGTCAGGGAAACTCCTGCCAAGCCCTAGAAGGATGTGAGCCCAGACCCCTCTCCAGTGGCAGGCTTCTAAGACCTGGTGCCCAGGAAAGGGAGTTGGTAAACAGCTCAAACTGCCCCACTTTGAATTTAGAAACTGCGGGGAACGTGTGAGCAGTGTGGGCAGCTGGAGAGAAAGGAGTGAAGACGCAGGCTTGGGCTCGTTCACTGGCACAAACTGTGAATCCCTGGCGTCCCTCAGGGAGTCTGGCAATGGGGTTGGGATGGTACCAAGGATTCCTGGTCCTAAGGGCTTTCCCGTTGCTGTTGCCCCGTGAGTCCCACAGTTTACTAACTCGAGTGTGCAGGAGTTGCTTGGGAAACTTGCGGTTCCTGCACTCCCAGCTCCAGAGTCTAACCCGGTAGGTCTTGTGTAAGACCCAGGAATTTGTATTTTCATCGATGAGCCTCCTGACCCCCACCCCCAGGTGATTCGGCACAGGTAGTCTTTGAACTACACCTTGGAAGCACTTTCTTGAGTTTTCTTCTCCAAGGGCTGGAAACACCGGTGCTTAACTAGAAGCGGTCTAGTTGTGAAGGCTGAGGTCCCATCCGCTTGCCGGAGGCCGGCCAGCAGGTCATATGGTTCCAGTGTCTCTGAAGGCGGAGGCTGGTCACTTTGGAAGTGGACCCATCTAGGGCCTGAAGCTGGTTCCTGGGACCCTCCCATCAAGGGCTAGCTGAATGGCCACCACCCCAGGCTGTAGCTATATCTCCTAAGAAGGAACAGAAGAAAGGAAGGGGCCTGGAAAGGTGGGGAGGAACCTGCCACAGAGATTGGAGATGCACTGGGCCCCCAGGAGAGGGGTTATCGTACAGGATAGCAGGGGGACTGGCCTATGCCCCACCCCCGATGCTGACTCCCCTGGGACAGCCCTGTGGGAGATCCTCACGTTGTGCAGAGCTGGGAGGGCTGGATATCAGCTCTTCCCTTCACAGTGGGCAGATGAAGGTTCCAGGAGTTTCCCTCTTAAGCACTGGGATCCTTCCTGCTAGCGCCTTCCTATGCTGTAAGTCATATGTATTAGTCCGTTTTCAGGCTGCTGATAAAGACATACCCAAGACTGGGTAATTTATAAAGAAAAAGAGGTTTAATGGACTCACAGTTCCACATGACTGGGGAGGCCTCACAATCATGGCAGAAGGCAAAAGGCACTTCTTACATGGCAGCAGGCAAGAGAGAATGAGAGCCAAGTGGAAGGGGAAACCCCTTATAAAACCATCAGATCTTGAGAGACTTATTCACTACTAGTACACTATGAGAGAAACCGCGTGATTCAATTATCTCCCACCAGGTCCCTCCCACAACACGTGGGAATTATGGGAACTACAATTCAAGATGAGATTTGGGTGGGGACACAGCCAAACCATATCATCGTATAATGCAACAAATTCTGGTGTCAGTATCAGGAAATGGTGAGCTCCAGCTCCATTGAGTCACTGAGACCCTGGGAAAGACTTCCCACCACCTGGATTCACTGGCCCCACCACCTGCCATCTACAATGAGGAGACTGGATTAAAACAGGAGAAGCAACAACTGATTAATACGGCTGCCCTGAGCAGTGTCTTGAGAAGCACTGGGGTTAAGTGTGGGTCTAGAAAAACAACCAAACACTTACAGACCACGTGCCCAGTACCACTGCAAGCATTTTACAGATATTTATATAAAATTTAATTTAATCTTGTTTAAAAGCTCATTTAATTCCGCAGCAACAACACCATGAAGTCGGTATTAGTACCTCCACTTTACAGATGAGGAAACTGAGGCACAGGATGATTAAGGATCTTGTCCAGGGATTCCCAGTACATGGCACAGCTGGATTCTGCACCTCTGTAGTCTGGCTCTAGACCCTGCCTCTACTCACCTCATTCTTCCTCCAAAACAACACAAAAGCTCATTATGATGACTTAATGGCCGGTGTCTGCCCCCGGCATGGCAGGGACAGAAGAGTACACAAACCTCTTATCAGCCTTTCCTACCACATTTCCAGTCTGCGGTTCTACCACCCATAAACAAGCCCATAGAGAGTAGAAGCAAATGGAGCAAGATCAGAGTGGGCCAGGGAGCACTGGAGCCCAGGCGGGACTGGACTCTTCCATTTGAGTTCACCGCACCACTTCATGCCTCCCCTGGACTGACCAGCATTTGAGCCCAAACCCACAGGGCACTGCTCACCATTCCTCAAAAAATCTCAGCTCGTTCCCACCTCTGGACCTTTGCACATGCTGATGTCTTCCTCAAAAACATCTCCTTTTCTTCAAATTTCATCTCAAATGCCACCTCCTGCAGAAGCTCTTCTAGATTCTCCTCCAACCAAACAGAGCCTGCCCTTTCTCTGGAGCCCCAGGCCAGGGTCCCATCCCACCACCAGCAGAATAGAGGCCACAGCTTCCCAGCTCTGCATGCCCAGCAACGGGTTCTGGCGCATAAGGGATTGAGCGCTCAGTAGGGGATTGAGGCACCAGAAGGAAATGAAAGCCTTCTGAGTTCTGACTCATTCACTGACTCGTTTATTCTATCAGGCTTTTTTCCTTAATTGAAAAAGAAAGAACTGAATTCCATACCTGCCTATAAATAAGGATTTAAAATCACATCAGTCACAAGAGCCCACTGTTTTGTCTCCCAGGGTCTGGGCTGCTGATCAGTTTCCTTTGTTAACCAGATCCGGTTTGTTTATCAACATCAGGCTGTAGAATTTGCAGGTCAGGCCACAAGGGTGTGAACCTTCTGCCATCCCCTCTCCGACAGTTGAGGAAAGAGGAGAAACTATAAATAATGTTCCTCTGCCCTCCAGGAACTTCCAGGCTAACATACAGGCTGGGCATACAAAATAAGTCCGCACCTGTGTGCCCGCCAACGCTGCAGTGGCAGAGGGGCATGCGGTCCACAGCCCCTGCAGAGAGGAAGTGTCTGGGGCAGACCTTGCCAAGCAGCCAAGAGTCTTCTCCATTTTCCCCTTGCTGGTTTTCTTCTCACTTCCCCTTTGTTAGAACTGTCCTCTTCTCTGCAGATCCTTGCTGGGGAGGATAGACAGAGGCAGTGGGGTAGGGAGGCAGGAAAGGTGGGATTTGAAAACACCAGGCTGAGCCAGAGCCTGGAGCAGCCGGGACCTCAGCAACACTGTGGCTGCCCATGGAAACCATCCCAGGTAAGATGATGGTCCCCGGGCTCAGCCAGCAGAGGGCCTAGCTGAGTCAGCATCTGCGCATCAGTGAATGAAGGTGTGAATGAATGGAGTGGAAGCTGGAGATGGGATGTGAAGTATGTGGGTCTCTGCTGGGAACACCTATGAGTCCTTGCCCTTTGCACCTGGCATTTGTGCAAATGACTCACAATCACAAGTGAGTCCTTTCTTTCTTCTGCTTCCTACCTCATCTTTCAACCCCTGACACAACACTACACCTACACATACACATACAGGTGCACACCTACACACATACCCCAGACACATACAGTTGTACACACTCAGAACTAGCAATAGACTCTAGACAACACTTACACTCAATAATACAATAATACCCATACACTAAACACAATAATACACATGCACAAAGCAAACAATGCCTATATCCTTACATGCCTGCACACACACCTACTTGTGCACACACATAACCTCACAAGTGGCACTCATATACATATATGCAGGCATACATTCACAACAGGCAAACAGACATACCTTAAAACACAGCCATTGAATCATGTGTTCATCTTCTCTTTCATCCAGAGGCTTCTTTCCTTTACCCTGGATCTCGCTTTACAATTCACAAAGTGCTTTCCTTTGTTTACTCACTTCCCTAACCTTTTTGAGGATATCCTCTGTGCTAGGCAACACATGGAAGGTGAATAGGAATCAGACCCTACCCTCCAGGAGGTTTCTAGTTTAGTGGAGGAAACAGACACAGACAGTGACAAACATAATCTGGTGTGATCATTCAAATCAAAAGCTGTTTCACTCGAATCAAAAGCTAATTTTTTTTTTTTAGATGAATTCTCACTCTGTCACCCAAGCTGGAGTGCAATGATGTGATCTCGGCTCACTGCAACCTCTGCCTCCCAAGTTCAAATGATTCTCCTGCCTCAGCCTCCCGAGTAGCTGGGATTACAGGCACACACCACCACGCCAGGCTAATTTTTGTATTTTTAGTAGAGATGGGGTTTCACCATTTGGCCAGGCTGGTCTTGAACTCCTGACCTCAGGTGATCCACCTTCCTCCACCTCAGCCTCCCAAAGTGCTGAGATTATAGATGTGAGCCACCGTGCCCAGCCAAAAACTATTTCTTGAGCACCTACTGTGTGCTAGATCCATGCTGAGCTTTGGGAATACAGAAGTACATAAAGGTCTAGTCTCCCTAGCCTCGAGCAACTTTCAGACTGAAGTGGAAAGAGGCAAAGATATAAGTAGAATATGTGCTGTAATGTACACACTACAGCGGCAGCCCAGAAAAGGGAGTGATTAACTTTGGGGAGAGAATCAGAAAGGGTGTCTTAGTATGTTCAGGCTGTTATAACAAAATACCATACACTTGGTAATTTACAAACTACAGAAATTTATTGCTCATAGTTCCGGAAACTAGGAAGTCCGAGATCAGGGGGCCAGCAGATTCAGTGTCTGCTGAGGGTCTGTTCCTCATAGATACGTTCCTCACAGTTCCATCTTCTATAATATGTGTTCTACATGGTGGAAGGGCAAAATGGCTCCCTCCAACCTCTTTATGAGGGCACCAATCCCATTCATGAGGGCAAATCGCACCCCCCACGCCCCTCACCACCACCCCCACCTGCCACATCACCTAATCACCTTCCAAAGGCCCTACCTCTTAATGCCAACATGTTGGGGATTTGATCTGAACACATGAATTTCAGAGGGACAGAAACATCCAGACCACAGCTGAGACCTTCACAGAGAAGGTAGCACTGGTCTTTGTGGGATAAAGGGGAGTTCACGAAAAACATGGGGCAGTTTGGTATTTGATGTAAAACCAAAGCAGAGACCTCAGAGGGGTTCATCAACAGTTCTCCATTCCTGGACTTCACATGTGAGTGTGTGTGACTGCAGGAGGGAGGGAGGTGAGAGTGGGGATCTGGGGTCGAAGATGAGGCTATAAAGATCATC
The DNA here is from genome assembly GCF_000001405.40 of Homo sapiens. Lineage (NCBI taxonomy): Eukaryota > Metazoa > Chordata > Mammalia > Primates > Hominidae > Homo > Homo sapiens. Next base: position 45,085,612 of record NC_000011.10, read on the forward strand.
AGAGGCAGAGAACAACATCTGCATGTTACAGCGGAGAAAATTGAGGCTCAAGGAGGTAAATGAGGATGTCTTATTCTTCCACTGGGCTCTTTCCTGCTCTTGGGGCCTGCCACAAATTCTCCTGGCCTTTCTTTCTGAATCAGACAAAGCTGCTTGCTAGTGGCTGAACAAGTTAAAAGCTCAGCGCAGGTGGGAGGCATTACTATTGACTGTGATGATTATTCTCTAAAATCCAGCTTGGCAGGATTTCTGCCTCGGATAATCAGCAGCTCAGCAGGTCCAGCCCAGGGCAATTTGGGCCTTTGAGGCTGAGGGACTCCCAGCCCTTGCTCCAGTCCCCTGCCTGAAGCTGGGGGCAAGCTGGGGGCCTGGTCAGCTGAGTCCAGGAGCCAGCGCCTCCCCTTGGGGATGCCTCACCCTCCCCTTGCTGCTTTTTACCACGATGTGCCTACCCTCAGTCGCCCTCTCATTAAGCTGACCTCCCCCTTCCATGCCAATCATCTCTCCCTCTGGCAACCAGCATTTGCCTCCTCCTCCGAGGTTTCTCCTTCCCTCAGTCTGTGCTGGTGGAAGGGGCGGAGTCATTTTCCTGAAAGGAGTGTTGATTGAGGAAGCACGCGCCTCCCCCAACCAGCCGTGGGTCTCAGGCAAGCCACTCCCCTCTCCAGGCCTCAGTTTTCTCATCTATAAACAGGGCCCACCATTTCCTACAGTCTCACACTAGCCACCCCACATGGCACCTGAGGGCATCTGAGTTTGAGATCCCTGGACTAACTGGTCTCAAAGGTGCCATAAAGCGAGTCTCTGGGTTTCTGTGGCTCTGGATCATGGGACAGGCAAGAGAGAGATGACTGGGCTGGGCTGAGAGGCCAGGTACTGCAGGCAACTGATCCAGTGCAGGCCACTCACCCAGGGTCTTCCTTCCCCAGTCCAGATTCGCGGCATCTCCCACCTGCATTTTGCCCCGGCCTCCTCCTGCTCTCTCCGCCCCCAGCACCTCCTGCTCTAGTCTGTGCTGTCTCATCAGGGTTCCTCTTAAAAAACTCAGATTGGATTCTGCTATTCTGTTGCTGGACAGCACCACCTATTTGCCCTAACTCCTTACTTGGCATTCAAGGCCCCTCCCAAGCCAGCCCCTGCCTACCTTCCTGGCCTTATCTCCCATTTCCCCTCACCCTCACCCTCAACTTCCTTAGTGCCACCCGGCCCATGAAGCCCCATCCTGTGTGGTGGCCATACCTTTGCATACACTAATCCCCCCACCTGGAATTCCTTCTCAGCCTTCTCCACTCAGAAAAGCCTTCAAGGCCTTGTCCCACGTTGCCTCCTCTGGGAAGCTGTCCCTGACTGTCCCTGGGTGGAGGCAGAGGCATACCTCAGCTAGAACAAGTGCCAGGTGATAGTGGAGTTAGGTGTGTAAGCTCCTCCTCCTAAACAATGAGCACCTAATAGAGGCCACAGCTTGAGCAGCAGGGCAGTAGCCCTGCCCTGGTCACCTTTTGTCTTCAGAGCCCAGAAAGGAGGCTGGACATAGTGAGCAGGTGGTCAGTACACCTTTGCTGTAGGAATAAACAACAAATAATGTGTTAGGCATTGCCCCACTCCACCTAACTCATTTAAAGTTCAAGAGGCAGGAAGATGTACACAGGTGAAGCCCCACACTGCGGAACAGTGATTCCCTTCTTCCCCTATTTGCAGAAGTCTAACCATTTACAAAGCACCTTGCAGCCCTCCCCAGCGAGCCCCTGCAAATAGTGCAGACCTCTCATTTATTATCTCTATGTTGCAAAGGAGGCCCAGAGAAGCAGAGACTGGCCAGAGGCCCCTGACTGGAGGTGGTGGAGTTCTACACAAGCCATGGCCTCCCTGGAGACACTGCTCCCTGCTGCTTGTCCAGCTGCAGGCTGCCTCCCTCCCTCCCTCTCAGGGTGGCTGCGGGCCTCTGTCTTTCTCTTGTCACGCAATGTGTATTTGAATCCATCTGGTTGCTTCTCTGAGTCTCTCTTTGTCTTCTTGTGTTTCTCTCTTACCTCAATTATTTATATTTCTGTCTCCAGCTCTCCGGGCTCCCACTCTTCTTCTGTGTGTTGGCCTTTGCCTTCTCTCTCTCTCTTTCTCTTTCTTTCTCTGTCTCCCTCTCTGTCTCTATCTGTTCCTTTCCCTCCATTTATCTTTTTCCTTCGCCTGAGCCTGTCTCTGTCCACCCTTCCCTCCATAATTAGCCTCACTTCTAGCTTTTACTCTTGGGCCCACTCTCGGGTGGGGGTGGGCAGGGGACAAGGAGGGAACATCTTTCCAGCATGCAGAAAATGGACCAATTAAAGCCACAATGCTGCTCAGGCAACTGAACAAGAAGGAAGCAAAAATAGCCCCAGGCGGGTCGAGCTGGAAAGAGGCACAGAGAAAAAGACAGAACGGGCGAAATGAATGCAGAGGCCAAAGTCACAGTCGGGCCATCGAGGGGGAAGCTCCTTCCCACCCATATCTGGAAGCTGGACTCCGGCTGCAGCATGGCAGGGTGGACCTGCCTCATCCTCAACCCTGGCCCAACCCTTTATCTCACCTGAGGACACCCTGGAGCCTGCCAGACCTCTCTGGAATCCCAGAGGTCCTGAGCTTCCTCCCAAGTTGACGCCCACCTCCTATCTCTGGACCCCTTCCCACCAAGTGGCCCAGGGGTGCTGGGAGAGGCATCCACCCCACCCTGTCTAAGCCTGGCTTTCATCCATCCTCAGGTCCCCAGGAATCCAAGGCCTGCTCTATACGGGATACTCGAGGGTTGTAGACAGAATGGTGAGGCAATGGTATGCTTAGCAAATGCCATCCCCCACCCAAGGAGCTCACAGGCTGTGGGGAAAACCAAGCAAAGAAACAGGCAGAAAAAACACACCTCGCCACACTAAGCACAGCCTGGGGAGTCCAGAAAGGGGGCTCAAGGAATTGATATCTGCCCCCAGCCTGCAGAGCCTGCAAGGGGAGCCTGCGCAGAGTAGGCAGTGAGGGCTGGAGATGAGCCTGATCAGAGGAAAACACAGGGAGCCCTCAGGAAAATGAGAGAACTCCCATGAGGCCACGGAGGAGTTGGGGGAGAAGAATGTGAGGGCTGCGCTTTGTCCAGGACAAGGTCTTGGAAGTTATTCTCAGAGCACTGGGGAGCCAGGAAGGGTTTTATGCAGGGGAGGGCAACATGATGTGCTCCTTTTTCTTGTTTGTTTGTTTGAGACAAGGTCTCACTCTGTGTTGCAGGCTGGAGTGCAGTCATGTGACCGTCACCTCACTGTAGCCTCAACCTCCCTGGGCTCAGGCGATCCTCCCAACTCAGCCTCTGGAGTAGCTGGGACTACAGGTGCACACCACCATGCCCGGCTAATTTTTGTATTTTTTTGTAGAGCCAGTTTCACCATGTTGCCCAGGTTGGTCTCGAACTCCTGGGCTCATGTGATCCACCCACCTTGGCTTCTCAAAGTGCTGGGATTACGGGTGTGAGCCATCACACCCGGCCATAATATGTTCCTTTATGGAGATTCCACTGCCTGCAGGGAGGGGAAGATGGATGAGGCTAAAGCAAGGAGAGCAGGCCGGATGCTACTGCAAAGCACTGGGGAAGAGCCAATGGGCCCTAAAATGGCAGTGGCTGTGAGATGGAGGGAATGCAGGATATGGGAGATGAGGTAAGGTGAGGTCGGGGAACCCAGCCAGAGTGACTAGGCCCCTCCTCAGCTGGAACCACTTCAGTACATAGGAATGGCTCACAGACTTTGAGCCATCTGAGGGCAGATTTCCATCCTTTTTGTACCCAGCCCACAGCCTGTGGCCTGGAACATATTAATGCTAAAAATATTTGTTAGATGAGTGAGTTACTCAATCCATCATTCCCCAGCTGGCCTCCAAGGCCAGGGCTGTGACCTGGCCCAGTTCCTCCCTGGCTTTCTCCCCAGCCCTCTTTCACGTCCTACTCCCTGCCCTCCAGCAGGCTGGATTCCCTGAAATTGCCTGGATTCATTCCATTTCTCTGCCTGGCTCATTTGATTGTGTCCTAGAACACTCTCCTCTCATTTTCACATGCCCAAGTCCTACCCACTCGTCAAGATCCAGTTCCAGTGCCCCCTCCTACATGCAGCCCTACCTTCCTCTCTTCCCTCCAGGTGCTCAGAGCACATGACCTGGGCCTCTCTTATGGCAGGGGCCACAGTGGGCCTCCTGTATTGTTCTCCACGCCTATGCTAGAATCCCTGTATACACTCAGAGCAGCTTTAGGGCAGAAATCTGGGTCTGATTCTACAGTCTTCAGGACAGGCCTGCCCCAGAGAGAGGTCTCCATGAAGACTTAATAGAAGAAGGAAGGAAGGGAGGGAGGGGAGGGGAGAGTAGACGTGTCTGTGCTGGCCATGTGTGTCAGCCAGGGGGCGAGGGAGGCTTGAATTGCTTTAGCTTCTGATGCATAAGCCATTCCTCCATCAGCTCTGCCACTCCCTGCTTGGGTGTGCCCACAATGTGGTTCTGGTTTTCTGAGCCTGATCTATACCTTACACCAAACCTGACATTAACATCAGAAATCCTGATTTTCTTCTTTCGCTAAAACCCACTGCGACTTCAACCTCACTGTTTCTGCTAGTCACAGAAATATATGGATGGATGGATGGATGGATGGACAGATGGATGAATAGATGGACAGATGGATGGCTGAATGGATGGACAGATGGATGGATAGATGGATGGATGGAAGGATGGATGGATGGATGGATGGATGGATGGATGGATGGATGGAGAATTGGTTGAATGGATGGAGTGAATGACCAAATTAATGACTAAGAGGAAATCATCCAAGAACTATGAATGATGGACCATAGGTGATGGGCTACCAGAATTTGGTGAACCTCAGTCAAATTCTGGCTATGTGTTCATTTATTCACCTGGCATTAATGGAGCACCTGCCATGTGTAAAACATTATGGTAGACCCCAGGAATCTAAACGTGGTCCCTGTCCCCATACAGCTTATAGTCTAGTGAAGGAGTCAGACAAAAAAACTGAGGAATTACCAAGATAATATAATGGGATAAAAAATATGACAGAGAACATGTGGGAAGCTGCCTGGAGCATCACTCATTCCAGAGCATCTGGGAAGGCTTCCTGGAAGAAGCGACATCTAAACTGTGAAAGGCAGGACTGATGAGTACAGGGTAGGGAGTGTGAATGAGGCTGGCAGAGGGAACAGTGTGTGTAAAGGGCAAGGAGCAAAGTTCAATCAGGGGCACGGAGCACTGGGGACAGTAGATGAAGCAGAAGAGGAAGACAGGAGCCAGATCTTTCAGGCCCTCGTGGGCTCCAAAGGAGTTCAGGCTCTGTCCTAAAACAGGAGGAATCCCTTGCAAGGTGTCAAACATGAATGCAGGAAGACTATTAATTGGAAAATGTGTATCAAAATTTCTTCTGTTAAGCAGAAAGATTATTTTCTTCTGGTGTTTTCCCATAAATAACACTGTGCTACATCTATAAATCACCTGGGAAATTTAAAAGCAGGAAACCTTGTACTGCTTTTCTTGGCGATGAAAAACCAAGAAAATGAAAACAGAATTAACCTCTTAGCCTGAAATGTAACGTTTCTCATTGACCAAGTTGAAATTGTCCTATTTCCTTTTTCATTAAAATATGACTCCATTTCATATTTATAACCCATAAGGTTAAAAGTTCAGAAATCAAAGCCCATGTCTGTTAAAATAATACTATGCTTCATTGAAAAAAAATAACCAGAATGCCAAAGTTTGTTCTTTTGGTTAAATAATACATTTTCTAGCATGGCTATGTCTCAGAAACAGTTCTCAAGTGTTCACAATAGCTATAATGAGCCTATTGGAGGAGGTATAGTTCACATGTTAAATAAATAACTACATCAAATAGCTTAGGGAAACACAGTTTTAAAATTACCGTTTGATTTTCTGATGTGGCTACAAAAGTAAACTGAAAAAACAGAAGAAATCACTGTTTTAAGATATAGCAGATTCCTCTCCAAAGGAAACCTACAACTACCTATTCCATAGCTTGCAGACTTCATTCATTCAGCGGGATGATGTAAATAACAATCGGGGGTGTGGGAGGGGCTGGTGTGGATAGGGGAAGCATGGTCAGGAAGTAGCATTCACACCTGGAGAGCGACAAGGTGCTTGTCACTAGAAGAACCAAAGAAAGGGGGGCCTAGGCAGAAGGAACAGCAGGTGCCAAGGCTCAGAGGCAGGAAAAGACTTAATAGAAATAAAAACAAATAAGCAGGTTGGCATTCCCACGGTTGTCCCTGATTTGCTGTGGGAATGCCCGCCTGCTGCGTGCTTCTCATGTTCCCTGTCTGGGCCTTGTGCCTTCTTCCTGAAGTGGAAGGGGGGTCCCAAGGCTTTTTAGAAGCTGCCTCCTTGCCTAGCTTTCTGGCTCCTCTGTCCCCCGTCCCTGGACTCCTCCCAGCCCCCTCCCGTCTCTTGCCTGCCCTCCTGCATCCGATGCCCTGGCTGTCAGGGAGAGGAAGTTAGCTGCAGGCACATACATTTTTTAAAAACCCAGCCATTTAAGGAAACTATGCCTCTAAACAAACACTCAAAGGCCCCCACCTCTTGTCCCTAAGGGAGGCAGCACCAGGGCCAGGTCAGGAATTCCGGGCATGTGGGGAAGGCCCTGAATGGAGGGGAAGGCAAGTTGCTGGTCAGACCTCCTCCCCTCAGAGGGCCTCGCCCCAGTCCTGAGAACCAGCCCTGACTCCTCCAGGACCCCAGGGCTGCTCTGCTGGTCCCAGGCCAATGGGGCCCAGGAAAAAGGCCAGAGTCATTCCCTGGGCATCTGGCAAGAATATGGCGTCTGTTGTTGTTTTTTTCTTTTTTATTAACTTTTTAATTTTTACTTCTTTTTTTCTTTTTTTAGAGACAGGGTCTCGTTCTGTCATCCAGACTGGAGCATAGCGGTGCAATCATGTCTCACCACAGCCTCCACCTCCCAAGCTCAAGTGATCCTCCCACCTCAGCTTCCTCGGTAGCTGGGACTATAAGCATGTGCCACCATGCCTGCCTAATTTTTTTTTTTTTGGTAGAGATGGAGTCTCGTTATGTTGCCCAGGCTGGTTTTGAATTCCTGGGCTCAAGTGAACATCTCACCTTGGCCTCCCAAAGTGCTGGGATTATAGGCATGAGCCACTGTGCCCAGCCTATTTTTACTTTTTACTGTGAAACATACATATAAAATAATCTATATAACGTACGCACATTTAAAAGACTATGTTAAATCGTAAAATAATAATAAATGAAGGCTTGTATAAGCCCAGACTAAGAAACCCAGCCTAAGAAACCTTCCCAATGCTTTCCAAGCCCACGCTTGCCCTGACCCTGTGGCTGCCCCATATCCCCCTGCCCAGGTTAACCACTGGGTTCCGTGTTGTGCTGTGGAAGCCCATGGCCCAGAGACCCAAGAACATGATTGCAGTAAGAAAATGGGAGGTTTCGTAAGCTTGTCGCTGCAAGGGAGTGCACAGCGCAGGGAAACCTCGGTGGTGTCTCAGGGAAAGGGATCTGGAAAGCCCCTGAGAAGATCTAGGCTTGGCTGGATGATTCCAAGGAAAACCAGGAAAGCAAGTCCAGTTCTGGACTGAGTGCATGGGCACTTAATAATTTTGATCTTGGAGGCAGGAGGGTTAAAACCGCACCGGCGTTGTCTGGTGAGCAAGCCACTGTCACTCAGAAAGGCAGTGGAGAGGAAGGGGTGTTTCACCGGTGCTTACTCACTGGTGGGGTCTCACAGTTAGCCTGGTCTGTGTCTATGAGTGTGGTTTGTGGTTTCTTGGAAACGTTATCTATCTGTGAGCACAATTTGTCATTACTCAGTGTTAATCATTGTGCAGCTTTTCTTTATAGTTTGCATGTATACTATGTATCTTGTAGATTTATGTGTGGCTAAATGATATGCTGTTTGTCATCACCACCACTACCCCACCACTGCCACTACAACAACCCCACCACCTCCATTGCTGCCACCATCACCACGACAGCTACGCCCTCACACCCACAGAAGCGGCGGTGTGGGAGGCCACATGTGCTCTAGCTGTTCCATGTGTGGGGTGTGTATCTGTGTATGCTGGGGTGGCTGTGGGGGGAGAGAGGCTATTTAGAGAGTTTCAGGCTGAGCAGCACTGAGGAACCAAGAAGTTGGCTGCAAAGATCTGGGCCTACTGCAAAGATCATTGAGTACCTCCTGCGGTCCCAGTCTCTCTTTCTCTCCTTACTCCTGGATTTATCTGAAGATGAGGGCTGAGTGACCAAACAAGCATGGGATCAAGGGCCAGAAAGTAGCATCAGGCTCAGAGCTGGAGTCAGGGCTGGCACTGGGAGGCCCCGACAGCAGGAGCCTCTGATCCACCTTGTTCCAGCTGTCTTGAGGACCATCTCTCCCGGCAGCATACCGTGTGGCTTCACACTGCTCTGCCTCTCTGAACCTCGGTTTCTTCATCTATAAAATGGGAATAAGAGTAAGCCACCTCAATGGACTGTGGGAGGCTTAAGTAAATTGAAGTGCCATGCAAGTAGCTAGCATGCAGTTGCAGCTCAATGAATGTGAGTCCCTTGTCCTCCTCTGGGGGTGGGCTGGAATCACAGGGTAGTGGGTGGCAGGTAGCAGGAGGTGAGACGATGGGGTGCCATGACCTCTCCTAACACCTGATGCTGGACAGGAAACAGGAGGCTTCTGGGAAGGGCCCGGGACAGATGCGACCTGCCACCCAGGCTGCCCCTGAATGTCCTCTGCCCAGTGCTGCCCCAGCTGCATGGAGGGACCCCAGAGTGGGGCATGGGCTGGGAGGGGGTGGGGGAGGCTGAGAGAGCAGGAGAAGGAAGTGAGTCATGGTGGGGAAGAGGAGAAAAGGCAGGAAGGAAGAACATGCAGGAAGAAAAGAGGGAGAGAGGGATATGACGGGAGGAAAGAGGAGAGGAGGGGAAAGGAGAAGGAAAGGGAGGGGAGGGGAGGGGAGGGGAGGACTGAAGGGAGGAAGTAGAGGGAGCAGAAAATGGGAGGGAGGAAAGAAGGAAGGAAGGAGGGATGGAAGGATGGAAGGAAGGAAGGAAGGGAGGGAGGGAGGAAAAGACGGAAGGAGGGAGGGAAGGAGGGAAGGAATGAAGAAAGGGAGGGAAGGAATAGAGGGAAGGAAGGGAGGGAGGAGGGAGAGAAGGAAGGGAGGAAGGAGAGAAGGAAGGGAGGAAGGAGGGAAGGAAGGGAGGAAGGAGGGAAGGAAGGGAAGGAAGAGAGGAGGGAAGGAAGGAAGGGAAAGAAGGAAGGGAGGGAAGGAAGGGAGGGAGATGAGGAGACACTGGCAGCTCAGTACCTGGCAGAAGGAGATAAACAGAGTCTGGAGCCACCACTGCCCTTGTCCAGCCACCAGCACAGGCATGGGGGCAGGGAACTGGGCCGGCTGGCCTTGCCAACTGCTTAACAACGCCCTTCCCCAACCTGCCACCACAGTGGGATCCCGCCAACCTGCCACCCTGTCTGCTGGGAACAATAGGGAGCTGTCTGAAGCTGTGTCACTGGCTGCCTCCCCCAAAAGAAGGTGACAGCGATGTCTCCCTGCCATGGGCCTCAAAGCCAGCTGCCAGCCCTTCTAAGCCGTGGGGACAGGAATCTACAGCTGGGCCTCCCTCTGTAACAGCTCCCCCTTGGAACCCCTCCACACCCACCTCCTCCTTTTATTTCCTCCAGCCCTCAGCTCCCTCAGCCTGATCTCCCCAGGCATCCCCTGACATTTGGCCTTGCTCCCCGCTGCTATCTGCTCATCATGTTGGGGACAGGAGATGGGAAAGGGCAGTAGAGACAGTGCTGGGGAGTCAGGACGTGGGGTTTCAGTCTCGCCTTTGTCACTGTGGCACAGATGGCCAGCCGTCTCTCATCATCTATTCTCCCCTCTTCCTGATGAACGCACCCCTAATTTGGTGTCAGGCACATGGCAGCTGAGAGTAGAGGCCACATTTCCCAGACTCCTCTGCAATTACATGTCACTATGTGACAAAGTTCTGACCAATGCAATAGAACTGCAACCCCTGGGACATGTCCTCTTGGGGAAAGGCATTCTCTTTTTAACCCTTCTGCTTTCTGCTCTGGAATGCAGATTATGATGGCCGCAGATACGATGGCTACAGCTGGGGCACCCATTTCGGGTCACAAGGTAGGGTTCAATGTTGAAGATGGCAGAGCCAATTGCATCCCTGATGATCGTGGAGTGCCGGGCCTGCCTGAGATGCTCACCTCTCTTCCTTTACCAGAGAGAGAAAGTAAGTTGTTTAAGCTGCTAATGTGGGGGCTCCTCAAAACGCTTGCACTTGCTACTACCTCTCCCTGGAATACTCTTCCTCCAGATCTTTATTCAGGCCCCTGCTTGTTGTCATCTTCTCATTAAAGCCCGCATTGTCCTTTCTGTCTAACATTACCACCCTCCACTCCTTCTCACTGTCAAGTGGAAAACTCTTTATAGCACACGCTGATAGCTCCATTTTCTTGTTTGTTACGGGCTTCTTTCTCTTTCTGACTTCTGCCAGTAAAATGAAAGCTCCATGAGAGCAGGCACCTGCCATGTTCACTGCCAGATCACTAGGACTCGGAACAGCACCTGGCACATAGTAAATGCTCAATAAATCCTTGGTGAATAAATATAGGTGGAAATGAAAGGACTAGAAGTGAATTGACATTTATTGAGCACCTATTGTGTGCAGGCACCGTGCTGGATGCTTTAGGTAAACCATTTCATTCACACGTCTTAACATTTTTAGGTACAAATTGTTACTCTCATTTTTTCACATCTAGAAACTGAAGTTGTGAGATTATAGGTGACATAATCTCAGATCCCAGAGATCTAAGCAGGAGGGTTGTGGGGGTGCAGGCAGGGTCCTGGGATGTAAGCTCAGGTGCCTTGAATCAAGCCCAATGGGTTTTCATTATTCTGGCCAGGCTCTCCGAAGATAAAAGACATCCTCAGATGTTCCTAAAGCCTCCCATTCAGCTTATTCTCTCACCTGCTTGCTAAGCAACTCTGCACCACCTCCCAAGCAGCCTCTTCACTGGCTTTGATTTTTAGTGTCTTTCTGATTATTTCCTGAGGAGATTGTGCTAGAAGCCTGTGGAATCACAGAGGCACTGGGTAGCGTGAACAGAAATGCCTTTTTCTACTCTGAAATGTGAGGACTGACTCCTTCAGGAGGGAGAAGGGAACGTTGTCATTTCCAAGTACATTCTCTGCCAGGCCTGTTTCAGGAACTCCTGCCTGCTCATCTCACATGATCTTCATGCCAATCCTGGCAGGGAGGCAGCTGCGTGGCCATGCACCAGTCTCCTTGCTCCTCTGAGCCTCCTTTTTCTCATCTGGCAAACGGGGATAATGAGGCTACCAACCTGGAAATGTGGCTGAGAGGTAAATGGGATGAAGATGAGGCCAGGGAATTTGGTTTTAAGGTTCAAATCAAGGATATTTCCTGCAGCTAAATAGAAAGCACCTTTACCTTCATCCTGTATGCAGCCCCCCATACCTCCAACTTCAGCATCCTGGTGACTTAATGCATCAATAGCTCACAAGTTTGAAGATTCCCCTGCTCTCCTGAGTCCTCTCCCTTACTGGCCATGTGACCTTAAACAAGTCCTTCACCTGGCTGAGCCTCAATTTCCTTGTATGTAAACTGAAGGCACTGGACTAGGTTCCCTTCCAGTCTGAAATTCACAGGCTTCTCTATCAAGTAAAGTCTGAGGAATAGTAGCTACCAAACGTGAGCATTTGTTACATGCCGGCAGAATTGCCAGCACATTTACCTACATTGTCTAATTTTGTCCTCACCACAATCCTGTGGGAAAGCTTTCATCCCTCCCATTTAACAGGTGAGGAAATTGAAGCTCAGGGGTGGAACAAATCACTCAAGATCACACAGGGGTAATGGGATTCAAACTCAAGTGTCGCTCAGATGCTCAGACCATTGAACTCTACTGCACACATAGAATCAGAATTTATTTTCACTACCATTTTTTCTGGCCAGGCTTTTCCTGTTTAGCTTGTCCTTGAGGACGGAGCTATTGGGACACATCCAGGGCTTAGGACCACCTGTAGGTGAGACAAGCAGGCTACGGAAAGCATGGAGCCGCCTTGTTGGCAACTGGGGCCACAGGCTGTGTTCCACTCTCTTCAGTCCACATCTCTGGGTGATACACTCATGTTTGGAGGTGCCTGCAGTGGCAGGAGGAAGTGGGGAGTGGGGAATATGACAGTTCTCCAAGGAATTTGGAAGGCAGGGGAAAGAGCTGCACAGGCACCGTCACGTCATTGGCAAAGGTGCCAAAGAAATGTCAGAACAAAATGTGCTGGCTGGGATTGGAGATGAAAAATCCATTCGTGGCTGCCCTGAAGCAAATCCCTTCACTCCCCAACTACCATCTCAGAAGGAGGAATTAGTCACGTGACAGAGCTCTTCAGCACCATGGACAGTGCCCTAGCGGCACCTTCAGGGAACCCACCCAGGCCTCAGAGTATCAGGCCCAGTGACTAGCACCACAGCTGATGGAGGGGATGGCCTCGTTCCCCTCATCCCCAGGGACTTATCATCTGGGGCCAGGAAGAAGACTGACATGCAAGGAAAACTCACACAGTGCTGGGTGTTCCTGTGTGCTAAGGAAGGACCCTCTGGCCAATGTTGGCCTTGACATCCATTCCTGCATTTGGCCATCATTGAGCAGGGGATGTGTACCTGACTCTGCACCAGACACCAGGGAAGGAAGAGCACAGATGAATGGAGACTGTGCTTGCTCTTGAAAAGCTTGGACTTAGTCGGGGAGACTGGAAACCAATCATTACGAGATAGAGGTTGGCATGAGATGAGGTCAGTGAGGTTGCTACTAATGCTAGTTCCACTTTACAGGTGGGAAACCAGGCCAGGTGACTTGCCCAGGCTCGCACAGCTATGAGGAGGCAGAGCTGGGATTTGCATCCATGTGGTCAGGTCCCAGGATCCATGATTTTAACCACTACCATGACTATGGGGTGGTGGTGGGGAACAATTCAATTAAGTCTAGAAAGGGGCAATGGAGAATTCCTGGAAGGAGTGACACCTGGGTTGTATTTTCCCAGGTGAGGAAGTTGGGGGAGGTCAGAAAGAATAGCACTGTGAAGCCTGAGAAAGGTAGTGCTCCATAGTGGGTATGGGAAAGGGCCACACAGAGGATGTGGGAACAGGAAGGCGGGCGAAGGTGAGGCTAGAAGACCCCCAAGGGTGGGCTCCTGAGGAGTGTTGTACTAAGCAAGGGAGTTTGAGCTGGATTCTGCAGCTCTAAAGAGTCAATGGAGTGTTTCAAGCAACAAAAGAAGGTAATCAGATTCTGGAAAATGGCTGATAGTGTATTGAAGTGGACTGGAGAGGGATCATTGGCAGGAGGGATGTCTAGCCAGAGGGCTACTGCAGGAAGCCAGCTGAGGGAGGGAGGGAAGGCTAGACTGGGGCAGGGGCAGTGGAGCAGCAGGAATGGCACGCGATGCCTGATGGCCTTGAGATTAAGATCACAGGCTCTGGGCCGGGTGTGGTGGCTCACGCCTGTAATCCTAGCACTTTGGGAGGCTGAGGTGGGCAGATTGCCTGAGCTCAGGAATTCGAGAGCAGCCTGGACAACACAGTGAAACGCTGTCTCTACTAAAGATACAAAAAAATTAGGTGTGGTGATGTGTGCCTGTAGTTCCGGCTACTCCAGAGGCTGAGGCAGGAGAATTGCTTGAACTCGGGAGGCGGAGGTTGCAGTGAGCCAAGATCGTGCCACTGCACTCCAGCCTGGGTAACAGAGTGAGACTCCATCTTAAAAAAAAAAAAAAAAAAAAAAAAATCACAGGCTCTGGCCCCACATCTCCTGGGTCCACAGCCAAGACCAGGAGTGAGGAAGCACCTGCCTTACACTGCCTTTTTTTTTTACTTTTTTTATTTTTAATTTCTGTGGCTACATAGCAGGTGCGTATATGTATGGGGCACATGAGATGTTCTGATACAGGCATGCAATGCGCCATAATCACATCATGGAGAGTGGGGTATCCATCCCCTCAAGCATTTATTCTTTGTGTTATAAACAATCCAATTACAGTGTTTTCATTATTTTAAACTGTACAATTAAGTTATTACTTACTGTAGTCACCCTGTTGTGCTATCAAATAGTAGGTCTTATGCATTCTTTCTAGCTTAGACTGCCAATTCTGAAGCTCATGCACTTTACTTGTGAGCTCTTCAGCCTGTCTCAGGACCCAGTTACTCTTACTTCACCCGCTGTTCTGACAGAGCTGTAGGTCTGACTCTCAAATTCACAGCAGATTAGAAGTAGAAAGTTTTATGGGATGGGAGAAGAATTGAGAGGCAGGTGCAGTGACAGCAGGGAGGGATGCTAGCTAATGTCGGGAAACCAAAGATTTTTTATTTTTTTTAAGCATCATAAAATGGCATCATTTGGCAGATTCTGAATGCATCAACACATCCTACATCAATTACACTATGTAATAAAGTCGGGAACTCTATCACATTTCTAAAAATATTTCCATCCAAGGGCTAAAATGAAATTTGAAAGTTTGAGTAATTAAGAGCAATCCCTCAGCCATACTGATTCGCTAATTGTCCTTAAAATCCGAGTGACTGAGACCTCTTTGTACCTTTCAGAACCTTGTCCTATCCATCAGAGTGATGGGGTGATCCTCACACTCACCCCAGGAGAAAAAAATAGGCAGAGGGGCCACCCCATGTCATAGGTGAAGAAACTCATGCTCAGCCTTTCACAGCCTACACAAATGGCTCTTCATTTTCAGAGTCAAGCTGGGAGCCCAGATGTCCTGATTGGCAGCCCTGAACTCCCAGTCCTTCTGTCTGTCTGCTGCTTCTTTCCTCCCTCCCCTTCTCAAGCCATACCCACCCACTGGTGCTCATCATCATCTGCTGCTGCTGATTGGCTGGTGAGATCACCCTGAGCAGCAGCCCTCTCCTCCATAGGTCCGTGGTATGTTGACATCAGAGAGGTTATTTGCATACCCATCAGCCAGTCAACAGCTTCCCATCCTCAACCGGGCAGTTCCTTTCTTTATGGAACTGAGGCTTCTCACTGGGACTGAGCTCATAAGCCACAACAGAAGCCGCCTTTTATTGAACACTTATTATGGGCCAGGCCTGTGCTATATATTTTGCATATTTTCTCTCATTGGATGTGCACAATAACCAGCTTGAGGTAGGAACTGGGTTAGTCCCACTTCTCAGAGAAGAAACTTACAAAGTTTAAGTATTTGCCCAGGGTCATGCAGACAATAAGTAGCAGAGATGGAATCTGCACCCAGGGATATCTAATCCAAATGCTGTATTCTTAACCAGCTCCAGAGTCTTCCAACAGAGGGACAAGTATTGTGGCTTTGTGTGTGTGTGTTGGAAGTGGGGGGGTGGGGATTAATAGGACTTTAGCCAGGGAAAGCAGCTTCTCCCTTTCCCCACACTTCTTGCACCCTAGTCACCTTACTGGGCTGAGAGGTGTGTCTGTTCCATGAGAGGAGAGAGCTAAGGAGAACTTCCAGTTAGGGAGGGGGTGCTGTCAGGCTGCAGAGCAGAGACTTGCCCAGTCCTCAGACCTGGGAGGTCTCCTTCAAGTGTCAAAAGAAGGTATTTGGCCGGTCATGGGCTCACGCCTGTAATCCCAACACTTTGGGAGGCCGAGGTGGGCAGATCACGAGGTCAGGAGATCGAGACCATCCTGGCCAACATGGTGAAACCCTGTCTCTACTTAAAATACAAAAATTAGCTGGGCATGGTGGTCTGCACCTGTAGTCCCAGCCACTCAGGAGGCTGAGGCAGGATAATTGCTTGAACCCAGGAGGCTGAGGTTGCAGTGAGGTGAGATTGCACTACTGCACTGCAGCCTGGGTGACAGAGCAACACTCTGTCTCAAAAAAAAAAAAAAGAAGAAGAAGAAGAAGAAGAAGAAGAAGAAGGCGTTCAGGGCTCAGAGCTAGAGGCTGAGCAGAGGAAGAAGAAGGCGTTCAGGGCTCAGAGCTGGAGGCTGAGCGGAGGAAGAAGAAGGCGTTCAGGGCTCAGAGCTGGAGGCTGAGCGGAGGAAGAAGAAGGCGTTCAGGGCTCAGAGCTGGAGGCTGAGCGGAGGAAGAAGAAGGCGTTCAGGGCTCAGAGCTGGAGGCTGAGCGGAGGAAGAAGAAGGCGTTCAGGGCTCAGAGCTGGAGGCTGAGCGGAGGAAGAAGAAGGCGTTCAGGGCTCAGAGCTGGAGGCTGAGCGGAGGAAGAAGAAGGCGTTCAGGGCTCAGAGCTGGAGGCTGAGCGGAGGAAGAAGAAGGCGTTCAGGGCTCAGAGCTGGAGGCTGAGCGGAGGAAGAAGAAGGCGTTCAGGGCTCAGAGCTGGAGGCTGAGCGGAGGAAGAAGAAGGCGTTCAGGGCTCAGAGCTGGAGGCTGAGCGGAGGAAGAAGAAGGCGTTCAGGGCTCAGAGCTGGAGGCTGAGCGGAGGAAGAAGAAGGCGTTCAGGGCTCAGAGCTGGAGGCTGAGCGGAGGAAGAAGAAGGCGTTCAGGGCTCAGAGCTGGAGGCTGAGCGGAGGAAGAAGAAGGCGTTCAGGGCTCAGAGCTGGAGGCTGAGCGGAGGAAGAAGAAGGCGTTCAGGGCTCAGAGCTGGAGGCTGAGCAGAGTCACAGGCTCTTTGCCGAAAGCCTGTGTGACCTGGGCCGATGTGTGTTTAATGATCCCCAAAGGCTCTTCCTGTCTTAGTTTCTGGAAAGCTGGCTTTCCCGGGGAGATGCTAGCTGGACACAGATGAGGAAAGACTAAAGTTCAGCCTTGCAGCACTCCCTGGGGCCGGCATGAGGGGAAGCACCCCAGCTGGGGCCCCAACACTGCCCTCTGCAATCCAGCCACTCCCAGGAAGGGAGTAGAAGAGCAATAACGTCTTCTGTGGGAGCCTCCTTCACACCGTGCCACAGCCTCCTTCCCCCATACCACCCCAGTCCATTAGGTCCAGCCCCCCTTGCACCGTGCCACAGCCTCCTTCCCCCCTGCCATCCCAGTCCATTAGGTCCAGATGACCTGTGACACACACCCTGGGCCCCCAGCCCTGTGCTGGCCGCCCTGGTGGATGCTGGAAACGCCAGGCGAGCCTCTGGCCACAGAAGGTGGTGCCTGGCCCATTGCACAGGGGCAGCCAAGGTAATCAGTTCAATGCCAGAGCAGTCAGGGAAGGCTTCCTGGGAATGGCAGCAATTGGGCTGGGCTTGCCAAGCTGATTAGTGTGAACTGGTCGACCGAGGAAGGGAGAGCAGGCCTGATGTACAGAAGAGCAGATGCAGAGAGACAGGCAGGACTGTTTACCCTGGAGGGGGAAGGCCCACTCACTGTGTGGGCAGGAAGCTGACTCAGAGTGTGATGAGAGTAACAGAGAACCCAAGTCTCTCTACTCCCAGCCCAGTGCTCATATAATCGTGAGCCCTAGCCTTGCATTTTCATTCTCTTGTCTGGTCATCACTGGACAGTTGCCTCTGCCATGTCTACTGGACAGGACTCAGGATGGTCACCAGCAGCTTTCCCCTGCATCCCTCCCCAAAGCCCAGAAACCCTGACCACCCCGCCGGGCCTGCCTCCTCCCCGGCCTTGGAGCCCAACCTGGACTCTGCAGTTGGTCCTTTGGCGCCATCTGATGGTAGACATATGAAACTACAGCAAATGGGGGGACTGGTGAAGGAGGAAAAGTTGGAGGAGGAAGAGGAGGAAGATGAGAGGGAGATGAGGAAAGAGGAAGAGGAAATAACTTGTATAGCCTATATGGATCACCATGTGCTTTGGTAGAGACAGAAAAATCTAGGCCCTACCGTTTTGCAGCTTTGTGACTTTGAGCAGTTCACAGTTCCTCCCTGAGCCTCAGTTTCCCCATCTGTAAAACCAGGAAAAATAACCCAAACTTAAGTGTTAACCTTTGGCAGGGTATTGACCAAGAGGGAGCTTGAGGGGGCCTTTGAGGGTGTCAGAAATACTTCTGTCTTGATGGTCACACGGTTTTAAAAAGTCATTGAGTTGTACACAAAGTTTGTGTACTTTACTGTATATATAATATATACATTATATGTAATACTATATATAGTATATATAATATAAACATATAATATATAACATATATATTATATATAAATTATATATATAAAAATTATACCTCAACAAGAAAGGAAGCAATAACACTAATCTACCTTTAACGGTGAAAACCAAGAGAAATCATGTAAGAAAGGGGCTTAGCTCAGGGCCTGGCACCAAGTCAGGATGCATTGAGGGCGATGGTTATCCCTGCTGTCACTCAGCACTTTCAAATATAGCTGTGCTTTATTTTGCAATGACCCTGTAAGTTGACTTACTTTTTATAGCTGAGGGATTGAGGCTTGGTGAAAACTTGCTCTAGATGATCTAATTCCGTGCCCTAGACTTTTTCGCCTGGGCATAGCCCTCAAGCTAGGATAGGCTGAGCAGGGCCCAGGGCAACAGAGCTGTGTGGACAGGCTAGCCCTCAAGGGCCACTGCACCTGGCAAAGCACAAGACCAAAATGTTGTCCACTTGTTCCCAGGAGACCTGGCTCTTCCAGGTGATGAGGCACCAGAGGAACTTCTCTCAAGAAAGCAGGCATCAGCTGGCCAGAAGGAGTAAGGGCAGAAGAAGGCAGCAGGGCAGCACAGGGCACAGGGCTGGACAGGCAGATCTGGGTCTGAATTCAGGATCCTCTGGATGAAAGGGGGCAAGCTGCTTCTCATCCATGGGGGTCGGGTTTCTCATCTGCAAAATGGGGACGAGGACACGTGCCCTTCCTGCTGCTCAAGGTTGCTGTGATAGCTGAGTGAGACCATGGAGTGAAGACTCTGGTCCTCCTACTGACCTTACAGGATGGGCAAGAGCCTCTCCATTTTGCAGATGAGGAAACTGAGGCACAGACACTTCAGACCCCACCCAGCTATGACCCATCTCCCACCTGGGACCTCAGCCCCAAGGTGACTCATGGCAGAAACACAGCCCAGGGAAGAGGAACAAAGGTTTTGGGGGGAGGTGGCCTAAAACCTGCCCAGAAACCTCAGTGCTGCAGATGACACAGAACCACCAATACGGCTAAAGGGACTGGGTGGGGCACTTTAGAAAAGCAATAGGAATATCATCCCAGCCCTGAGGTTAATTCAGATCGGGGACCCAGAGTTGGGTTCTCGATGCCTTGTGATGTCCAAGCAGCTTCCCAGGCCTCCTTCCTTCACGGAGCTCCTGGGACCATCTCCTCCTCCTGCATCCTGGACAGGGGTCATGTAATTCCACCCCATTCCCATCACGGGGCCAGTGGCCCCATGTCTTAGTCTGCTTGGGCAGCTATAACAAAAATACCATAATCTAGGTGGTTTACAAAGAGCAAACATGTATTTCTTATAGTTCTGGGAGCTGGGAAGTCCAAGATCAAGGTGCCCCAGATTTGGTGTCTGGTGAAGACCCACTTTCTCATGTACAGATGGCACTTCTTGCTGTATCTTCACAGAGTATAAGTGATGAAAGAGCTCCCTCAGACCTATTTAATAAGGGCACTAATCCCAGTCAACTGTCCTCATGGCCTAATTGCCTCCTCAATGCCCCACCTCCTAATACCATCACATCGGTGATTAGGTTTCAATGTGGGAATTTGAGGAGTACACATTCAGACCATAGCACCCCATGACCTACCTAAGGCCACCCAACTGGTCATAGCCACCAGGTGCTGCAAAAGCCTTGAGCTCATCTAGTGAGAACCCTCATCTATCAGAGAGGGAAAGGGCTTGTCTGAGGCTGCACAGCAGAGCTGGGACTGGAAGCCAGACCTCTGCACACCAGGCCTCGAGGGGAACCACAGGTGCTCAGGCCTTCTGAAAGCCACCTCATCACTGTGAGAGGGCCTCAGCCTCCACTGCTACAGCTGACTCTGCAGCCCCTCCCTCCAGCCGTGGTGACAGCAGAGCCATGGAAGCAGCTGGGCCTCCCAGTCCAGGCCCCTCTGGGATTGCCCTTCCCAACAGCTTGGCATGGCCCTGGCCCGCCACCTGGTGGCCACAACAACAATTGCCAGGACGTAGCCTCAGGCTCTGATCCCACCTCCCTCTCCCTGGGGGCAGCCTCTGCTACAAGGCAGTGGAGGAGCCCATGGCTCTTCCCAGAAGCCCTCTGCTCTAGTGGGCAGCATTTCTGAGACCCCTACAAAGTGCTTGGTGCTAAGCCCCAGGGCCACAGAGGCCTCTCCAGGGGTGAGGGTCACACATCTCTGAGACCATGAAGTCAGGCTGGACCGACCCTTCTAACATGATTTCCTTTAGGCAACAAAGAGTTCCTGGCACCGAGAAGGCTTTTACTTTGCAAACTCAAATGTGCAAGAAATCATCCGTTTTCACATTTGCTTTCAAATTTTCTCTCCAGTTCCTCCTCCTGGGCTCACCCACGCCTGAACTTCCCCCACCTGAGAGAGCACAGATGACAGCAAGTGTCCGTGGCCCCAGAGGGAAGGAAAGGGCCTCTGGGGTCACTGCAGTCCCTCTGGCCTCAAGCCCAGGCTGGCCATGTCTGTAGAGGTAGGAGGTCCCAAGCTCCTGCGCTTCCAGGGGCTCAGCAGTTTACACCCCGTTGGCAGCCCCAGCTTAAGGTGCAGGCTCCCTCGCAAGCCACACAGCCGTTCTCGTTGGAGGCCCTGCCACCTCTTGGGGTGCAGGGATTGGTTTCCTGTCACCCATGGGTCCCACCACCCTCAGGGCCCTTTATAGGCTGGGGTGATTTTTGCTTTCTTTGCTGGTTCTCTCACGAGCTAGATGTTCTAGTTATACTGCTATGCTACAAACCACCCCAAAATTGAGCACATAAGACAGCCATTTTATTATAGCCATGGATTCTGTGGGTCAGAAATTTGGAAAGGGCATCATGGAGACAGTTTACCTCTGCCCATAATGCCTGAGGCGCCGGCTGGAAGATTAAGGCTGGGGTGACTTGACGGTGGTGGCAGGAACCCTCTGGTGGGCATCCTCACGTGCAGGTCTGAGGCCGACACGGGCTGCCACCTGGGACACTGACCCATCTGCTCCACTCCACGTGGTCTGTGAGTTCTTTTTAGCACAGCAACTGGGTTCTAAGAGTGGATGTCGCAGGAGAGCAAGGCAGAAATGCGTGGCATTTTCTAGATCTAGCCTGGGAAGTTACAGAGCATCTTCTGCCATACTCTACTGGTCAAGGCAGTCACAAAAGTCTATGAATCAGAGATGTGGGGTGGAGTTGGGCTCAGATTGAGCACTGAGTGAAAAAGCTTCACTGCAAACAGGGATACCCCCAGAACAAAGTCCAGGCTTTGTGGGGAGGAGAAATGAAGCAGATCTGCTAAAGCCAAAAGATGGAGAACTGCTTCTGTCTGTGAGTGGGGTGGGTTGGCCAGCAATACCTGGGCTTCACAGGTCAGTATGGGGCTGGCTGAAGGCACCCACCTGGTGTTTAGGGGGCCCAGGGGCCTCCATAGAGCAAGATAAGTGCCACGTTAGCACACCAGGGTCACCAGGCAGCCAGGACAGGTGACTATCTCAGGGTCTGATGGAAGCTCAAAGTCCAGATGCTCTGCTCAGCCCACTCCCGGGCTCCACACTGGTCTCCACCATCTGTGTGACCTGGGCTGATGACATCTTCGAACTCCACTTTCTCACCTGCAAAACGGGGCTAATTATAGTTCAATGAGTCATAGCCCATTTCAGGGGCAAGTTCTAAATCAGTAAGGCAAAAATTAGGTACACACAAAACGACCCTTGAGAACCTCTTATGCTCCCCACCAGCATGGATACACATGGTTTTGTGTATACAGTTGTGAAGAGTAAGTCTAATGAATGTCAAATGTGGACAACTGATGAAGCAGAACAGAGGGTGGATGGGGTGCAGTGGGAAAGCCAAGAGGGAGGTCTGGACTTCTGTGCCATCTGCCTTTAAGGAAATGCCCATCTCTAGTTGAGTGGGGGACAGGGCAGGGGTAGGGGTGGGGTTCCTCTAAGCCTGTCAGGTTTGCTGACTGGCTTTTCCGTGTTGCTTTCACACCAATCCTCTGTAGTGTTAAATGAACTGATAGATTTGCGTGGCATTGTACAAATTAAACTAGTTAATATACATAAAGGCTCCAGCACAGTTCCTGGCATATAATAAGTGCTCAATAAATGTGGGTTGGATTTTTTTTTTTTTTTGTGAGACAGAGTCTCGCTCTGTCACCCAGGCTGGAGTGCAGTGGTGAGAGCTCAACTCATCGCAACCTCCAACTCCAGGGTACAAGTGATTCTCATGTCTCAGCCTCCCAAGTAGCTGGGACTACAGGTCTACACCACCATGCCTGGCTAACTTATTTTGTGTGTGTATTTTGTATTTTTAGTAGAGACAGGGTCTCACCATGTTGACTAGGCTGGTCTCAAACTCCTGGCCTTGGCCTCCCAAAGTGCTGGGATTACAAGCGTGAGCCACTGCACCCCGCCCTGGATTCATCTTAATCTCGCTTGATCAGACCCATGCACGTGGCTCATTTTCAGCCAGTGCTGCCATCCTGGTTGTTAAAATATCAGCATGTGTCCACTCCAGTTGGTAAATAGCTGCTGTCTAATTCCCCATGAGTGTGACCCGCTGCCCTGCTGCCCTGGCCTCTTACGTGGGATCCCCGTGTCTCCCCATGATGCAGCAGCTTGAGGGGTGGCCTTGGTCCAATTGGGCCCCTGGGACCTGCTCAAGTACCAGGCCAGGTCTGTTCTGACTGTTGGTCCCATGAGCTTCTGGGGTTAAATATTTCAAAGATCACTCCTGCCCATGTGCCCACTGCTCTGTGAAAAGCTGGAAGCAGCAGCCAGGCACTGCCTCCTGCACTCTCGGCTGGCATTTCCTGCTGGGGCCCACGGATCCCTTGCTCAGCCTGGGCTCTGGCTCCTGCCCTTGGACAGGATTCCAGAGGCAGGTGTGTCCTCATGGTGGGGCCTCACTCCCGAGTGAGGACGAGCTGCCTCCTTTCAGGGAATGTGGTGCCCAGAGGCACCAGGGGCCTCTCAGTGGCAGCTGTCTTTGAAGTCCTTGGACCCATTTCTCCCCAGCCCTGCCTGTAGCTATGTGGGGACCCAGGCCCAGTGCCACTCAGACTTTCTCAGCCTGCCCCTGAAATACCCACTAATGCCAACCAAGAATTAACACATGCACCCGCAGGCCAGGCAGCCTGCCTGAAGCAGCTGACACAAGTGTGAAATTTCTTTGAAGTCTTGGGTTTTGTCTCAAAAAATACACGCAGATTCTGCATTCTGCTCCATAATGTTTCCATTTTTGTTTAAATCTAAAAATAGGGCTTTAAATGACTTCCAGTGAAGAAAGTTGCCTCTCCAGGAAGATGTCGGGGCTTAGCCTGTGAGACTGTCAACACCCCTGGCCACAGGCCTCTGGGCACTCAAGGCTGGAAACCGAAAAATGTTGTCCCCGCCCCTCAGGAAAGGTTGAGTCTGACTTTTCACCTCTGACCTGTGCTTAGGCACCCTCTTTGGGTCACCTCCTATTTCTGTCCCTCTGAAACTGCAGTTGGCCCTGACCCAGAGTGGTGAGGAGTGGCGGTCTCTTGCTACTACAGGTAGGATGCAGGCTTGGCAATGCCAGTGGCCATGGTTCTACCCACCCCTGCCTTGAAAGGAAAATAGCACAGCTCAAGAAAAGGGACACCCAGAGACAGCAGTGCCCTGACAACATCACTCACTCTCCTTGACCCAGCATCACCTTGGATGTCGCAGGGCTATGTGACCAGAAATTCCTCATGTTGCCCCTAAACATGGTGAGGCCCTGTCTCTACCATGCACAGATGAAAAGAGTCCTAATTAATCAACTCTCCCTAGAAAGGAGACCACTCGGAGGAGCCCTACTCATTCTCAAAATATTCAGAGGCTATCCTGCGGAGGAGGGAGAGTATCTGTTCTCTGTGGCTCCACTGGGCCACAACCAAGACTGAGGTGTGGGAGATGGAACAGGGCAGATTTAGGATGGTGGGAGGAAGTGCTTTCTGAGTCAGATCTTTCCAGGGAAAGCAGGGCCTGCTTATCAGGTAGTGAGCTCCTGTCCCTAGGGGTATGTAAGTGTAAGCTGATAACCTTCTGGTAGCAAAAAGGTAGAAAGATTGAAGCACTAGATGGGGAAGGGTGGGCTTTTGTCTCTAAAATTCCTTCCCTTTCTGAGTCTCTGGTTCCATGATACTCTCTAAGCCCTGTTCAGGGATGTTTCCTCCCCATTCCAGTGTCCAGGGTTGCTCACAGTCACCACTCCTTTCAAAGCTGGAGGCACTGCAGCAGTGAGCAGGTGGGCATCTGTGCCCTGTGTGACCTGCTGATAGCATAGACGTGGTTATCAGCCCTCTATATGTCAGGATTCTGACTAGGAAAACTCAGTGACCCAAAGTGACCTTCATCCAAACCTCTCCTTTATTTCTGTAGTTTATACACTTTGCGTGCAAACACCCCTGGGAGGGACAGTACCTACACCTTTGGCAATGCTAAGCTTCACACAAAGAATTTTTCATCTCCTTTCTTGGATCGGGGTGGCTTTTATTTTTCTTCCAAGAACAACTAATCCTTATGCAGACCCAAGAAGTGGCAGCTAAGCTTCGGAGCCAGAAAAATGAGAGCCCTGAGTACATGCCCTTACAGAGATCTGGCTTGCCCACATGTCACCCCCAACCCTAATTGAACTCACCAGGAAAACGTAAAAGGGGGGTGGGGATGAGAGGTGGGGCATTTAGATAGCATTACAATTTTTCTAAAGGGCCAGGTAGGAGTTTGAGGAATTTCTTCTAA
This sequence comes from Homo sapiens, assembly GCF_000001405.40. Lineage (NCBI taxonomy): Eukaryota > Metazoa > Chordata > Mammalia > Primates > Hominidae > Homo > Homo sapiens. Next base: position 45,110,462 of record NC_000011.10, read on the forward strand.
GCCAGTCACTGATGGGGCCAGGTAGGAGAAATACCCTGAAAGCAACATGCAGCCGGACCCAACTATCTGTGAGCTGGAACCGCCAAGGGGCTCTCCTCTGACCTGGGGGCTAAAGTGCCCAGAAAGAGGACAGGCCGCTGCTCTGGCCTCCCCGGCGCAACGACCTCACCAAACAAGGCCCCTTCAGGAGTGTCCTGGACCGGTGGCCACGAATTGCAAGGCCTCGCTTGCTCTATACAGGTTGTGCAGGACATAATCCAGGTGCGGGGTGCAAGGAGCTTCACATCCCATTCCCTCACCCATTTGTAAAGGTGTTACTTCATTTGTCCAGCAGATGGCAGTAAAGTATCCCAAACAAGAGGCGCCTTTCTTTGCGTTGCCCAGAAACCACTGGTTCTGCTCCTGGGTGGCAGAAAACTTGGAGAAGACAATCAGCTCTCCAGATTCCAATCTAAGAGTCAGATTCCCCCCTTACCCCCCTTTTTTTCTTTCTATTTCCACAACTATTTTTAATAAAAGCTTTACAGTTTTCGACGTCCAATGGTTCCCCGAGACTTACCATAAAACTCAGCTGCCACCTCCCCACCTCATCTCACCAGCTCTCTGGGACAGGCGACCACTTGCAACTCTGGGAGGTGTCTCTTCTGTTTTTAAATCTCCATAATTCTAAGCACTAGTTCTTGATTTCACCATTTTCGACACCATCTTTGACTTACTGTGATGGAAGATGAAGATTTATCTTTCTTACAATCCATCCCACCCTGTCCCTCCACCACTTCCCCTCCCATCTCTCTCCCAGCATGTCTCCCTATTTTTGGTTCTTGATATTTACTCGTCTTCTTTGCCATCTCTGGACTTACGGGGTGCCCTCTATGCCAAACGGCATTCCACCCAACATTGCTTCGGACCAACGAACCCATTTCACAGCGACAGGACAACAGGGACCTTGGGCCCGTGGAAATCGCTAGTCTTATCATGGACTCTCTCTCATCTGGAAGCAGCTGGCCCAACTGAAGGGTGGAATGGCCATGTGAACACTCAGTTAAGGTTCTGCTTGAGAGACAATGGCCTGAAAGGTTAAAGTTCTGTCTTACAGGATGAAGAATATGCTTTGATGAGGTGACCAGTAGAAGGTATGGTTCCTCCCACATCCACAATAACAGGGCCCCAAATCAGAGAGTGGGAGTGGCTTTCCTCACTATTACACCTAATAACCACATGCACTCGAACCCTCCGGGCTCTGTCGATTTGAAAGGTTTTGTTCCCGAGGGAGAAATGCTTCCATCGCGGAACACAACCAGGGGCCCATTGAGTTGGTCCATGAGACTGGACACTATGGGTGCCTCCTGCCACTGAACTGGCAACATGGGAGGAAGTCACTCTGCTGTGTGGCACATTTGATCCTGGTGATCAAATCAGGCTGATACTGTACAATGGGAGACTATGTCTAACACCCAGACAACTTTCTGAGTACCTCTTTTTTTAGCTTTAATTTTTATTGTAATAGTTTTTTGGGGTACAGGTGGTCTTTGATTACATGAATAACTTCTTTAGCAGTGATTTCTGAGATTTTAGTGCACCGGTCACCCAAGCAGTGTACACTGTACCCAATATGTAGTCTTTTATCCATTACCCTCCCAACCTTCCCCCACAAGTCCCCAAAGTCCCTTATATCATTCTAATGCCTTTGCATCCTCATAGCTTAGCTCCCACTTACAAGTGAGAACATACAATATTTGGCTCTCCATTCCCAAGTTACTTCACCTAGAATAATGGCCTCCAGCTCCAACCAAGTTGCTGCAAAAGACATTATTTCATTCTTATGGCTGAGTAATATTCCATGGTGTATATATAACACATTTTCTTATCCACTGGTTGGTTGATGGGCACTTAGGTTGGCTCCATAACTTTGCAATTGCAAATTGTGAGGCATAAATGGGTGTACAGGTGTTTTTTTCATATAATGATGTATTTTTCTTTGGGTAGACACCCAGTAGTGGGATTGCTAGATCAAATGGTAGTTCTACATTTAGCTCTTTAAGGAATCTCCATACTGTTTTCCATAGTGGTTGTACTAATTTACATTCTCACCAGCAACATAAACGTGTTCCCTTTTCATGACATCCATGCCAACACCTATTGTTTTTTGACTTTTTAATGATGGCCGTTCTTGGAAGAGTAAGGTGGTATCTCATTGTGGTTTGGATTTGCATTTCCCCGATGATTAGTGATGTTGAGCATTTTTTCGTATGTTTGTTGGCTCTTTGTATATATTCCTTTGAGAACTGTGTATTCATGTCCTTTGCCCACTTTTTGATGGGATTATTTGTGTGTGTGTGTGTGTGTGTGTTTCTTGCTAATTTGACTGCCTTGCAGATTCTGGATATGAGTCCTTTGCTGGATGCATAGTTTATGAATATTTTCTCCCACTCTGTGGGTTGTTTGTTTACTCTGCTGATTATTTCTTTTGCTGTGCAGAAGCTTTTTAGTTTAATTAGGTCCCATTCATTTATTTTTGTTTTTGTTGCATTTGTTTTGGGGGTCTTAGTCATGAATTCTTTGCCTAAGCCAATGTCTAGAAGAGTTTTTCTGATGTTATCTTCTAGAGATGTTATGGTTTCAGGTCTTGGATTTAAGTCTTTGATCCACCATGAATCGATTTTTGTATAAGGTGAGAAATGGAAATCCAGTTTCATTCTTCTACATGTGGCTTGCCAGTTTTCCCAGCACCATTTATTGAATACAGCGTCTTGTCCCCAGTTTACGTTTTTGTATGCTTTATCAAAGAGCAGTTGGCTGTACTTATTTGGCTTTATTTCCGGGTTCTCTATTCTGTTCCATTGGTCTACATGTGTGTTTTTATACCAGTACTACACTGTTTTGGTAACTATAGCCTTATAATATAGTTTGAAGTCGAGTAATGTGATGCTTCCAGATTTGTTCTTTTTGCTTAGTATTGCTTTGGTTATACAGGATTTTTTGGGTTCCACAATTTTAGGATTGTTTTTTCTAGTTCTGTGAAGAATGATTATGGTATTTTGATGGGAATTGCATTGAATCTGTAGATTGCTTTGGGCAGTATGGTCATCTTCACAATATTGATTCTTCCTATCCATGAGCATGGGATGTGTTTCCATTTGTTTGTGTTATCTATGATTTCTTTCAGCAGTGTTTTATAATTTTCCTTGTAGAGATCTTTCACCTCTTTGGTTAAGTATATTCCTAAATTATTTATTTATTTATTATTTTGCAGCTGTTGTAAAAGGGAGTGAGTTCATGATTGAATTTCAGCTTGGTTGTTGTTGGTGTATAAGAGTGCTACTGATTTGTGTGTGTGTGTGTGTGTGTGTGTGTGTGTGTGTGTTTTGTTTTTTTTTTTTTTTACAAAAAATCACATTGATTTTGTATCCTGAGGCTCTACTGGATTTGTTTATCAGATCTAGGAGCTTTTTGGATAAGTCTTTAGAGTTTTCTAGGTATACAGTCATATCATCAGTGAATAGTGAAAGTTTGACTTCCTCTTTTTCAATCTGGATGCCCTTTATTTCTTCCTCTTGTCTGGTTGCTCTGGCCAGGACTTCCAGTACTATGTTGAATAGAAGTGGTAAAAATGGGCATCCTTGTCCCAATTCTCAGGGGAAGTGCAATAGAACCACTCATGTCAAAGATGTTAGAATTAGCACAGGGAATTTAAAGCAGACTTTATAAATATGCTCAAGGACTTAAAGAACAAAAATGTTTATAATGAATGAATAGAGGGAAAATCACAGCAAAGAAGTGGAAACTCTAAACAAGAACCAAATAGAAATAGAAATTCTAGACTTGAAAAGTACCATATATGAAATTTAAAAAATTCACTGATATGCATAACAACAAACAAACTGGCAGAAGAGTCAATGAACTTGAAGCTTGATAAATAGAAAGTATCTAATCTGAAGTGGAAAAAGGTTTGAAATAAACTAAACAGGGTCTCAGAAATCTGTAAGATAATATTAGTTTCCTTAACACATGTCATTAAAGTCTTAGAAGGAGAGAAAATTGATACCAGAGCAGAAAAATTATTTGATAAACTGTCCCAAACTTGGTGAAAAACACAACTTATATACTCAATAAGCTCACTGAACCCCAAGAAAGATAAAAATAAAAGGAAGCAGTTCCTAGGCACATCATAGTCTAAAGATCAAAGAGAGAGAAAATCTTGAAAGCAGCCAATGAAAACAAAAACCAAACCAAAACAACCAAACACACAAAAAAACCATATCACACATAGAGGAACACTTGCATGAAGAATGAATGAGTTATCATCAGAGACAATAGAAGCCAGAACATAATGAAATACCATCTTTAATGTGCTGAAAGGGAAAAAAAAACTTAGAATTATATATCCAGAAAAAAATCCATAAACATGGGGAAACAAAGATATTTCAAATAAATGAAAATTGAGAAAACTCACTGCCAGTAGACCTGTTTCACAAGAAATACAAAAAGAAGTTCTTTAGGCTGAAGGGAGATTACACTGAAGGATACTCAGATTTACAGGAAGGAATGAAGAACATTAGAAATAGTACACATGTAAATCGTTATAAAGGAAAAAACTTTATTTCCTTAATCTAAAAAAGATATAATTATTTGGAGCAAAAATTATAACACGGTATTATGGAGCTCATAATGTATATAGCATGTGTGTGTGTGTGTGTGTGTATGTCTATATATATATAAAATAAAATTAACACAAAGCAAAGGTTCTTACTTTGATGTGAAGTGACAAAATATCTATGATAAGGTAAGGACTCATATTAAAATTGCTAGAGGAAATATTACAAATGCAAAGAGGTTTTGCTAATGCAAAGAGGTTTTGATAAAAAGTAATAGAGAAAAGGTTCTTTAAAAAATGTTTAACTCAAAAGAAAACAAAAAAGGAGGAAGACAGGAACAAAAGATTCAGGTGACAAATAGAAAATCAACAGCAAAATTGATAGGCCTATACTCAACTATGTCAATAATTATATTAAATATAAATGGATTAAACACTCTAGTTAAAAAGCAGAGCTTATCAGACTGAGCTAAAAGAGAAAGAACCAATTGTGTTCTCTATAAGAGGCACTCTTTCAATAGAAATATATAGTTAGGTTGAAGGTATAAGAAGACAAAAAGTTATATCATGCAAGCATTAGAAAGCTAGAGCAGGCCAGGTGTGGTGGCTCATGCCTATAATCCCAGCACTTTGGGAGGCTGACGGGGGTGGATCACCTGACGTCAGGAGTTCGAGATCAGCCTGGCCAACATGGTGAAACCCTGTCTCTACTAAAAATAGAAAAATCAGCTGGGTGTGGTGGCAGGTGCCTGTAATTCCAGCTACTTGGGAGGCTGAGGTAGGAGACTCACTTGAACCTGGGTGGTGGAGTTTACAGTGAGCCAAGATCATGCCATTGCACTCCAGCCTGGGTGACGAGTGAAACTCCATCTCAAAAAAAAAAAAAGAAAAAAAGAAAAAAAAAAGCTAGAGCAGTGATATTATTATCAGGTTAAACATGTTTTAAAACAATCAGTATCAGCTGAGATGAAGAACACTTTATCAGAAAGGCATGACAATTACAAACAATTACAAATATCAGAAAGGTGTAACAATTACATACAAATGTGTATGTGCCTAATAAATCACCTTCAATATACATAAAAAAGCAATCCTGACTAGACTAAAGGGAGAAATAGACAAAATGTACAGTCATGTTTGGAGACACTACAACCCCTGTCTCAGAAATTAACAGAACTAACTGACCAGAAATCAGTTAAGGTATAGAAGATTATGAATAACACTATAAAGTGCTTTGATTTAACACCATTTATAGAACACCACGTCAAACATCTCCAGAGTACATATTCTTTGCAAGTACATATAGAACATTCACCAAGACATACCACATACTAAGCTACAAAATAAGCCTTAAAATTTTTCAAAAGATTGAAACTTTACAGAGTATGTTCTCTGTCAACAATAGAATTAAGTTGGATAGCAATGACAATAAGGTATCTAGAAAATCCTCAGATAATTAGATATTAACATATCTTTAAATAACTCCTTGGTGAAAGTAGAAATCAGACAGAAAATTATAAAATATTTTGGACTGAATAATAACGAAAATATATCTCAAAATGAGTGAAGTGCAGCTAAAAGTGCTTAGAAATTTATAGCTAGAAATGTGAGAAAATAATTTTTTGTTGTTTAAGCCACCCAGTCTTTTGTACTTTGTTATGGCAGTCCTAGAAAACTAATATGATGTATCACACTTCAATAAGAATCAGGGCTCCTTGGACAAATGGCTGATTCTAGAACTGGGGAAGGAAATATATGACATGAGCCTGGAACATCTTGTAGCTCTAGAAAGTAGGGAAAGGCTCAAATGCAAGAAAGAAAAAAATACTCACAAATTGATGAGCTGTCAAAGGAGAACAGGAGTCCACTTAAAGAGTTCCCAATGCCTCCGGGTGCAATGGCTCACGCCTGTAATCCCAGCACTTTGGGAGGCCAAGGTGGGAGGATTACCTGAGGTCAGGAGTTCGAGACCAGCCTCACCAATATGGTGAAACCCTGTCTCTACTAAAAATACAAAAATTAGCTGGGTGTGGTGGTGTGCGTCTATAGTCCCAGCTACTTGGGAGGCTGAGACAGGAGAATTGCTTGAACCTGGGAGGCAGGTTGCAATGAGCCGAGATAATACCACTGCACTCCAGCCTGGGCAACAGAGTGAGATGAGACTCCATCTCAAAAAAAAAAAAAAAAAAAAAGAGTTCCCAGTGGCCAACGTGGAAATAATTTGAACAATAAAATTAATAAAGTTCCATTAGATGATAACCCAAAGCATAAAATAAATATCCATAAGTCCATACTGATATAAGTCACTGATGCAATAAATTCATAAATGGGAGAAGGCAGATAAATCTCTCATGCAGAAGAATTCCAAATAATTTATTTAAAGATGCTCAGCCCTCAAAGAGGAGAAGCAGGTTGAGTGTGGTGCTAATGCCTGTCATCCTAGCACTTTAGGAAGCTGAGGCTGCAGGACTGCCTGAGGACAGAAGTTTGAGACTAGCCTGAGCAACATAGCAAGAACCCTCCTCTACAAGAAAAAATATAATTAGACTGGTGTGGTGGCGTGCACCTGTACACCCAGCTACTCAAGAGGCTGAGGCTGGAGGATCACTTGAACCCAGGAGTCTAAGGCTTCAGTGATTCATGATCACAGCACTGCATTCCAGCCTGGGTGATAGAGCAAGATGCCATCTCAAAAAAAAAAAGTTAATTTAAAAAGAGGAGGAGCACAGCTCCCCACTCTTTAGGTATTGGCTGCAAATAGTGACTTCGTTCCGACGAGTACAGTATGGAAAGAAGGGAAAACGAGTAACTGTACTGTGGGAAAACCTGACCAACACTAACTCAGCCAGGTCTCTAAGGCCAACATTAACAGTTATAGATAATGTTGACAATATATATACTTGATATGATGTGGTGAAAATGGCACTTTAACTGTGATTTTCCACCCAATAAACCATAACCACAGTCATGACATTAAAAAAAAATTGAACAAATTCCAACAGTGGGACATCCTACAAAATGCCTGGCCAGAACACCTCAAAACTATCAAGATCATGAAAAAAAGAGAAGGAAAAGAAGTCTTTGAAATTGCCATAACCAAGAGGATCTTAAAGAGACTTGACAGTTAAATGCAATGTGGTATCCTGGATAAAATCCTAGAAAAGGAGAAAAACAACAAAACAAAAAACCAGGTGAAACCTAAAGAAATATGAATGAACTATGGACTTTAGTTAATCATAATGTATCAAAATATTGTTTGATTAACTGTAACAAATATAGTTATGTAGGATAATAGTTAGGAGAAATTGGTTAGGGGTGCATAGGAACTCTGTACTGTTTTCCCAATTTTTCTGTAAATCTAAAACTTCAAAAAATAAAATCTACCAAAAATAAAAAATATTAGCAAATTAAATTCATCAACACATAAAAATGATGACACATCATGACTAAGTGAGTTTCCTCCCGGGAATGCAAGTTTGTTTTAACATTCCAAAACCAATTCACCTGTTAATGGAATAAAGAGGAAATATCATACAATTATCTCAACAGATGCAGAGAAAAAGGATTTGACAGAATTTAACACTCATTTGTGATAAAAGCATTCAGCAAATTAGCAGTAGATGGGAACTTCCTCCATATGATAAATGAAATCTATGGAGATATAATAAAATACTGTAACTCATTTCATATTGGGTTAAGTATGAATGACAAAATGTTTTTCCTCCAAAATCAGCAATAAGACATGAATACTCACTCTTGTTATTTCTACTCAGCATAGCACTGATAGTTCTAGCTAGGGCAATTAGGAAAGAAGAAAAAATGCATGAAATTGAAAAGGAAGGAAAAGAGCTGTCAGAGTTTGTATGGGGTTGAAATAGTCCGTTTTGGGCATGGACTGGCAGTCTGCCTTGGCCCAGTCAGAGAAACTCCACTGAGGGAGAGAAAAATTATAATCCCTTTTGGTGGTTGCTGGGTCAGCTGCAATGATTTATAACCTAAAAGAGGTCCAAACACAAGACCATATTCTTCCACAGAAGTTTTCTGTGTTCTGGAGCTACAGCAAGCTGAGGCTCTGATCTATAATGACAAAGGAGAAACTCTTGCATAGGTGGTTAGGAGACCAAATCACACTAGACCAGGGACCTACTTGCAAGAATCACAAACTAGTTTCCTTCCTGAAACATCTGTCAGATTTTGAACTTGTGAGAGTAGGCAAATGAAAGAGGGAAGCTCAAAACATTCCAAGGTCAGACGGAACTTTCAGATTCTCAATGAAAAACCTGGTAAGGCGGCCGGGCGCGGTGGCTCACGCCTGTAATCCCAGCACTTTGGGAGGCCGAGTTGGGCGGATCACGAGGTCAGGAGATCGAGACCATTCTGGCTAACACGGTGAAACCCTGTCTCTACTATAAAAAATACAAAAAATTAGCCAGGCGAGGTGGAGGGCGCCTGTAGTCCCAGCTACGCGGGAGGCTGAGGCAGGAGAATTGCGTGAACCCCAGTGGGTGGAGCCTGCAGTGAGTGCCACTGCACTCCAACCTGGGTGACAGCGAGATTCTGTCTCAAAAAAAAAAAAAAAAAAAAAAAAAAAAAACACCTGGTAAGGCCATACCAGGAAGAATAGGCAGGTACCAGTGGCGGACTGAGTCTTACTAATACTGTAATGCAGCCACAAGATTATCAGTCCCTTACCCCATTTTCTTAACAGAATAAAAGACTAAACCCTAATTACTGAAAGATATTATCTATAGCCTCTATGGTCCTTCTATGAGCAGCATCTGGCAGTGACAGTGACAGTGACAAAGTAGGAGATGAGCAAGGAAGGGGGAAAATGTGAACAAAAAATAGCAGAGCCACTGCTGACCCAGTTACTGGAGTTAGCAGTAAGGACATAAAAACAGCCATGATCAGCATGTGAAAATAAATACAGGAAAAGATGCGCAAGATGGATTAAAAAGTGGAGAATTAAAATAGTTAGAATATCTCTTAAAAATCCAATGGCCATTCTAGAATTGAAAATATATCAGAATTTTAAGAATTTGTTGAATGTATTTAACAGGAGACTGAACACAGTGTATGACTGGATAGTGAACTGGAACTCAATAGAAATTATCCACACTGAAGCACACAGAAATAAAGCTGGGAGGGAGAGGGAACAGAACAGAGCATAAAGGCATGTGAGGTACTAACAAAAGTTCTAACATACACATATGTGGAGTATCAGAAAGAAAGGAGAGAGGAATGAGGCATAACCAGTATTTGAATAAATCATGCCTGAGAATTTTCCAAATACCACAGATTTAGTTTTATAAAGCAAGGCAAAACCCAAGCAGGATAGATACAATGTAAAACCACATGCAGGCTCATAATAAACTGCTGAAAGACAAAGACAAAGACAAACAGTAAAAAGCTGCTAGAGGAAAAAAGGAACCATTACCTTAAAAGAAGTAACAGTAAAACTGACCACTGGTCTTCACTAGAATCTATGGAAGCTAGAAAAAGAATATTGCCAACTTAGAATTCTATATCCACTAAAATGTCCTTTAAAATTAAAGGTGAAATATATTTTCATTAAAAAAAAAACCACATACAGAATCATCACCAGCAGACCAGTATCACAATAAATCAAAAGAGAGTCTGTCCTTCATGGTGAAGGAAAATGAGCCCAGAGAGAACAGACCACAGGAAGGAGTGAATAGTACCCAAGACAATAAGTATGTAGGTAAACATAAAACAATATTGATTACTTAAACCAGCAATAATGACAATGTATCTTCAGCTCATAATATATGTATGAGTACCAATATATGACAATAATAGCACAAAGGGCAAGAGCAGATAAAGTTGAGTTAAACTGTTGTAAGGTTCTTGCATTGAAGGTTCTTGCATTGTTCAAGAAGAAGTAACAGTGCAACCTTAAGGTAGACTGTAATAATTCAGGGATGCAGTTTAGATCCACTGAAAGAAAAAAAGAACATATAACCACGAAGCTAACAGAAGTGACAAAAATAGTCGATAAGTCAAGAAAGGCAGGAAAGGAGGAATTAAAAAACGAAGAATAGATGGTTCAAATAAAAATCAAATCACACGATGGTAGTTTGATACTACCAACTATATCAGCAATTACATTAATTATAAATGGATAAATAGTATAATATGAAATAATTGTCAGATTGAACTAAAAAAACAAGATGCAAATATTAGTTGTTTATAAGAGATACACACAATATAGGAGGACACAAGTTGAAAGGAAAAGAATGAAAAGATATTGCTGGAAACCATTAACAAAAAGCTGGTGTGGTTATATTACTATCTGATAAAGTAGACTTAAAGAAGTAACTTCCCCATATTAGTATGCTCCTCATTTCAAAGCTTCAAATATGCAAAGCAAAAGTAACAGAATTTTTAAAAAAGAAATGGGCAAATTCAAAATCAGAGTTACAGATTTAACACACTTCTCTCAGAAAATGCTAAAACAAGCAAGCAAACAAAAAACAGTGAAATACTGAATATTTAAACAACACAATTAAGCAATTTTATCTGGTTAATGTATATACAACATTATATTGAATAACTGCAGAATGAATATTATTTTGAAGTGCTTGTGGAACATTTACCACAATAGACTACACAATGGGTCATAAAGCAATTAACACAAATTTCAAAGAACTGAAATTATACAGAATATGCTCTCTAACTGGAGTGGAGTTAATTAGAAATCTATATAAAAAGGCAACTAGAAAATCTCTAAATGCTTGAAAATTAAGCAACACACTGCTAAATAGTCCATGGGCCAAAGGAAACATTACAACAGCAAATATTTAGAGTGGGATAATGAAAATTGTGAGCTGCATCTAAAGGCTGTGGTTACAGAAACATTTATAGCCTTAAATGCAATTCTTAGAGAAAAAGATATACGGAAAATTAATGAATCTAAGCTTCCCTCTCAGGAAGATAGATAAACAACAGCAAATTAAACCTCAAGAAAGTGGAAGGAAAGAAATAGTAAAGATGAAAGCAGAAATCAAATAGGAAAAAAAATACACAGTGGAGAAAATGAGCAAAGATAAAAGTTAGGCCTTTAAATAAGTAAATAAAATGTATAAACCCCTACTAAGAAGAGAGACACAGACAGACACACACACAGACACACACACACACACACACACACACACACACACAGAGAGAAACAGAATATCAGCTAAGAAAGTGGGTTATCAGTACAGGTTCTAGAGACATTTAAAAGATATCATGGTATTTTTTTTATTATTATTATACTTTAAGTCTTAGGGTACATGTGCACAATGTGAAGGTTTGTTACACATGTATACCATGTATACATGTATACATGGTATACATATGCCATGTTGGTGTACTGCACCCATTAACTCGTCATTTAGCATTAGGTATATCTCCTAATGCTATCCCTCCCCCCTCCCTCCACCCCACAACAGTCCCTGGAGTGTGATGTTCCCCTTCCTGTGTCCATGTGTTCTCATTGTTCAATTCCCACCTATGAGTGAGAACATGCAGTGTTTGGTTTTTTTGTCCTTGTGATAGTTTGCTGAGAATGATGACTTCCAGTTTCATCCATGTCCCTACAAAGGACATGAACTCCTCATTTTTTATGGCTGCATAGTATTCCATGGTGTATATGTGCCACATTTTCTTAATCCAGTCTATCGTTGTTGGACATTTGGGTTGGTTCCAAGTCTTTGCTATTGTGAATAGTGCCACAGTAAACATACATGTGCATGTGTCTTTATAGCAGCATGATTTATAGTCCTTTGGGTACATACCCAGTAATGGGATGGCTGGGTCAAATGGTATTTCTAGTTCTAGATCCCTGAGGAATCGCCACACTGACTTTCACAATGGTTGAACTAGTTTACTAGTCCCACCAACAGTGTAAAAGTGTTCCTATTTCTCCACTTCCTCTCCAGCACCTGTTGTTTCCTGACTTTTTAATGATCGCCATTCTAACTGGTGTGAGATGGTATCTCATTGTGGTTTTGATTTGCATTTCTCTGATGGCCAGTGATGATGAGCATTTTTTCATGTGTTTTTTGGCTGCATACATGTCTTCTTTTGAGAAGTGTCTGTTCATATCCTCCCCCCACTTTTTGATAGGGTTGTTTGTCTTTTTCTTGTAAATTTGTTTGAGTTCATTGTAGATTCTGGATATTAGCCCTTTGTCAGATGAGTAGATTGCAAAAATTTTCTCCCATTTTGTAGGTTGCCTGTTCACTGTGATGGTGGTTTCTTCTGCTGTGCAGAAGCTCTTTAGTTTAGTTAGATCCCATTTGTCAATTTTGGCTTTTGTTGCCATTGCTTTTGGTGTTTTAGACATGAAGTCCTTGCCCATGCCTATGTCCTGAATGGTATTGCCTAGGTTTTCTTCTAGGGTTTTTTATGGTTTTAGGTCTAACATGTAAGTCTTTAATCCATCTTGAATTAATTTTTGTATAAGGTGTAAGAAAGGGATCCAGTTTCAGCTTTCTACATATGGCTAGCCAGTTTTCCCAGCATCATTTATTAAATAGGGAATCCTTTCCCCATTGCTTGTTTTTGTCAGGTTTGTCAAAGATCAGATAGTTGTAGATATGCAGCATTATTTCTGAGGGCTCTGTTCTGTTCCATTGATCTATATCTCTGTTTTGGTACCAGTACCATGCTGTTTTGGTTACTGTAGCCTTGTAGTATAGTTTGAAGTCAGGTAGCGTGATGCCTCCGGCTTTGTTCTTTTGGCTTAGGATTGACTTGGCGATGCAGGCTCTTTTTTGGTTCCATATGAATTTTAAAGTAATTTTTTCCAATTCTGTGAAGAAAGTCATTGGTAGCTTGATGGGGATGGCATTGAATCTATAAATTACCTTGGGCAGTATGGCCATTTTCACGATATTGATTCTTCCTACCCATGAGCATGGAATGTTCTTCCATTTGTTTGTATCCTCTTTTATTTCATTGAGCAGTGGTTTGTAGTTCTCCTTGAAGAGGTCCTTCACATCCCTTGTAAGTTGGATTCCTAGGTATTTTATTCTCTTTGAAGCAATTGTGAATGGGAGTTCACTCATGATTTGGCTCTCTGTTTGTCTGTTATTGGTGTATAAGAATGCTTGTGATTTTTGTACATTGATTTTGTATCCTGAGACTTTGCTGAAGTTGCTTATCAGCTTGAGATTTTGGGCTGAGACAATGGGGTTTTCTAGATTTACAATCATGTCATCTTCAAACAGGGACAATTTGACTTCCTCTTTTCCTAATTGAATACCCTTTATTTCCTTCTCCTGCCTAATTGACCTGGCCAGAACTTCCAACACTATGTTGAATAGGAGTGGTGAGAGAGGGCATCCCTGTCTTGTGCCAGTTTTCAAAGGGAATGCTTCCAGTTTTTGCCCATTCAGTATGATATTGGCTGTGGGTTTGTCACAGATAGCTCTCATTATTTTGAGATACGTCCCATCAATACCTAATTGAGAGTTTTTAGCACGAAGGGTTGTTGAATTTTGTCAAAGGCCTTTTCTGCATCTATTGAGATAATCATGTGGTTTTTGTCTTTAGTTCTGTTTATATGCTGGATTACATTTATTGATTTGCATATGTTGAACCAGCCTTGCATCCCAGGGATGAAGCCCACTTGATCATGGTGGATAAGCTTTTTGATGTGCTGCTGGATTCAGTTTGCCAGTATTTTATTGAGGATTTTTGCATCAATGTTCATCAAGGATATTGGTCTAACATTCTCTGTTTTGGTTATGTCTCTGCCAGGCTTTGGTATCAGGATGATGCTGGCCTCATAAAATGAGTTAGGGAGGATTCCTTCTTTTTCTATTGATTGGAATAGTTTCAGAAGGAATGGTACCAGCTCCTCCTTGTACCTCTGGTAGAATTTGGCTGTGAATCCATCTGGTCCTGGACTTTTTTTGGTTGGTAAGCTATTGATTATTGCCACAATTTCAGAGCCTGTTATTGGTCTATTCAGAGATTCAACTTCTTCCTGGTTTAGTCTTGGGATGGTGTATGTGTTGAGGAATTTATCCATTTCTTCTAGATTTTCTAGTTTATTTGCATAGAGGTGTTTGTAGTATTCTCTGATGGTAGTTTGTATTTCTGTGGGATCGGTGGTGATATCCCCTTTATCATTTTTTATTGCATCTATTTGATTCTTCTCTCTTTTCTTCTTTATTAGTCTTGCTAGCGGTCTATCAATTTTGTTGATCTTTTCAAAAAACCAGCTCCTGGATTCATTAATTTTTTGAAGGGTTTTTTGTGTCTCTATTTCCTTAAGTTCTGCTCTGATTTTGGTTATTTCTTGCCTTCTGCTAGCTTTTGAATGTGTTTGCTCTTGCTTTTCTAGTTCTTTTAATTGTGATGTTAGGGTGTCAATTTTGGATCTTTCCTGTTTTCTCCTGTGGGCATTTAGTGCTATAAATTTCCCTCTACACACTGCTTTGAATGTGTCCCAGAGATTCTGGTATGTTGTGTCTTTGTTCTCATTGGTTTCAAAGAACATCTTTATTTCTGCCTTCATTTTGTTATGTACCCAGTAGTCTTTCAGGAGCAGGTTGTTCAGTTTCCATGTAGTTGAGCGGTTTTGAGTGAGTTTCTTAATCCTGAGTTCTAGTTTGATTGCACTGTGGTTTGAGAGACAGTTTGTTATAATTTCTGTTCTTTTACATTTGCTGAGGAGTGCTTTACTTCCAACTATGTGGTCAATTTTGGAATAGGTGTGGTGTGGTGCTGAAAAAAATGTATATTCTGTTGATTTGGGGTGGAGAGTTCTGTAGATGTCTATTAGGTCCGCTTGGTGTGGAGCTGAGTTCAATTCCTGGGTATCCTTGTTAACTTTCTGTCTTGTTGATCTGTCTAATGTTGACAGTGAGGTGTTAAAGTCTCCCATTATTATTGTGTGGGAGTCTAAGTCTCTTTGTAGTTCACTCAGGACTTGCTTTATGAATCTGGGTGCTCCTGTATTGGGTGCATATATATTTAGGATAGTTAGCTCTTCTTGTTGAATTGATCCTTTTACCATTATGTAATGGCCTTGTCTCTTTGGATCTTTGTTGGTTTAAAGTCTGTTTTATCAGAGACTAGGATTGCAACCCCTGCCTTTTTTTGTTTTCCATTTGCTTGGTAGATCTTCCTCCATCCCTTTATTTTGAGCCTATGTGTGTCTCTGCTTGTGAGATGGGTTTCCTGAATACAGCACTCTGATGAGTCTTGACTCTTTATCCAATTTGCCAGTCTGTGTCTTTTAATTGGAGCATTTAGCCCATTTACATTTAAAGTTAATATTGTTATGTGTGAATTTGATCCTGTCATTATGATGTTAGCTGGTTATTTTGCTCATTAGTTGATGCAGTTTCTTCCTAGCCTTGATGGTCTTTACAATTTGGCATGGTTTTGCAGTGGCTGGTACCGGTTGTTCCTTTCCATGTTTAGTGCTTCCTTCAGGAGCTCTTTTACGGCAGGCCTGGTGGTGACAAAATCTCTCAGCATTTGCTTGTCTGTAAAGTATTTTATTTCTCCTTCGCTTATGAAGCTTAGTTTGGCTGGATGTGAAATCCTGGGTTGAAAATTCTTTTCTTTAAGAATGTTGAATATTGGCCCCCACTCTCTTCTGGCTTGTAGAGTTTCTGCCGAGAGATCCACTGTTAGTCTGATGGGCTTCCCTTTGTGGGTAACCCGACCTTTCTCTCTGGCTGCCCTTAACATTGTTTCCTTCATTTCAACTTTGGTGAATCTGACAATTATGTGTCTTGGAGTTGCTCTTCTCGAGGAGTATCTTTGTGGTGTTCTCCGTATTTCCTGAATCTGAATGTTGGCCTGCCTTGCTAGATTGGGGAAGTTCTCCTGGATAATATCCTGCAGAGTGTTTTCCAACTTGGTTCCATTCTCCCTGTCACTTTCAGGTACGCCAATCAGATGTAGATTTGGTCTTTTCACATAGTCCCATATTTCTTGGAGACTTTGTTCGTTTCTTTTTATTCTTTTTTCTCTAAACTTCCCTTCTCGCTTCATTTCATTCATTTCATCTGCCATCACTGAAACCCTTTCTTCCAGTTAATCACGTCAGCTCCTGAGGCTTCTGCATTCTTCACATAGTTCTCCAGCCTTGGCTTTCAGCTCCATCAGCTCCTTTAAGCACTTCTCTGCATTGGTTATTCTAGTTATACATTCGTCTAATTTTTTTCAAAGTTTTTAACTTCTTTGCCATTGGTTTGAATTTCCTCCTGTAGCTCGGAGTAGTTTGATCATCTGAAGCCTTCTTCTCCCAACTTGTCAAAGTCATTCTCCGTCCAGCTTTGTTCCGTTGCTGGTGAGGAGCTGCGTTCCTTTGGAGGAGGAGAGGCGCTCTGCTTTTTAGAGTTTCCAGTTTTTCTGCTCTGTTTTTTCCCCATCTTTGTAGTTTTATCTACTTTTGGTCTTTGATGATGGTGATGTACAGATGGGTTTTTGGTGTGGATGTCCTTTCTGTTTGTTAGTTTTCCTTCTAACAGACAGGACCCTCAGCTGCAGGTCTGTTGGAGTTTGCTAGAAGTCTACTCCAGACCCTGTTTGCCTGGGTATCAGCAGCGGTGGCTGCAGAACAGCGGTGGCTGTAGAACAGCGGGTTTTCATGAACCGCAAATGCTGCTGCCTGATCATTCCTCTGGAAGTTTTGTCTCAGAGGAGTACCCGGCCCTGTGAGGTGTCAGTCTGCCCCTACCGGGGGGTGCCTCCCAGTTAGGCTGCTCAGGGGTCAGGGACCCACTTGACGAGGCAGTCTGCCCGTTCTCAGATCTCCAGCTGCGTGCTGGGAGAACCACTACTCTCTTCAAAGCTGTCAGATAGGGACGTTTAAGTCTGTAGAGGTTACTGCTGTCTTTTTGTCTTTGCCCTGCCCCCAGAGGTGGAGCCTACAGAGGCAGGCAGGCCTCCTTGAGCTGTGGTGGGCTCCACCCACTTCGAGCTTCCTGGCTGCTTTGTTTACCTATGCAAGCCTGGGCAATGGCAGGCGCCCCTCCCCCAGCCTCGCTGCCACCTTGCAGTTTGATCTCAGACTGCTGTGCTAGCAATCAGTGAGACTCTGTGGGCGTAGGACCCTCCGAGCCATGTGCAGGATATAATCTCCTGGTGTGCCGTTTTTTAAGCCCGTTGGCAAAGTGCAGTATTAGGGTGGGAGTGACCCAATTTTCCAGGTGCTGTCTGTCACCCCTTTCTTTGACTAGGAAAGGGAACTCCCTGACCCCTTGCACTTCCTGAGTGAGGCAATGCCTCGCCCTGCTTCGGCTCGCACACAGTGCACTGCACCCACTGTCCTGCACCCACTGTCTGGCACTCCCTAGTGAGATGAACCCGGTACCTCAGATGGAAATGCAGAAATCACCCATCTTCTGCGTCGCTCACGCTGGAAGCTGTAGACCGGAGCTCTTCCTATTCAGCCATCTTGGCTACACCCCGCGCACCCCCCCTCCCCCCGCTGATATCATGGTATTAACAACTTTTTGTTGATACATTTGGCAACTTAGATTAAATGAACAAATTCTTTGAAAACACAACTTACCATATAAAAAAAGTAAAAAATACTGTAGTCTAATATTCATTTAAAAACTGAATCTGTAATTGAAAATTTTCCTACAAAGAAGCTTCCAGGGCCAGATAGCTTCACTGGAGAATTTCCACAAATATTTAAGGCAGAAACAGTGCTAATCTTATTTAAACTATTTCAGAAAAAAGAGAAATAAAAAACACCTCCAAACTTGCTTTACAAGACCAATATAAACCTGATTTTAAAAATCTGACATTTTATTATTATATTTTATAAGAAAGGAAAGAAAAAATTGCAGGCCAATATCACTCATAAGCATAAATGTGAAAATCCTAACTAAAATATTAGCAAATCAAACGTAGTGACATACAAAAATTATATATCATGACCACATGGTGTTTATTCTAAGAATGCAGTTACTTTAACATTATTTTAATGTAATTCACCACATTAACAGAATAAAGGAGAAAAAGCATATAATCATCTTGATAGATATAGAAACATTATTTGACAAATTCAACACTTTTTCAAATTAAACTACCAGAAAACAGGAATAGAAAGGAACTTTTCTAATCTAATGAAGGATATCTACAAAAACCCTTAGCTAACATCTTTTAACATAAACTAGTGAATGCTTTTCCTCTGAGGTTAGGAACAAGACAAGGCTACTATCGCTACTTCTATTCATCATCGTACTGAAGATCCTAGCCAGTGCAATATGGCAAGAAAAAAATTGAAAAGTATGAGACTTAAAACGAAAGAATAAAACTATTATTTGCTCACATACATGGTGATGTATGCAAAAAATTCAAAAGGGTCTATAAACAAACTATTAGAATTAATAAGCAAATTTGGAAAGGTCGTTTAAACAAGGTGACTTTTCAGAAATCAATTGTATATTTATATACTAGTAAAACAAATTGGAAATAGAACCTTAAAAACCACCATTTACAACTGAATTTTTAAAATCAAATAAGAATACATACAATGAAAAATTGCAAGATATCCACCCTATAAAACAGTGTTTAGAGAAATTAAATAAGACCTAAACACATGGATTTACATAAACACTTCATGTTTACAGATTGGAAGAATCAATATTGTTTCTCTCCAAATAGCAATCTCTCTCCAAATTGATCTACAGATTTTGTGACATCTCAATCAAAATACTGGAAGTAAATTGAAAAGCTGATTGTAAAATATACATATAAAAATGCAAAAAAAACCCAGAATAGCCAAAATGATGTTGAAGAAGAATAAAGTTGGAGGACTCGTACCATCAGATATACTTATTGTAAATCTACAGTAGTTAAGAAGACTATGTGGGTTTGGTGCAAAGACAGATAAATAGAAGAATGAAGTAGGATAGAGTCCAACAACAGACCCACACTTACATGGTCAACTGATTTTTGACAGTGGTGCCACTGCAATCCAGTGGGTGGAGAATGCCTTTTAAATAAATGGCCTAATGTCTTAGATCAATTGGATATTCATATGGGAAAAAAATGAAGCTTGATCCCTACCTCACACCAAAATTAATTTGAAATGGATTCTAGATCTACATGTGAAAAACAAAACAATAAAGCTTCCAAAAGAAAATACAGAATCATATCATTATGATATTGGGATAGTTAAAAAGTTGTTAGAACACCAAAGCCATTACCCATAAAATAGGCCTCATTAAAATTAAGAACTTCTGTTCATTAAAAGACATCAGGAGCGTGAAAAGGCAAAATATACACTGGGATAAGATATTGGCAATACATATATCTGAGAAATCAATAAAACAAAAAACAATTAAACTTTGGGCATAAAACTTAAGCACTTCACAAGAAAGGATATTCAAATGGCCAATCAACACATGAGAAGGTGTTCAACATTATCACTCATCAGGAAAAAGTCAATTGAAACCACAATGAACATCACTACAAACTTTCTAGAATGAGTAAAAAGAAAAAGATTGTGAATATTAAGTGTTGGCAAGAACGTGGCACACCTGGAACTCACTCATGTATTGTTTTTGAGAGTGTAAATTGATACAATTACTTTGGAGAACTGTTTGGAAATTTCGTATTAAGTGTACACCAAATTTTGATATTTACAGCTAAAAGCATTCTAACTGTTGCAAATAGGGTCATATTGCTTATATTATTTTGAGCATGTGCTTTCATTTTACAATATACCATGAACATTTTCATCCGTCAATAACTTTTTCCATAATAGGATTTTTAATGGCTGCACTGTATTCAACGTGTTATGAGACGTTTAGGTGTTGCCAGTTTGAATTAAAAATTTAAGCAATTTGAATTGTAGGTAACTACCCAAGATACATTAGAGTACACATGTCCATCAAAAAAGCATGTATGAAACTTTACAGCAGCTTTGTTTAAAATAGCCAAGAGTTAGACACAACTCAAATGTCCATCAACAGTAAAATGGATCATTGGTATAGTCATATAATGGGGATACCACACAGCAAAAAATGGAACAAACCTACTATTCTCAACAACATGAATGAATCACACAGATACAATGATGAGCACAAGGAGTAGGTGTAAAAGTCAACATACATGTAATTTCATTTATGTGAAGTTCAAGAATTGGCAAAACTCACTTGTGGTGATAGAATCTGAGTAATGGTTACTTCTGTGGGTACTGGCTGGGTGGAGGAACAAATGATTCCCCCATGACTCGAAATGCTCTGTTTCTTGATTTGGGTGTTGGTTATATGAGGGTTTTCAGGTTGTGAGAATTAAGCATGATTTGTGTAATTTTCTGTATATACGTTATACTTCAATGCAAAGTTAAAAATAGAATGCTAACAAGGAAAGCTGGTAACAATGGCAGATTACAAATCAATGCAAAGTTTTGGAGGGAAATTTAAGGAAAAGCCTTGATAATATATACAACCATTACCCAATATTTTGTTTCTAGAAAATTACCCCTGAAACCAAACAAATATGCAAAGATTTGTGCAGGGTGTTGTCACACCATTATGTATAATGGCAAAAACTGGCAACACCTAAATGTCTCACAACATGTTGAATACAGTGCAGCCATTCAAAATCCTATTACAGGAGTAAGTTATTGACTTTTGAAAATGTTCATGGTATATTATGAAATGAAAGAGCATGCTCAAAATAATACAAGCAATATGATCCTATTTGCAACAGTTAGAATGCTTTTAGCTGCAAATAATGAAATACCTTTCTAAAATAAGGGCAGATTATTATCTCAAATAACAGGAGTCCAAAGATAGGGCAATTTCAGGGTTGGCTAATGAAGTTGCTCAAAAATGTTATCCGGGATCTAGATTTTTTCTTTGGTGTTGGTTTTTGTTTTCAGCCTAGTTCTTCCTTGCTTGCTGGATGGCTGCAGCAGTTCCCTGAATCTCCACCTTATAGAGCCAAGCTGAGCAACAGAAAGAGGACCATCATCTTCTGTGGACCTCTAAGAGCAAGGAAAACATTCCCTCAAAGTCATTCTTGTGCATCTCACTGGCCAGAACTGTATCACATGTCCAATGTCTAAACTATTCACAGAAAAGGGAAATGGGATCACTGTCATTATCTTAAACCAATCATGATTGGATTCCCTGGAGCTGCGCTGTGCAGGGGGTCATTTTCCCTGAGCCCATGACAACAAGGAGCTTGAACACTTCTACAAAACAAGAGCTTTGCCAGCCAAGAAGAAGTGAGCAGAAGTGAAGACAGACTGCCACTGAATAGGCAACCCACAGTGTTCACCCCATCAAATACATACCAAAAAGGCATAAACCAAGCTCTGAACTTGCTCATAACCCTCACCTCTGGGTAGTAAAACTGTGGTTGATTTATTTTAGTGTTTTGCTCATGGTTTTTGTCACTGGACATGTATTATGTTATAATAAAAAAGTCTTAAATGTTATTTTTAAAACAATAATTTAAAAATAAAAGGGAGCTTGCAGATCATTAAGCACATCCCCAGCACTTTGCAAATTGAAAAGACATGTTCCTGAAAGGTAGAGTAATGCTTATGAAGCCACAGTCATTTCCTTTCTACTTCTGTTTCCATTCTGTTCCTCCATCCTTTCACAATCTGCCTCTGAGCTACTCAAAGTCTGACTTCAAAGTGATGCTGGATGGAAGGGACCTCTAAGGACATCGAAGTCAACCTCTTACAGGAAACCCAGAATGACAGCAGCTTACTCAAGGTCACCCAGCTACCTAGGGAGAAGACCCAAAGATAGTGATTGGCGCTTTAGAAATCCTCTGATGAGTATACTTCTCCAATTCCTAAAGCCAGCCCAGGGACAGCAAAGATTGAGCAAAACCCAGGAAAATACTGATGGCTCAGCCATCTTGCTGTGGAAAGAGGAGCAACACCCTGCTTAAGAATGTGCCACACATACCCCATCCCCATCCCCATCCCCAAATTAAAGTAAAAGTCCTCTTTCTGGTGTTACCTCTCTGCTGTTAACCTTGCCTTCTCTGCCAGCTGCATTCCCATAAGCTGGAAACACATCCAATTTTCTCCCAACCTTTAAACAATAAAAATATTTAACTCTGCCTTCTCTTTCTAACACTTTTCATCCAAATAGCTCAAAAAGATAATCTGTGCTTTCTTTTTCTAATTCCTTACCTCTCATTTTCTCCTCAACTCATTCCAATCTGCTATACCACTTCCATGGGGTAATACCACTAAAATTGTTCTTGTTAAGGACATAAGTGACTCCTATCATGAAATCTGAGGAAATCCTTAAGTTCTTATCTTACTGGACCTCCCTGTTGCATTTAACCCTATTGTCCACTTTCTCTTTCTGAATGCTCTGCTCTCTTGGTTCCCAAGATGACTTGCTTTCCCCAATTCTCATAACTTTCTGGCCATAACTTTTTCTTCATAGGTGGGAAGATGGATAAAGACATATTTCTGATGATATTGTTTTAACAGCTTGATCCAGCCATGCCTGAAGCCTGACCCAGATTTTTTTAGTTATAGGAGCCAACACGTTATTCTTTTTGCTCAAACCAGTGTTCGCTGAGTTTCGGGCACTGGCCAGTGGAGCTCAGCACAGCAGTGGAATCCTCTCCCTTGGTAACTCCTTCCCTTCTTCTACTGGCATGTGCAGCACTAATGATAGTACTAACTAGACACAGATCCCCAACGGGCACATAGTGGAGGCTAGACATACAGTTAGGGAGGAGTAACTCAAGAATGGCAAATTTGGATCCTCCAAACAGAGCAGCTTGCCTCAACATACACCCCAGCTCACGGGTCTCATTTGATGCAGAGAGCAGGCTAAACCAAATGGATTTTGCCAGCTAAGCACTGCCACAGCCATCAGCACTGTTTGAGATGGGCCCCCAAATGCCAATCTGCTTCCTGGCACAGGAACCCTGAAGGGCAATCTCTCTGCCAGCCTTTGCCCTCTGCAGCTGGGTGAAGCTCACCTAAGACTACCCTACATCTCTATACACCCCCAGAGGGCAAGGCACACATGGGAAATCAATGACTCACCTACACAATTGCTGGGAAAGCTCACATCAGCTACCAATGGTGATTAGGCGAGTCCTTTGTTTAAAAATGGGAAGAGACAGTGAAAATTTTCTGGACATGCAAGGAGAGTGAGTCAGTGGCCTGAACTGAATACTCGGACCAAATAGCTCATGCTGAAATAGGGTTAATGCAGGAGATATAGAAGAAAACTTTAGTCTTACGATCATGTTCCTTGAGACTCATAAGCGTACTCCCCGACAAAATAATCTCAGGCAGTTACAAAAAAAGTTATAGAGACTAGTATAAACTTGAGTTCAAAACTAACAAAGCCCACTCACACAAAAACTTAGAATAGCAGACAGGTGTGGAGGCACAAGCCTGTAATTCCAGCACTTTGGGAGGCTGAGGTGGGCAGATCGCTTGACTCAGGAGATTGAGACCAGCCTGGGCAACACAGCAAAACCCTGTCTCTACAAAAAATACAAAAATTAGCTGGATGTCGTGGCACGTGCCTGTAGTCCCAGCTACTTGGGAGGCTGAGGTGGGAGAATCGCTTGAGCCTGGGAGGTCGAGGCTGCAGTGAGCTGAGATTGCACCACTGCACTCCAGCCTGAGCAACAGAGTGAGACCCTGTCTCACGAAAAAAAAAAAAAAAAAAAAAAAAAGAATAGTATTTCAACATTATAATTAGCCACACATTTTTTTTAATTTTTAAAAAATGTATAATAGCAATTTGATGCAGCAGCATATTAAGGAAGAACTTGACATATTTTATCCTAGAAATTCAAAGATGACTTAATAATTATCAAATCCTATAATGTTTTCCATGTTTGCAAATTATTGCAGAGCAATAATCATTACATCTAGAGGTTAATATGGAAAAATAGGTGCTGATACTGATAGATACAAAAAAAGGCATTGGTAAAAATTCCATTTTAGCTGGGCACAGTGGCACACAGTTGTAGACCCAGCTACTAGGGAGGCTGAGGCAGGAGGGTAGTTTGAGCCCAGCCTGGGCAACATAGTGAGACCCCATCTCTAAAAAGAAGAATCCAATTTTAATTATACTCTCTCTCTCTCTCTCTCTCTCCTACTAAAATAGGAATAAAAGGACATTTCTAGAATGTAATGAGATTATCAGAAGGCTGCAGGAAACATCATGAAAACAGGAGAAAACCTGCCTTAGCAAACAAGAATGCTTGCTGTCTCCATTCCTAATCATTGTTTTGGAGCTTCTAGCTAATGCAATAATATAAGAAAATTAACCAAGATTCATAAATATTTTTTAAAAGGAAGGCACAAAGTAATTATTTGCATGAGATACTCTTGTCTACCAAAAAAGTCCCAAAGAATCAACTCAGAACTAATGAAAACAATATGTGAATTTAGTAAGATAGCTGGTCAGAATATACATTTATAAAAATCAATAGCTTTCCAAATCCTAGCTTTCCAACAGCAAGGACAATTTAGAAAATAAATGTAGTTGAAAAAGATCTTACTCACAATAGCAGCAAAAACTATCACGTACCTAGAAATAAACCTAAACAGAAATATGTTAGGTTTATAAGAAGCAAACTATAAAACTTCACTGGAGATCATAAAAGAAGACTTAAATACGATGGAAAAATGCACCAGGTCCCTGAAGGAAAACTCAATATTATGGGAATGTCAATTCTCCTCAAATTAACCTATAAATTTAATGGCATTCCCATCAAAATCCCAATGGCTTCCTCTCCAAAACCCATAATCCGAGTCTAACGATGAGAAAAACATCAGACAAACTACAATAGAGGATTCTTCCACAAAAGGCCTGCCCAGGACGCCTCAAAAATGAGCTATCAAAAACAAGGGAAGTATGAGAAACTGTCCCAGCCAAGAGGGGCCTAAGAAAACAGGATGAGTAAATATAATGTGGATGAGATCCTAGAACAGAAAAAAGTACTTTTAGTAAAAAGCTAAGGAAATTGGAATAATCTATGAACTTAATGTAGGATTTTGGTTCATTACTTGTGGCCAATGTATTGTACCAATGGAATGTGTTAGTAATAGGGGGAACTGGGTACAGGGTATATGAGAACTCTTTGTAATAGCTTTGCCATTTTTCTGTAAACCTAAAATTGTTTTAAAACATAATATCTAGTTTTTAAAAGTTCCATTGGATTTTGAAGGGGAAGAAGAGAAAATGTTTCCATTTTTATTTTAAATGTTACCTGAAATGATAACAGAGTGATAACAGGACAGAATTCCTATTTTAAAATTAATGTGTGCCTAGTAAGCCAAGGTGAAGTGAAAAGGTGTCCATCTCCTTCTCCTCTTGAAAAACCATCCTGGAACAAGCAGAACAAAAAACACAACACAAAATCCACCTTGGATAAAACAAGGAGGCATCTAAAGTATTACCAGATTGCAACATAGGCAGGTGGAAGACAGCTGGAGGAAGGGCTGCCTTAGTAGAGAAGATGGAATCAAATCTGAGTACCCAATGCGGGGCACTGGAACACAGAAAGCCAATTTGCCCACAAGGAATCACAGGAAAGGCTTAGAAATGGCAAGAACCAGGTCCCTTAGAAGGCCGAGGTGAGGGCTGCGGCTGAAAATAGAAGGATCATTTTCCAAACCTTATTAAAGAAGCACTGAGACCCCCAGATTGCCCATCCCAACCCCACCCAAGGCAGTTCCCTTGCTGTCCCTGTGGACCACCATAGTCCTTTCCTAGAGCGATGGTCATAGACAGACTTCTAAGTTG
Organism: Homo sapiens; assembly: GCF_000001405.40. Lineage (NCBI taxonomy): Eukaryota > Metazoa > Chordata > Mammalia > Primates > Hominidae > Homo > Homo sapiens. Next base: position 45,136,808 of record NC_000011.10, read on the forward strand.
TTTTCACCAGGCACTGAGGAGGGTGGGAAACTGCTGAATCAAAAACAGATGGGGGCCGGGCACAGAGGCTCCTGCCTGTAATCCCAGCACTTTGGGAGGCCGAGGCGGGTGGATCACTTGAGGTCAGGAGTTCGAGACCAGCCTGGCCAACATGGTGAAACCCCTATCTCTACTAAAAATACAAAAAAAAAAAAAAAGAAAAAAAATTAGCTGGGTGTGGTGGCAGACACCTGTAATTCCAGCCACTCGGGAGGCTGAGGCAGGAGAATTTCTTGAACCTGGGAGGCGGAGGTTGCAGTGAGCTGAGATCGCACCACTGCACTTCAGCCTGGGCGAGGGAGTGAGACTCTGTCTCAAAAACAAACAAACAAACAAACAAACAGATGGGGCCGAGGCAGGCAGATCACTTGAGGTCAGGAATTTGAGACCAGCCTTGCCAACATGGTGAAACCCCGTCTCTACTAAAAATATAAAAATTAGCCAGGCTTGGTGGCACACGCCTGTAACCCCAGCTACTCGGGAGGCTGAGGCAGGAGAATTTCTTGAATCCAGGAGGCGGAGGTTGCAGTGAGCTGAGATCGCAGCACTGCACTCCAGCCTGAGTGACAAGAGACTCCGTCTCAAAAAAAAAAAGAAAAAAGAAAAGAAAACACAGATGGGAGGCTGGGTGTGGCGGCTCATGCCTGTAATCCCAACACTTTAGGAGGCCAAGGCAGGAGAATTGCTTGAGCCCAAGAGTTCCAGACCAACCTGGGCAACATGGCGAGACCTCCTCTCTACAAAAAATAAAATTAGCCGGGCATGGTGGCGTGCATCTGTAGCCCTGGCTACTCAGGAGGCTGAGATGGGAGGACTGCTTGAACCCAGCAAGGTTACAGTGAGCTGAGATGGTGCAACTGAACTCCAATCCAGCCTGGGTGACACAGTAAGACCCTGTAAAGAAAGAGAGAAAATAAGCAAGCAAGCAAACAGATGGGTAAGGAGCTGTTTGAGCCCTCCAGTTCCTTCCCGACTCGGGTCCAAAATTAGAGATCCCTTCTGACCCAGCATTACCTTGAAGTCAGAGCAGGACTAGACTTATGACTCTCAACCCTTGTGTCCTCTCTCTGCGTGCACACATACACACACGCACACATACACACACATACACACACGTACGTGAGAAAGTGGAGGGTCATTCTTTGTTAAAGAAAGGAAGACCTACACCACACGGGGAAAACACAGCTTCACCCTCCAGTAAAGCATTCAGGCTGTGAATCCCAACCACCTGGGTGTACCAAGCTTGTTGAGTAACTTGCTCTCAAAAATGAAAACGCAGCCAAGGATCACCAGATATTTGAAGAAAGCCACTGCCTGAAAGGGAGCCCAATGAACAGGGGGGAAAAACTTGAAGAAGCAGGTAATACAGAGAACAGAAGGAAAAAAAGATATTCTTAGAGAAGAGAAAACATTGCAGTCATTCAAAATAATGGAAGGAGGCTGGGTGTGGTGCTCCCGCCTATAATCCTAGTATCTTGGGCAGCCGAGGAGGGAGGATCACTTACACTCAGGAGTGCAAGACCAGCCTGGGGAACATAGTGAGACCCCATCTCTATAAAAAACTTTTAGAAATTAGACAGGTATGGCGGCATGTGCCTGTAGTCCCAGCTACTTAGGAGACTGAGGTGGAAGGATCGCTTGAGCCTAAGAAGTTGAGGCTGCAGGGAGCCATGACCATGCCACTGAACTCCGGCTTGGGTGACAGAGCGAGACTCTGTCTCAAAAATAAATAAATTTAGTGCATGATACACATGGCACTACAAAATAATGAGGAATAGATGGATTATTCTATAATTGGTGTTGGGGCAACTCTCCACTAAGGAAAACATAAAGTCACATCCCTATGCTATACTCTACACCAAAGTAAATTCCAGCTGTGTCAGATATTTAAACAAACAAACAAAAAGAGCAATCAGAAGAAAATCTAAGATTTTTTTTTTACAATATACTGAAGAAGGCCTTTCTAACTATGTTCACAAAACTATAAAGGAAAAACAGAAAACATCTAAATTTCCATACAGCAAAAGACATCACAAATAAAGTTACAAAAATTGTTTGCATTGAGAAAACTGCATTACATATTTCAAACAAAGCATTCTGCTATCCTTAATATGTAAACTACATTTCTAAATCAATAAGAAAAATAAGGGCCCCAATTTTAAATGGACAAAGGACATAATCAAGCAATTTGCAAAAGAGGCATGAAAGATGAGTAAACATATTAAAATAAGCTCATCTTGCTAGTGGTGTCATATAATTTAAAACAACAATGAGATACATCAGTTGCAGAGCAAACCACTGAAGATTAAGCAGATTGATGGTGTTCAGCATAAGGGTGTCGGGGAAACAAGCAGGCTCATACAAAATCAATGAGAACTGACACAGGCATGAACACTTTGCAGGACAACTGGGCAAAATGTTTTAGGACAACTGGGCAAAATGTTTTAGGCAGTGGCTCACGCCTGTAATTCCAGCACTTTGGGAGGCCGAGGCAGATGGATCATGAGGTCAGGAGTTCAAGACCAGCCTGGCCAACATGGTGAAACCCCATCTCTACTAAAAACACAAAAATTAGCTGGGCATGGTGGCAGGCTTCTCTAATCCCAGCTACTTGGGAGGCTGAGGCAGGAGAATCGTTTGAACCCAGGAGGCGGAGGTTGCAGTGAGCAGAGATTGCACCACTGCACTCCAGCCTGGGTGACAGGGCGAGACTCCAACTCACAAAAAAAAAAAAAAAAAAAAAAAATGTTTTTAGGATGTAAAGCAGGGCATATCCTTTGACCCTGAAATTTCATTTTGGGAACTCATCTTAAGGGAATAACCAGAGAAGCAAACAAAAGATACAACTAAGGATGTGTACTGTCGTATTTTTATGATAAAAAATGTGATCTAACCTAAATATCCATTCGTTTATGTGCCTATGTGTTGGTCTTCCTTGGGATACTCTGAGCTTCACATAGGAAGGGACTGTAGGTGTCTCACTCATCTTAGTGGCTCTCGTGTCTGACGTGTCAATCAGTGTTTTAGAAATGGAGGGATGAGTTCAGGGAAAGAGAGAGAAACAATGTTGAAGGTTATTTGGAATCATTAAGCCCAGTGATTCCTATATTTCTTACTTTCATAACTGGAGGGAACTACTGTAGGTTTGTCAACCTTTTATTTTGCCAAGTAGGGTCCCTCAGAAAAACAATAACACCATTTTCATCTTCTACACATGCTATTATTACCCTTGCATAAAAGAAAAAGGACATTTGAACACCAAAAATAGTAGGAAATATATTATCTCAAAATGAAGATCATCCTTTAAATTGAATAGCTTTAGCTTTATGAAAACAATGCTACATTGCTTTATGGTTTTCATCTTCTCAAGGACAAGGGAAATGTTCTCTGACAAGGGTGGCTGTATGGATTGACATGTGGAAACTGGTCCCTCACTTTACAAATTGAGAGAAAACCAGTGAGGCTCTGAGCAGATACAGGATCTGACTGTAGTCCCCCAGGAGTCAAATAACAGGGGTGGGACTAGAACCCACATCTCTTGGCTCCTGGCCCAGATCTCTATTCTTTCACGACAGTGCTCTCCACCAGCAATGTGGCTGCACCATTTCTGGAATCAAGAATATTCCCCTATGGTGGGACTTTGGAGATCATTAAACATAACATCTACCTGGGCATAAATTATCTTCAGAAGAGCCCCCAACCTTGGCTTACACACCTCCAGTAACAGGAAGCTCACCACTTGCAGTGGCAGCCCTTTTTGTTGGGTGGCTCCATTGTTTCGGCACTTCTTATTTTCCTGGAGCTTATCTGTCTCATTGTGGCTCCACCCAGCAGTCCTAAAGCTGCTCCCCAATCTGCATGAAGGTCTCTCAGGTTTAGGAGTGTGTGGCATTCAGGAGTCTTCCTGGAGTCTCCTGGGACAAAAAAAAAAACAACCTCTCTAATGCCCCAGTCCCCATCCCTTTCTCTAGCAACCCTCTACAAGACTGAGAACATACTTCATCTCTTGAATGATGATTGAATCCAACATTCCCAGCCCTATTTACAGAGAAGGAGACTGAACAAGTGCTGGAGAAACCATCAATTCCAATACTCAACACCATTGAGGACTTCCAAAATGGAGAGAGTTGCCCAGAGTCCCAAGTTTGGAAAGAGTACTCCACAACTTGTACTCCAATCAGTGATTTCAACCTCTTTGATTTTACCAGTCTGCCAAGGTCCTGTCTAACAAGGCAAGCTCTACCGCTGGCTCTCAGCTGATATCTGGGGGTTTCCTTTGCCTATTCTCCTGGCTAGACACACTGTTAAGAAATTTTGGTGAATAACTGCATGATCATCTACAAGCTCCATAAAGTCTTGGTTTTAATGTTGCAAGCAACAGAAATTGCTCTGGCTGATTTTGGTCACCAGCCTCCAAGGTGACCACCAAGGATCCCTCCTCCTGGTGGCTGCACCCTCGTGTAGTCCTCTCCCACACTGTACCAGGGTTGGTCTGTGTGACCACAGAATATGGCAGCAGTGATGTCATGTCACTTCTGAAATTAGTTTATAAAGGGCTGTGGCTTTCCTGGCCTGTCAGAAACTGTGTGATAATAAATGTTTACTGTCTTCAGCTGCTAAGTTTCAGGCAATTGGTTATGCAGCAATAGACAACTTGTAAATTGAAAAGGAACACAGTGAAAGGATTTCAGGTAGCTCATGATCCTCTGGAAGGCTGGAGAAACAGGTGTGGGGTGCACACAGCCAGAGCCACAGCCAAGATCATGCTAGAGACCTGATGTGGTAAAGACATTGCTCCCCAACCTGACCAACAGATGCCAAAGCCTGCACCACCAGCCCTAGGCCAAAGCTCTGTTGGATCCAGCCACTGACATTACTGCTCCTGAGAACGGACTGCACTGCACCCCACCCATGCCTGAAAGGACTGTCCATGATCCATGCTTCTATTATCTCTAGCTCCCAATTCAAAGTCAGGAAGATGCATCTGATTGACAGCCTGGGTCATGGACCAGTGCCTTACCTGCAGGGAGGCCAGGGAAGGGAGTTTTTGTTGTTTCAGCTTCTCCAGTGGGCAGGGAAAGGGCACACTCTGCTTCTCCCCAAGGCTCAGAAGGTGGGATGTTCTCCAGCCACTGGAAGGGGAATCAGATGCTGGGAAGCCAGAAAAAAAGACACACGTTTGCTTCAATCTCATCTAGAATTCAGGGATAATTCAATGAGATGGTTTATGAGCATGCCTACAAACTCACTGGGACTCAGTAAATGTTTATCATCCAGATGGCAACCAAGGTGATCTCATGAAAACAAATCAAGTTCCGGGTCTCCCCAGCTTAAAATTACCAGTGGCTTCCACTGCACTTCAAAGAAAGCCAAACTGGAAAACCCTGGCAGAGATCCCACCCACTTCTCCCCACATCTGCTTCTTGTCCTTCTTGCCACACTGCACCCTGGGCACACTAGCCTTCTGCCACTTCATAGAACAAGCCAATTCCATCCTGCTCAGGGCCTTTGCACTGGCTGTGTCCCCTTCCCAGGAATTCTGCTACTCAACTCTTGGTGGAGCTGGCTCCTTTGTATCTAGCAAGACCCCCACTGAAATGCCACCTCCTCAGAGATGCCTTCCCTGTCCTCATGATCTAGGGATGCCCCTCACTCCCACGCCACTATTCCCATACCTCTCCACCTTTCCATGCCTCAACAGGAGGGACTAATGGGGGAGATTTTCTGGAGCACAGGTAGGGGATAGTGGTTTGGGCCTCCCAGGGAGCTGGTAGGAGCAAGGCAAGCTGCTTGTCAGTAGAGCAAAAAATGGCGATGATGATCTGACCCAAGGCATTTTGATCTTAGCCACTGTCAGCAGCTGGATGAGCAATTCCTTGGGCTTAAGCCAGTCCCTCCTTCCTTCCAAGAGACGGATCCCTCAGCTGTTGGGTGAATGGACAAGATCAGAACAGAACTGTGCCTGGCTTAACATGAGGCCTGTGGAATCCAGGTCCCTTCAGCAGCTCTTCCAAATGTGGATTTATTTAAAGCATTTATCTCTTACCATTAAAAAGGGGAACATCTTTAATAAAAGGCAGAGAAAGCAAGGCTGAGCCAGTAGGATTAGAAGCAGTAAAGCAGTAATAAGGATGCAACTGCCAAAGCTGTTAGAAGTGAAGGTGGAATTTGGCTCTGAGCTTCCTGGCAACCCGTGCAAGAAGGGAAGGCTGATCAGTTACGGAGCTCTTCTTATTAGCAAGGAAGATGCTTGCCAGTTCCTTGGGGAAGATGCAGTGTGTTTCAGTCTTAGTTTTTTCCAGGTACTAAATCCTTATTGAAATTTTGCCCTTGTGCTTTCAGGAAAGGTCATATGTGCAATAAACAATGTCCTTGTTTTACAACAAATGTGGAAGTGAATCCCCAGTGACTCTTCCTTCTAGGATCCAGGGGGCATTTACCTTGGAGCTAACAGGAAGTATTTTGCTTGGTGTCATTATTACTAGTAGGGGGTGGAGGGAAGGCCTCAGATGGACTTTTCCTTCTAAAGAGGTGAACTCTATTCATTTAGAGTATCTCAGTAGCCTTCACAGGGACCTGGAGGTGACTGGGATTGTTAGTACATTTTTTGCAAGAAGAGGTCATAATGTACCTGGCCTTGAATCACAAAGTTCTGGTCAGCTCCTTTTTGTGAGATACGCTCAAGGGAGAAATTAAGGAAATATTTCACCACCCATTAGGCTGAAAAGCTGCATTATGGAAAAGGACAATGAACCAGAAATGACTAACAGCAGATGACACTGAGCAATGGAGTCAGGCAGACCTATGTTTGAATCTCACCCTGCCTCAAACTAGCTGTGTGACCTTGGGCAAGTCTCTTAACCTCTCTGAACATGGTTTCTCTGCCTGCAAAAAATAGTGATGATGATATCCTTCTTGGATTATTGAGATTATTGAGTATAGATGGTAATAACCCAGAAGGTGTGTACCATATGCCCTATTCGCTTCAATCCTGTTCTCCTTCCCCTTCCCTTAAGTTCTCAGGAAATGCCAGTGGAGCTCTTATCTCATCCCTACTTCTGACTTTCAGGCCCAACTCAGCCCACAGAGGGAAACTGAGGCACTGCCTCACAAGACGTGCTTTGTCTAGACTGCTTGTCCGTGGTGATCACACTCAGGGTCTGGGACCACTTTCTGCCCACTTTCTGCCCACATTGACCCAGAGCACATGTGTCAACCCTCCAACTGCCTAGGGCTTCCCTTCTGAGATGTTTCCAACAATTCCCCCAGCCTTGTTTCAGATTCCTTCCTGTGCCTTGGCCTTGACTATGTAACTACAGGGGCAGTTTCTTGAGGGCAAAATATAGAACCCCTGGTCCCAACTCTTCATGCCATGCAGGAAAACACTGGCCCCCAAAGAGGACAAGTCAAATGCCTCAGGCGACAGGTTGGGACTCAGACCTGGGTCTCTGGATCACACCGCATCTCTTTGCTCCCCACAGCCCCTGGACAAGTCCCAGTGTGACGCCTGAAGCGCTGACTCCCCAGCCTGCAATGCCTGAGGACCCAGTCTCACCCTACAGATGCAGCTGAGGACCTACGGCTTCCTGGCAAAGGAAGCCAGGATAGAAATGGATGGGGAGATTTAAATAGAAAACCAATGCCACAAGAAATTCCCTCCTTACCTCACTTCCAACTTGCCAGCTCATTCTCTTAAAGATCTTTTTGCTCTCTGGAGGATGGGACCACTCCCCTCCTTTATCTACTTCTCTTTTTGCCCTCATCTCCGATATCTCTGCCTCACCCTCTACCCCAGTCACTGCAGGACACATGTCCAACACCCTGGGTACGTTGACGCCTCGAGGTCTTTGCTTCTGCTCTTTGCCTTCCTGGCAATGCCATCCTACCATTGGTGGAAATTCCAGGCCTACCTCTGACATTACTTCCTTGGTGAATCTTTCTCCTCAAAAGGAACAACAAATGGCTCCTTCCTCAGTGCTCTTTTCTCGGCCGGGCACTTGGCATCCAAAACCATGCTCAGTGCAACTGGAGGTGCATTCAGTTCTGAATTAATTGAAGTTATCTGCGAGTGCCTTCATCTCTTGGGCAGACCAAGACCTGCCTGAAGGATCTTGTCATTCTAATCGTGGAACCCCTCCCCCAACCCCCGTCCCCCAGTACCCGACACTCTGCCTGGCACCAAGCAGAGAAATACTCAGGAAACTTACAGTTGCATTGAACCTCATATAACGATAGGGTTGTTACTGTCTCTTGAGCATCTACTGAGAGCAGCTGGGTGCTGGGCCCTTTAAATACACTCTCATGGCTCCTTACACAGAGCCAGGAACGTGGGTATTACTGTGCACCACTTTGCAGATGTGGGAAATAAAGGCTCAGAGAGGTGAAGCCAGTTGCTCCAGATCACACAGCCAGTAACAGGCATGAGATTCCAAGAAGCTGTGTTTGTGACGCCAGAGTCAAGGGAAACAAATGATGTGGTACCCACAGTGCTCCCTCCCTCATCACCCCCACCGCCTCCAGCTCCACATCCAGATTCCAAAAGCCATGAGCACCCCCATCTGACCATGAACGCCCATCTGACCATGAACGCCCATCTGCGGATCGCCAGCAGCAAGGTTGACACGGAACTCCTTCCGCCTTGGGAGGAGGCTTCCCTGGGGTAGTACCCTCTGGGGGCCGTCTGGGCAACTCTTGCAGGGCTTCGTGGATGTTTGGGGAAAGCACTGGACAGCGCCTCGCCCAGGTGCCTTCCTGGGAATCACCAACTGGGGTTTACTGCCCCAATTTTGGAGCTTGCACAGAGCATCCTCCCTTGGTAGGAGAGACGTCGCCATTGGGCCACAGGACTTGTAGAGGACGCCACGAGAAAGGGGTTGATTGGGGAATGGTTGTCCTGGTTACGCCACCCTGCAGTGTCCCTTGCCCTCCTCCAAGGCTTCCAGCCCCATCGCAACCTGTCAGTTTTCCAGGCGCTCAGGAAAGCATGTCAAGCACTCAAGCACTCTGTGACAATTCCACCCCCGGCCCAGTCTTTCCCTCTTCACCCCCTCTCTGTGATGTCGAATCCCATTTCACAGATGGAGAAACTGAGGAATCGAGCAAGTGAATGCCGCTTAAACATCTTTTCCAAGCCAGCCAGGGACCAGCCCCTCCAGTTCTCAGAATCTCTCTCCCTCTGTAACATATTTTGACTTGAAGAACATGTGCGATTCGTGACTACAAAACCGCAACCCCACATAAAGAGTTAATATTTTTAACGAACCCCAAGCCCCTCACCCTCAGCCTTCGCGGGACGCCTGCGTCTCGCAACTTCAGTTTGTATCTCCAAACTGCTGAGCATTCAAAGGGTTAAATGGGACCGGGAGGGGGCCAGCCGCGGAGCCCTGAAAGGGTTAAAAATCCAAACGCGTCGACTCCCCCCGACTATTTGGTTCCAAATGGACAGCCACGCGACCGGGAGAGCCAGGGAGCCCCCCTCACAATGACTTTATTAAAATTTGAGAACTTTTACTTCTGACCCCAAAAAAGTATCCCAGTTCGAAAGTTCTCTCTTAACCTTTTCTTTTTTTCATCTATTTTTTTCTCGATTTCTCCACGGGCTGGATTATAAAACGCTCCCTCTCCCTTTGGGTTTGGAGAGCCGGGTTCCCCCCTCCGGGCAGGGCGCGGGCCTAAGGGGCCCCGGGAGTTTTCTCCGGGGCCGGGTCGGGACGCGGCTGGTGAGTCCCGGCTCCGGCCCCTGAATTGGGGGGTCCGCGTCTGCCCCAAACGCCGCTTTCTTCCGTTTTCCATGTCATTTCCTGTACTAATAAGATGGTGGTCAAAGCAGGGGAGGAGAGCAGCAGCGAGTCGCCGCCGCCGCCGCGCCGAGGCTGGCGCTGAAACTTTGCCTCGCCGGGGACCAGCGCGCCCGCAGCGCGGCCGCTCCCTCCGCGGGGGCCGCCAGCCGAGGCCGCGCCGCCTCCGCCGAGCCGCCCGCCGGGCCGCTCTCGCCGCCCGGGCCCCGCGGCTGCCGCAGCATTCCCGGGAAGGTGAGTCAGCCCCGGTAGCCAATGTGGCCATTGAAAATGGCTTCGGAGAGCGCTCGGCAGTTTGCCAGCGAGCGCGGGGGCCGCCGGTGCGGGGGCCGGGAGCGGCGGCTGGGGGCGGGGGCGGCCGGGGGTCTCGGCGCGGGCGCGGGGCGGGGGTCCGGACGGCGCCGGCGCGGGGTGGGGGGCGGCCCGCCGTGGCCGCGAGGTGGGTGAACCCTCGGCAGGTAGCTGCCGCCGCCGCGGGAGCCGGGGGCCGCCCTCCGCCTCCTTCCTCCCAGCTCGCTCGCTCCTCGCCTTGTTACAATGTAGCCTTTTCTCTCCGCAAGCGGCGCGCCCGCTGACGGACGTGGCCGCCGACCAATGGGAGTGGCGGCCCGGGCCGAGCGCTCGGAATGAGAACGCGGTGACACGGACGGGGCGGGGCGCGGACGCCGACGCCAGAGGGCTCGCCGCGGCCGCCGGCCTAGTTCTCGCGGACGCCCTCGGCCCCGCGCCGGGGGCTGCTGCGGGGTGCTCGGGGATGAAGGTGGGAGGCGTCCTTTGGGATGCGACGAAGCCTTCTCCATCGCGGTTCGCGATTGCCCGCGAAGCGTGGCCGAGCCGGAGGGCATTTCTGGAATGCGTTTTAAGTGTCAGTTGCGGTGTAGACTCTTCGGGAAACCTCTCCGGAGCGTAGCCTCCACCCCCCACTCGCAGTCCCCAAGGTACTCTCCTATGCAGAAACTGCAGAAACTTAGCGGCCAATGACCTCTCTCCGGTCAAGGCCAGCGTGCTCTAGGCGAGTCGCTGCAAAGAGAATACCAATGTCTTGGGCGATGCTGGTGAAAAATTGCTGGTGTGTGTCTAGAGCCCAGTTGGGAGATGGGGGCTTAGAACCCCCCAGGCTGGGCTGGGATTTAGGGGAGAAAAATGTGAAACGTCTCCTCTTTCCTAGACGTTTGCTTCGTGTGGAGAAAGGCTGTGCTGTATAATTTAGAGTGGCTGTAAGGAAACACACCCAGCCCTTTGTGCGTGGGGCCAGGAGGCAATGATGAGAGATTGCTCTTGGTACCTGGAAACCCTATAAACTTTGGGGGTTTGGGGACAGAAGAATTTTCTGTGGAGCATGATGCCTGTAGCAACCAAGCTGGTCCTTGCCCACATTTCCTCTTGGGAGGGAGGAAGGTTCGGGCTTTCCTAGGGTCATTGTTGGAGGTGTAGGGTCGTAGTTGGGGAGCAGGGCACAGTCTTTGCCCGCCGACTCTCTGAAAGGTGGACAAGCAGAGTTCTATAGGGCACGTGTAGAAACCTTCCCTTCTGGGAATAGAGCCCAGACCTCTTGCTGTATTCAGTTTAATGGAAAGGCTTTCTCTCTTTGAATTCTACCTCCTCCTCATAGTCACTGTCTGACTTTGGACTTCACATCGTTGTCTTTGGCCTCTCTGAGCCTTGTGTCTCCATCCCTGAGTCCAACAAAACCTGCCCGGCAAGGAAGTTGTGAAATTAAATGAGATAGCAAAGATGAAATGCCTGTTCCAGGGCCTGGCATACTGTTTAAGAAGTGTTCTCCCCCAGAATCACGGCAGAAGGTACTGACCTGGGAATATCAGAATTGCCCCCACAGACCCCACCGTGGTCCATCCAGTCTCAAACTGACAGGGCCCCAAGGAACAGCTGGTGGCAGGGTCTCGTTTCCTTCCCTGGTGACGTTCACAAAGATGAGGGACTCCCCTCAGTTGTCCTAGGAGTCCTAGATTGGTCATGATAGCCATCACCTCTGCACTTATGGACTCATTTGACCTGAGTTACAGTTCTGTCGTCTAGACTTCTTGGGTTGATGTGTTCCATCAATTTCTTCTCCTTGGTGTCAAGTAGGATTTCTCCTATTTGGATCTGCCCTCTCCTGGACTTACAGGGAGTTTCCCTGGTTCCAGGTTGTTGGCAAGTATAAAGTAAAGAACACTGGGGTAGGAGTCGGGAGTCCTGCCTGTGGATTCAGCTGCCTTCTTGGCCTGCTCTCTTGGCTGTCTCATAGGCATGACAAACCCACAGTGGCCAAAGGTGTCCATAATCTTCCTCTCTAAACCTCTTCTAGGGCTCTGATCTTGGCCAAGAGCACACTGTCCCACTACTCTTTAAGGCAGAAGCCTTGGTGTCTCTGTCTCTGTCACCCCAATCTACTCCATCTCCAGACCCAGATAACTTTATCCTCTCAAATGAACCCATCCACTTCTCTCCATCCCCTCTTCCCCAGTGTTGTAGTCAAGCCATCGCTGTCTCTCCCCAGGACAACAGCAAGAGCCTCCTAATGTCTACCTGCAGTCACCCCCTCATGGCAGTCAGAGTGATCCATTCCAAATAGGATCATATCAGGCATCCCATTTCCTGCTTTAAACACCTAGAAGTCTTTCCAGTGTGTTGGGGATAAAGAACCAAATTGGTGTAGTGACCTAAAAGCTACCGAATGATCTGGCCCCTGCCCTTGACCTCATCTTCTATCCTCTCCTAGATCTCTCTGAACTCCATACCCCGATCTCTCCTACATAGGCTGGCCTTTCCTCCTCAAATCCTTGAGCTGTTGTCATCTAATGAATAAATTAAGGTTAGCAAAGGGCACAGTGGGATGGGAGTGTCTGGTGGTCCTTAGTGCTTTCCTCTTACTATTTCCGGTTCTTCCATTTCCACAGTAGGTTGACTGGAGCTCTACCTGCGCTTGGGTGGGGGCCCCATGACTGGCTGGTGAATTATAAATGACAGTGATTCACGTCACTTCTGGGCCACAGCATTTAATTGCTGGTGTGAGACCCTCCACAGTGCACTTTCCCTGTGGCATGGCAACTGGTAGTAAGGCGGGATGGTGGTGGCTGCTGCCAGCCTGAGTCCCTGTGTCACTCCGTGCGTGAAGCCCTTGGTGACCCATGATGGACATGCAACATGAGTGAAAACTAAACCTTTGCTGTTTTAAACTGCTGAGCTGTTGGGGCTGTTTGTTACTGCAGCATAACTTAGCCTGTGCTGACCGATGCAGGGACTAGAGAGGCATTTTAGGCAGAGAGACAAGTAGTGCATGTGCAGTTAATGCACAGAGAGAGGACCCTGACTTGGAAAGCAGCTAGGGTGATCTTTTCGACATGCATATCTGAGCTTATAAACCCCTGCCTGAAAGACCTTCAGGGACTCCCCCTGCTGTGAGGAGAATGACAGAAATCCAGCTGCCCTCCAGACTCTGCAGGGACACCATCTTTTGTCCCTCCCATTTGTCATGTTCTGCCTCACATGGGCCTTCCTCATGCTGTTCCTTCTGCCCTGACCTTGCATTCCACCCCCTCTCCTGATGAGGCCTCCTCATCCTTCCTCCTCCATCTTCACATCCCCTCTTCAGGGAAGCCCTCCCTGATTAGGCTGAATTCCCTTCTTTATAGCTTTCTTGGCCCACCTACCTCTCCTTTGGAGCACTCACATCCATAGCAATTTCCCACTTATTGGTGTAATGATTTGGTTGCAGCCTTGCTCTTCCATCAGACTCTACCAGGGTTGCTTTGAGTGTGCTGTTGGGTTTGCACTTGAGAGTTGCTCACCAAACACCTTCTGTTGAATCCTTAAGCATAGATAGAAGGCCCACTGTGTGCTGAGGGCTGGGGACAGGATGAGGGAACACCACTTCCCTGAGCTGCGGGCTGGTGGGTCCAGCTGGAAGGAGGTGTTAGGCATAGCTGGCAAAATGACTGGCTTGTAGAGTACAGATGGTACGTTCCCCATCCTTACTGGTGTCCATGGCCCAGGGGGACTGTGTGCCAGGGATGTAGCATAGGATATTCCAGGAAAGCAAGAGGATGAGATTCAACATTGACTCGAGGTCCCTGCTCATCTGGATAGTATATGATTCAGTGAAGGGGCTGCAGAACAGGAGATCTGGGGAAGATGAAGAGGAAGAAGAAGATGTTGATGATGGCAGCTAATGTTTTTTGAGGGCTTATTGTGTGCTATCTGTGGTTCTAAGCATGTCACATACCCTGCACTGAAAACAGCTCCACAAGGTAGATATTATTTCTGTTTCACAGATTGAGAGACTATGGCTACAAAAGATGAGGTAAGGGACCCAGGGTTAATGGTGTGGCCAGGATTAGAACCCTGGCAGTCTGAGGCCATCTCCTTGGTATGTCTTCTTGGAGTGAGGGCAGAGAACCCCAAACCCATTTGGAAGCATCATGTGGTGTTATAAAGCTGTCATGGGAGAGCGGGCCTCCAGTGGGGTAACACCTACCTAACATCGGGGTTTGAGCATGGGGTTCTTGGCTCAGAGGTGACTGGTGGCCCTGGTGCCAGGGCTGGTCTAAAACTGCCTGGTGCATCTCTACCTCCTGCTGGAGGCTGAGACTCCTTGGAGGCCACAGAGCCCCATGTTCTCAGAGTGAGGCCTGGGAGGGGCTTCCCGACAGCTGACCCTGGAGCTGTGCTGGAAAAACAAGCCGTGCAGAAAGAAAAAAGAAAATTGTGCTGTTGTTTTCTAAAAAGCCTGTTTCCTATTGCAGATTTGTATCTGTGTTGAAAAGGCCAATGTTCACTTAATGCAGCCACATTGCTGGTGGTGTCCCCAGACTGTGGCTCTGTAAGTGGGGAGGCCTGGACCCCCATCTGGGTACCATTCGGTCCTTCATTCATTGACCAGGTGGTCAGGACATGTATGCCATTGCTGTGCCAGGCACTGTGCTGGGCCTAGGGGGTACCACGTGCAAGTTAGTCCTTGCCCTTCCAGAGCTCACAGATCAGCCTGGGAGATAGGCAAATAACCAGGCAGTTGCAGCTTACAGCAGAAGGACGCAAAGGAGACAACCACTGACTATAAGTCAGGGAAAGCTTCGCTGAGGAGGAGGCCTTTAGGTTGGCCTTTGGAGAGTGAGTAGGATTTGGATAGCACAGGAGGGGAGAGGCTTCAGGCCCAGGGCATGGCTTGTCCAGAAGCATGGATGCATGTAAGGGACTGGGGAGGCTTGAGTAGTTCATTCGGGTAGAGAGTAAGTGTAAGGGGAGGAGATGGAGGTGGATGAGGCTGGAAAGAAAATAACAATAATAGTATGAGTAACACTAATCCTGGTCCTCGGCATTGGTTGCATCCTCTCCCTAGATCACTCTTACCCCAGTTATCTCCATGGCATGCCCCCTTGCCTCCCCCAGGACTTCTGCTCAAATACTACCTTCTCATGGGCACATTTATTTATTTATTTATTTGAGACAGGGTCTTACTCTGTCACCCAAGCTAGAATGCAGTTGCATGATCTCAGCTCATTGCAACCTCCGCCTCCTGGGTTCAAGTGATTCTCCTGCCTCAGCCCCCGAGTAGCTGGGACTACAGGCACATACCACCACACTTGGCTATTTTTTGTATTTTCAGTAGAGACTGGGGTCTCACCAGTTGGCCAGGCTGGTCTTGAACTCCCGACCTCAAGTGATCCACCTGCCTCAGTCTCCCAAAGTGTTGGGATTACAGGTATGAACTACCGGGCCTGGCCATGGGTACTTTCTTGTTTAAAATTGCAACCCACCCCAACACCCTCTCTCTGCTTCCTGCTTTTTTCTTTTTAGTGCATAGCACTTATCCCATGCCCCATGTTTTACTTTTTTATTTTGTTTTCTGTCTGCCTCCCATCATTTTAATGCAAGTTCCCAGAGAGCTGGGTTTTTTGTTACTTTTGTTCACTGCTGTATGAATAGTATATGCCATATGGTAACTAGAGCCTCAAATACTTGTGGAATGAGTGAATTAATTGAGCACTTACTGTGTTCAAAGTGCTTTATCTGCTTTGTCTTTTTAAATCTTCACAGCGATGCCCTGATCATGGTATTGTTATTTCCCCATTCTACAGTTTAGGAAACTGAGACTCAGAGAGGTAGCATCACTTGCCCACAGTTTCACAGTTGGTGATGAAATTCAAACTCAGGGCACCTGATTCCTGAGCCCTCCGGCCTAACCCGGATACTTGGCCTTGACTAGGCTGTAACAGGTCCTGACTGCTGTGCTGAGGAGTTTACAATCTGTCTGTTGGGCCACAGGGAGCCTCAGAGGGTTTTATGAGGAGGAAGCTGACATGGTGATCAGATCCATGTTCCGAAAAACAGCAGTGGCTTGGGCATAAGGCTGGAGGCAGGGAGGCCAAATAAGAGGCTTTCGTAGTAATTGAGGTAGGAGAGGATGAAGGTGAGAGCTGAGAGTGACCATTCCCAGGGAAAAGTAGGGGAATTTGGCCCTCTACAGCGAAGGTCAGAGCAGATGGGTTGGGGCTTGGTTCTGGAGGCCAGTTGTTTCCCCGAGTGTGCCTGACTTCTGCTTCTGAGTAGCGAGGGGACCCGCAGATAAAATCCAGCAAAGTGCCTTAGGCTGGTCCCTTGGCAGGGAAAGGGAACTGAGAAGGAGCCAGGGAGCCAGCTGGTGGGGTCCACACTGTTCCCTGGAGAGGGCGTGGGCCCCAGGTTCAGTCCTGCTTCTGGCACCAGATAGCGGTGAGATCTGAGCAGGAGGCTGTCCCTCTTGGAGTTACCCATTTTCTCATCTGCAGAACGGGGGCAATGCCACTACTGGCCTCCAAGGGCTGCATGGACAGCTCCGGAGAAAGACGGAGCACCAGTGAATGGCTTAGGGCCAGTCTTGGGCCATCTCCTGGGTGTGAGGCCAGTGGACATGGGGGAGGCATGGGGGTCCTCTCATGCCTCTTGCTGGCGATGGGACAGCAGTGCCTGAATACAAGACAATGAGCATATCTGCACTTAAAGGTGATCTGGCCACAGCCTCAGACACTCATGGTGCCCCACTGTCTTGTGTTCAAGGCCAAATATTTAACTGCGCCTCAGTTTCCTTTCTGTAAATGGACTCAGTAATATCAGTCCTGCCCTACATTCTGTGGAAGATTTTTTCCTCTGTGTTTGCAGGACTGAGTTTAAGGTGCTGTTATCTCTGGGGCAGTAAACACCTAGAAGGAACATGTATGGAGCACCAGGACACTGACAACAGCCCCGTGAGGTTACTCCCGCATCCACATATGGATGAGGAACCTTGGGGCTCAGAGAGGTTACATGACCAACTGAAGATCACACAGCTATCATCTCATTTTTCCAATCTTCTTAAGAAAACCACATTGATAAAGGAAGTCTTTGAGGTTGCCTATTTGTATTACATAATAATTCCCAGAAGGTTTCTTGGGTGATTTAAAAATAGGATTTGGGCTGGGCACAGTGGCTCATGCCTATAATCCCAGCACTTTGGGAGGCTGAGGTGGGAGGATCGCTTGAGTCCAGGAGTTTGAGACCAGCCTGGGCAACATAGTGAGACCCTGTATTTACAAAAAATGAACAAAATTACCTGGGCTTGGTGATGTGTGCCTGTAGTCCCAGCAACTTGGGAGGCTGAGGCGGGAAGATCACTGGACCCTGGGAGATCGAGGCTGTGATGAGCTGAGATCGCACCACTGTACTCCTGCCTGGGAGACAGAGTGAGACCCTGTCTCAAAAAATAATAAATCAATAAAAGTAGGATTTGATTTATAGAGTGTTGGTTTCAGACCTTCTCCCCATCCCAGGAACCTCACAGGTCAGAAGTTGCGGACACATTCAAACAGACCCGGAGCCTCCGCTGAAATGATACTGGGTACGGGAAGTGGAGTAGGGGTGGGGGCAGATAGCTGCTGCCCATCCTGCTCCCAAGCAGCAGCCTTAGATCAGGGGTTGGTGCTAGTGGTAGGGGGGTCCCTGCTTGCAAAGTGAGGCACCCCAGGCCTCTGGAGCCTTCAGTGCCTTCTAGAGCTTTCCCTTCCAGTCCTGTCTCCCCTACCTCATCCGATCCATAAGAGCAACCAGAACTCTCCTCCTCCCAACTGCACCTTCTCCCGATCCCTGATCACTAGCCCAGGCAGGTTGGCTCTTAAAACCCCCATTTTATAGCTCAGAAAACTGAGGCTCAGAGAGGGGAAGTGACTTAGAGCTCATACAGTTTAGGAAGTAACCAAGCTAACATTCTAACCCCAAATCTAGCACCCCTTCCTCTGCACCCCAGTCCTTCTGGAATCAGAGCAGAATGGGGACCCCAGAGAGTGTTGTTGTAGCCTCTGTACCCTGCTTCCCAAACAGAGAGATTGTCCAGCTACTGCAGGGAGTGTGGCTGGAAGGAGCTTGGGGTAGAAAGGGGGGTAGTGGCCGGTGGGCGCCTTCCCCCAGGCTTGTGTCAGAGTTGAGGGCGAGAGTGGGCCCAGCAGGCAGGAGGATCACTTTGACTAGGGCACTGAGCTGGGCTGGTATGGACGTCACTGAGCAAGTAAATATGGAACCGCCCCCACAATGTCAGCTTTCCCGGAGTGGCTTCTCCCACTATCTCTCACTTTCCCCAAGGGAAAGGGGTGAGGGCCAGGAAAGGATCTGGCTGCCCGATGCCAGGGGATGGAGATGGCCGGCTTGGGAGGCTCCACGATGGCCAAGGGGCATGGGGAGGAGCCCACCAGACCCTCAGCCCCAGAAGGAAGTGAGCTTCTCTTGGGAGCAGCCAACTGGGACCCAGCCAGGGCGGACTCAGCACCGTCATGGCCCAAGGTACAGAGAGGGCGGGCTCTGGGGGTTGCCGGGAGGTGGTTGGCTGGGGCTTGTCCCTGACCTCACAGCCCTTTACTGTTCCAACCCAAACAGAGTGTCATTTTCCCAGGGGCCAGGGGTGCCCCTCTTTAGGCCGGCTGTGTTCCAAGAGAAAGAAAGACCAGCCAGAGGGGGTTTGCATTTGGAGAGGGGGTGCAGGGGTGCCTCAAGGAGGGGTGGAGAGGGAGGAAGGAAAAGCCCCTTAGCCTGAGGGAGGCAGAGGGCAGGGAGGTGAAGTCCTCAAGGGAAATCAGCAAGCTTAGCAGCCAGGGAAACCGGCAGTCTCTCTTGACCCCAGAGAGGAGATATTGGGTCTCCAGAAGAGCAAGCAGAAAAGGAGGATCCAGGGCAGAGTGTCTGGCTGCCAGACCCTGGGCCTTTTATAAACATCAGCGACAGCCGAGCCCAAATGAGTGTGGACGGGCATGTTCCATTCAACCCTCATAGCTGTCCCATGATGCTAGTGTTATTAGGTGCAGTTTACAGAGGTAACATTGAGGCCCAGAGAAGTGAGGTGACTCACCTAAGGTCACACAGCTATGAAAGGCTGAGCCAGGATATGAACCTAGGTCTGTCTGATTCCAGAGTCTGAGCTCTTTATCACAGCATGGGACTGGCTTGCTGGGACTGCAGTGGGAGATAAGGTCAGCCATCCATGCTGGGCAGGAGTTTGGATGGCTAACTTACAGATTCCAAGTTCCTTCCCCTGAGATGATGGGCAGTGTAAAGAAAGTACAGCATATGAGCCACTGTGGCTCAGGCAGGTCACCCTCTCTGTGCCTTTATGCGGCCACTTGAAGAATGGGGATGCCTAGCATAAGGACCGGCCATGTTACAGCATTTTCAAACCTTCCCATCCATTGTCTGGGTCAGCAGATGTTCATGGAGCGGCCCCTTGTGCTCTGGGGTCCAGACGTACACACCTGACTCTTGATGGGCCCTGCACCAGGTTCCTCTTGGAACACTGGGAGCACAGTGGCTCTGCCAGGCAATGGAGACCGTGGTCCGCAGACCTCTGCCCATCCTGAGCTGTGCTGGATGGGTGTATGGTGAGAGACATGCAGACTTTGAGAGAAAGCCTTGAGAAACTTGTTTGGCAACTTGACATTGCCACATCATTTTTAATTTTATTTCACAAAAATATCTGTTGGCATCAGATTGGAAAACTTAAAAAGTAAAGAAGTCACTTCACCTCAAATTTCTTGAGCAGCTCTTGCCTGGGTCTTGGGATTGAAGGTAGGATGCGCCTGGCTTGCTCATGGATATGGGGCAGAGGAGAGCAAGTCATTTCGCCCTGGAGGTGGAGAGGGAGGATCTGGTTAGGCCTCCCAGAGGAGGTGACGATGAGCTGGACCTTGAGGGAGGAGCGGGGGTTTGCCAGGCGGAGGGAGAGGGAAGGGCATTTTAGGCACTGGGAACAGTATGTGCAAAGGCAGGAACAGGAGGACCCCATGGTTCAGGAATGGCAAGCGGTCATGGGTGTTTAGAGAAGCAGTGGAGTTGGCTGGGGAGAGGCAGGTGAGGGCCAGGCCGGGAGGGCCTTGAATGCTGTGTGAAGGAATTGAGACTTTGCCCTGGAGGCACGGGGGAGCTGTCGGTGGTTTGTAAGCAGGGGAGAGAAGTAGTTAGCTTTGCGCCACAGAAACTCTGTCCAGGTGGCAGTGGACTTGAGGTGGCCATGGCTGAGTAGGTGGCTTAGAGCAGTGGTCTCCAACCTTTGGGGCACAAGGGACCATTTCATGAAGGACAATTTTTCCATGGACGGGGTCGGGGAGGATGGTTTGGGGATGAAACTATTCCACTTCAGATCATCAACTGTTCCACCTCGGATCATCAGGCATTCGTTCAATTCTCAAAGGAGCACACTCCTAGAGCCCTCGCATGCGCAGTTCACGGTAGGGTTCGCGTCCTATGATAATCTAGTGCTGCCTGTGATCTGACAGGAGGCAGAGCTCAGGCGTTAATGCTTGCTAGCTCGCCTGCCACTCGTCTCCTGCTCTGCAACCTGGTTCCTAACAGGTTATGGATCAGTACCCATCCGTGGTCCAGGGGTTGGGGACCTACGCCTTAGAGGACCAAAGAGGCCATCCAGGTGTATGCTTCCTTTCCACCGCCAACCTCCCAGAAGGCTGTTCCTCGATTGTGTCTTGTGGAGTAGGTTGCTGATGCACAGGCCTCTCTTTGTCCCCTGAGTCGGTCCTGGCTGATGGGCAGGCAGCCCTCGGGTGTGAGCAGCATGGCCTTTCCAGGCTGGCCTGGTTGGTGGGGTCACACCTGGGGTCATGGGCTGGCCATGGCAGAACTCTCTTGTCCACACTGCCTGCCCTACTAGAGCTGCAGGAACGTGGACTGGTGGGCTGTCAAATGGGTGCTGGGTACAGTTTGGGGTACAGTCCAGAGCCGTGTTCAGGGAAAGCTGTCAGAAGGGAGGGCTGAAGTTTGAGCTGAGGTTGGGCCATTGCCCAGGCCCTGGGTACCTGGTCTCTGATGGCATGGGGTCTGTGCAGGAGGTGAGCAGTGGGCAGCAGGCTGAAGTGGCTTCCTGCATGGATCCTCTGATGGGCCAGGGCTGAGACCTGCCTCTGTGGCCTGAGGAGCAAACATCTGGTTGAGGTAGCGAGGGAAAAGTTAAAGTCATTCCCAACCCAGCCCAGTTCAAAGCAGACAGTGCAGTGTCAGGGAGTCGCTGGTCTTCAACTCTGTCACAGCCTCCTGTCCCTAGAGTAACTGACCTGCCCTGTCCCAGGGCTGCTGGGAACAGACCAAGGTGTGCCTGGGCCTGCATGTGGCCACAAGCCCACGGAGGCCCTGCCTGGGAAGGAACTGTTGGAAGCGCCTCTCCTGCCTGCCCCACCTCCACCCTCCTCTGGGGCCCCAGTTCAGGGTGGCCCAGCCCCTGCCTCCCTCCCTGCAGCTCCCAGACAGGCTGGGCCCCAGCAGCAGGCCGGGCTGTCTGGCTGCTGTTCAACAGGGAGTCCAGCTGCCTGGGGTCCTACAGAACGGGGCTGGGCAGGCATTCTTCTCTGTCCAGGCTCTGGCTTCAGGGCCAGGAAGGCAGGAGTTGTTGAGGTGCCTTAGTTTTAACAGTGGTCTTGGTCATGTGTGGAGGCTCAGGATTAGAGTCCTCACCCTGTCTGCTGTACCCGACTTGGTTGGTCCCACACTGAACTCATGACTTGCCATAGAGCGAGGGCCTCCCTGACGGGAGCTGGGGAGCAGGCCCTGGGACAGCTGAGCCTAACTCAGGCTTCGTCTTTCTGCTCCACCCTTCCCCAAAGCTGATCCTTTCACTGTGCAGGCCTGCTGAGACCTCCTTGCTTCTCGGTGCCCCCCCTTCTCTAAGGACAGACACCCTGAGCCTGTTGTGCATGGCTTCTGCCACTTCTCAGCAAGACCTCCTAATCAAATCCTCCAAGGTTGTCCGTGTCCGGGTCCAGGGGCACAGTCTGGCCCCTTTGCTCATCGCAGCCTGTCTTGGCTTCTCCCGGGGACTGTGCTCCGCCCTCCCTCTCCTTGAGCCCCCCCTTCCTAGTTCTGTGGCCTGCCCTGTCCCAGTTCCCTCAGCTACCGGTGAGGAAAGGACCCACTGGCCCAGCTCCCAGGGGTCTGCTCCCCGGGCTTCGGTTAGAAACCAGACTCCTCCCTGGCACCTGCCAGTGGCTCCCCTGCCCTCCCTGAGCACCCTGGCCCCAGGCCCAGGACAGTGGCCAAGAAAGTCTCCTCTGCCCTTTTAGACTCACTCTCATTTCTTCCTGGACCCTTCCATCCTGGAGAACCCTCCGCCTGCTGCCTCCTGGGCCCAGCAGTGGCCTCCTTCCTGGCTGCCCTGGGCTCCTGGCCTGGCAGCAGTCTGGCTGCTTCTGGAGCTCAATTGTTGCCACCCCCTTTTCTCAGAGCCCAGTGTCTGAGGCGTGGGTGGGCCTCACATGTTGTGGGAGTCCCTGTGGTTCACAAAGAGGCTAAGTGGGCCTGGTCTCATTTCATCTGTGCAGCAAGCTTGGGAGTAGCTACTGTTCGCCCAGTTTGCGGATGAAGGAGTTGAGGCCCCAGAGGGTTCAGCAACTTTGTCAAGGTCTTGTGGGACATCAGGGACTTAGACCCACATGTCCTGACTCTCCTCGTGACCACATAGCTGTCTTGGAGGTAATGGCCTCCTTGGCCTCTGCTTGCTGTATTGTCAGGGTCTGGCCAGGGCTCACAGGCTCAGTCTATGTTTGGGGTCGGGGCTTATGGGCCTGCCTGGGCCTTTGCCTGGGCTTAGTACTAGTCACCGTCAGTGGCAGTTAGCTCTGTGAGCATTTATAACTGCTTTCTTCTCCTCCTTCCTTCCTGAACTGTTGACACCAGTGTCAGATCCTCTTAGGGACACAGCCTTTATCCCTGAAGCATCCCTGAAGCTGGTCACAATTGGCCAGGGCTGGGGGCTGCAGAAACAGAATGGGCCAGGAGTCACTGGGGGAAGATGGCTGGGGCAAGGTAGACTCTGAAGAGTTGGCTTGTGCGCCTCTGACTGCCCAACCCATTTCTTCTTGAGTCACATTGAAGATCCACAACTCCAGCCTCTCCCTTCTGCAGGGTCTGATGCTCTGTGCTTCCTTATAGCAACTCTTGATGCGAGTAGAGAGAGTAAAGGCTTTTGCTCTGACTTCCCTGCTGGGGCTCCCGAGGTTCAGAATGGGTGTTCACCCCTTTAGATACCTTGTGGTGTTTAAATTTCCTCTAATTCCCTCCACCCCAAGAGAGCTGTTGGCATGCCTCCAGGGACTGGTAGCCCACTGGTTCCCAAGGCAGCTCATTGGATCTTTTAATTTTTGTTTTACTACATTTCAATTATATAAGGAATATACAAATACATTTTTACTTTGAAAAAAAATCAAATATTAACAAATAAACTAAAGTCTTTCTTGATGATCACAACATTCCAGATTTCTCTGGAGCGTTGACTGTCATGGTCATGACTCTAGTATATATCCTTCTAGATCTTTTTCTATATGTCAACACACATAATTTATAGGAATACGTACCACTGCAGAGTGTGTGGGTGTGTGTGTATGTGTTTAAACAAATGGTTTCATGTAGTACAGATTATTCTGCAAATTGCTTTTCTCACTTAACATTGTATCTGGGAAATCTAGCCACACAGTAGGTTTTAGAAAGGATCGTCATTTAACCATCCCCCCACCACTGACATTTGGGTAAATTCTGATTTTATTCTAGTGCCTCCTTGCACATATCTAGAGCAGCTACTGCTGGGTCTGGGGAACCTTTTGCACTTTTTAAAGTTTATTGTACAATGTTTAAAATCTGTCTGTTGAGACTGCATAGAACCAAATGTTTCCCTGTGAGTCCTTCACTATTGCTGGTTCTCCATTTTAGAGCCAGAGAGAAAGTCAGCTCTCCTGGCCCCTGCTAGCCCTCAGAGAGTTGAAAACAGTGGCTGTGGCCCCTGGAGCCTTCTTTCCTTCACATACAGGGTTTTCTGCCCTCATTCAAAGGCATGGCTTTGTGTGACGTCTCTCTTGGGCAGCTGTTGTAGGAAGTGAGCTCTGGAGTCATAATGCCGCAGTTCAAATCCTGGCTCAGCCCCTTACCAACTGGGTACTCTGGGAATGCCACATAACCTCTCTGTGCCTTAGTTCTATCCTCTGTCCAATAGAGATAACAGCAGCACCTACATCCTGGCACTGCTGAGGACCGAGTGAGCTAACACATGTGAAGTGTTTACCATGTGCCATGCAGACACACAGTAAATGCCCAGTAATGTTACTTTCCCAGGGTGTCTTCTCTGAATGAGCCCTGGATCCCACCTCCATGGGCTGGGGGCCTGTGCTCCCAGAGGGCAGTCTGCGTGGCTCCGGACTTGGTGACGGCTTTGTCCCGCTGTCCGCTAACATCCTGGTGGAGGCTGCTGCCTGGGAATGCAGCGGGCAATCGGATTTCATCCTGGCTTGGCCCCGAAGGGTCTGGACCAGAGCCTACGGGGAGGGAAGAAGGTCACCCTGACCCCTTGCTTGGCACAGGTGGCCAGGAGCCTCATACCGTAACCCCATCCTTCAGGCAGGTTTCCCGGCTGTCAATGAGGTTCGTTGTGGCTGCGGATTTGATCTCCCTTGGCCTGCAGGGTGGGCAGGAGAAGAAAGCAGTCTGGGGCCAGCCTTTCCCCTGAGAGTCCCGGGACGGCTCTGGGCCACACTGGCTGATCCAGGTCAGGGTTGGCCTCGCAGCCCCGGGGGCAAATTGGTGCAGCTGATGATTTATTTAGTGCTGGAAAGCATGGTCTGTTTGCTGTTTTCCTCACACCCCCCTTTCAGGCTCCAAACCACACTGATGCTGCTGCCTAAGCAGCTCCTTGCAGCCACGCTGGAAAAACAGGCAGCCTGGCCAAGGTCATTTCACAGATGCAGACACTGAGGCTCCAGGAGGTCATGCGACTCTCCCAAAGCCACATAGGTCACCACCGGCAGGGCTGGGAATGGTAGCCAGGCCATCTGGTTCCCTGTCCGGTTCTTTTTCATGAGGCGACCTAATGTGACAGTCTTGGCAAAAGGTTCCTGGCCACACAGCTTGGCCTCCTGCCCTCTGGGCAGTGGCGTGTGTGTTCATTGAGCACAGAGGTTTGGGATTATTTCCTAAGAGGCGAGAAGCACCATGGGTTGCCCTGGGCCCTGCCCTTCCCCAGCACCAGCCCTGGACCCTCTGGGTACCTAGAGGGGGCAGGCAGCAGAGGGTGGCTGCTTCAGCTGAGGCCTGTCTACCCGTCTGGGGTGAGGTATCGCTCTCTACACCTGTCCTGTGGTGTGGGCAGGGGTTGCAGCAGCCCTGGGGGCTCCAGTGCTTCTCCCAGGGAGGCAGGTGAGCAGCCATCATTGGACCCATTTTTAGGCTGGAGAAAGTAAGGCTCAGAGAGGCCCAAAGGGCCTCTCTGAGCTAGTGGATGCAGAAGGAAACCTCAAACCCACCTTCTAATTCTAGATGTAGGCCCTCACAGAGCCTGCTGCTGGGTCACACCAAAGAAACTGACCTGGTCTAGTTTTAAGAACATAGTGTCAGAGGGACACAGGCTTTGGGTTCTGGCTCAGCAATAACCACTCATATTTACTGAGCACTTATGTGGCAGGCACTATCTGTGACATTTCACTTAATCTTCAGGGTAGCATCATGAGGTAGATACAGCCGAGGAAACTGAGGCACAGGGAAGTTAAGTGGCTTCCCAAGATCATATTGGAGGAAGCTGAGATTTGAATCATGGCAGTATAGCTTCAGAGGATGTATGGGAGCCACGATGCTATAAAGCCTCTGATGGTCGGGGGATCATTAAGGTGGCAGTGCGCCTTTCTCACTCCTGGCACCATGCCTGACACATGGCAGGTGCTTGGTAAATGTGTCGAATAAATAATCTCTGAATGAATGGAAAGCTTTGGGCAAGCAACTCCAGGCTCTCTGCATGTCGGTTTTCTCACCTTTCCTTCAGCACTGATGGGGAGGGTCCAGTGTGGTGATATTTGGAAGTGCTGAGCTCAGGGCTTGGGCCCTGGCAGTTGCAGTTACTCTGGGGAGACGGTGCCTGAACTGGGATGCTCTCAACTGTGTCCCAAGGAGTGGGTGGTACTGCTCCCAGCTGTCCACACTGGAGCTCAGCTGTGTGCCCCCGGGGAACAGAGGCAAATTCCCTCTCCATGGGTAGCTGTGTGTGTCACCTGTGGCTGGTCTTGGTCTTCCTCCGGGCAAAACCAGGGGAGCCAGAGGGTCTGAAGACAGGCACTGGGCCAGCATGCGTGCTGACCCTTCAAGTTCCTATGGATCACTCCCAGCCTACTGGGTGATTTAAATGCACACATTTTTCATTTCGATTTCATTTCTTTTCAATAACGAGCCCATCTTTAACCAAGGTCTTGGACAAGGTCCCACAGGCATGGAGCGGGATTCCAGTGTGCCTCACCTACTGCCTTCTGAGGAGCCCTCCTCTGCTGCTCAGGTGGCCCCTGTGTGTCCCAAAGGTGGGAGCAGGTGCTTGAGGATGGGGGGGGGTACCCGGTGGTCCCAGGAAGTAACTCCCACCTCAGCTGCTCCTGATCGTAGGGAATTCCCCCACCTCCACTCAGATTTGCACTCTTCCTAAATAGCTCTGACAGCAGGATCTCTGCAGGAGGACTCAGTTCTAGCCTAGGCTCAACCACATGTTTGCTGTGTGGCTTTGAGTAAGTCCCTTTCCCTCTCTGGGCCTTGGTGCACCACCCTGTAAAGTGAGACTATGGAGCTTGCTGATACCTGTTATTCTGTCCCTCCCATAAGAAGGAGCTGCAGACCAATACTTCCTCAGCCCCTATTTAAGAGATTGGGATATTGAATACCTTGTCCATTGGGACAACTGGGCTTGGAGTTGAGGGTCAGATTCTGGTGTTGGATGGTCCTGAGACTGTGAAAAGCACATGACGGTGTGGTGGGGCTCGCCAGGATCCACTCCCCTCACCCCATGGAGAACCTGAGGTTTGGCAGCCAGCAGCCAGCATGCAGGGAAGGCGCAGCTCACGGAGCTCATGAGATCCAGGTTTGAATCCTGGCTTTGCCACTTACCCTTGGCTACCCACTTAACCCCTCTGAACCTCACTCAGTTTCTGCACCTGAAAGATGGGGGATCTGAAACTTTCCTCCTGAGATTGAGGTGAGGATAGAACAGGTGGGTATGTGTGACTCCCCAGCACCCCGCGGGTCCCCGGTGGAGTGTATCCAGCATCCTTTAGGTCTGGTGAGTGGGCAGCGTAAGGTCAGGGAAAGCGCTGGAAGCCTTGCCAACAGCCTGGGAAGCTGAGTCCAGAAATAGAAGACCCCGGAGACAGAGGCTCCAGTTGGCCAGGCTGCGCTCTGCCAGCCCCTGGGAGGCCAGCCTGAGCTGTCAGTGCGGGCCTCCCCTCCCTCCTGGGGCTGTTGGCTGCATAAATTACTCGGCAGCCTTTGGGCTAATTTTACCTTCTTGGTTTTCATGAATCATTTCCCATCTGGGGGCGTGCAAGAGAAATGGAAATGGCTCTGCCAGCTGGCTGCCAGGGCGCCAGCCACCGTGAGGGCTGTGGTGAGCCCCTCTTGCAGGTTCTTGGGAGGGCCGTCCTCAGGACAGCCACCAGGGCTGGCTCCTTCCAGCCATGTCCCTGTGCCTTTGGGTTATCATGATTTGGGGTAAATGAGCCACAGCAGATCCTGAGGCTGGAACTTGGGCTAAATCTAAAGGGATTTCGAATCAGTGGTTTCACCGTGATGGTCCTTCGGGTGTGTTTTGACCTCGATGGTGGGAACGGCTTGGCAGAGAGACCCCTGAGATCTGCTTGAATGCTTCTTGGGGGCCCAGCTTCTGGAGTTGCATGACCCTGAGTTTCACAGAATGCCAGAGCCAGCAGATCCTAAAGGAAAATCCCAAAGGCCTCATTGTGCAGATGGGTAAACTGAGGCTCAGAGAGGGAAAGGGATTTATCCAAGGTCTATGCCTCTGTGGACAAGGTTGGAGTAACAGTTATTTACCGTCTGCTTATAACTTCACTCACAACAACCTGATTTCACTCTCATCCCCATTTTATGTGGCAGGGGGCGGGGGTAACGAAAGGCACAGAAGGTGAAATAACTTCTCCAGATCGCATAGTTAGTAAGTCGTAGAGCTGGGATTCTCATCCAGGGAGTCCTGTTCCAGAGCCCATGTTCCCAGCTTCTTCACCAAGCTGCCTCTTGCCAGTGGACTGCAGGGCTGCCCTTGTTCCTGCCCTCCTCGCCTCTCCCATGCCCCTTGGGAGTGGATTTACAGGGCTGCTAATGGGGTACTCCTGGAAATCTCCAACTGATGCCCTCTCATTGTCTTCATCCATTCACCAAATATGTATTGAGCCCTGCCGGTGCCAGCAACCGTTCTGGGTGCTGGGGATTTGGAAGCAGCCAGAATGGGAGGGACTGGGGGGCTGGTGAGTCCCCAGCCCAGCACCCTCATCTCCTCTGAGGCTGGGTTCTCAGGGGGTGGCATCTGCACAGCACTGTGGTCTCTGCCACGCAGGCCGCACACTCAGATGCCCAGCCCAGGCGGGGGGCACATGTGAATGACACAGGCTGACTGGAGACCTGGAGAGTGAGTGCCTTGCCCTTGCCCATCTGAGCAGGGCCACCACCCAGCTCCAGGGGATCGTTGCCATGTGGGACTGCCCGCGTGGTGTTGCCAGCCCTTCGGATTTCCCAGAAAAGCTGAACATCCACGTTTTTACATGGAATCTTCTGTTTCTTCGAAGTTGGCAAAAATAAAAATGGAAAAAAAGAACAGTCACCAGTTTGCAGCCTGTGCTTCCTTTCTGCCGTTGCCTCTCTGCAGGCCTGTCTAGGAGGGAGCAGGCTTTCCTTCTAGTTAATGGGCCCTTCACTCCCTGCCGTGGAAGACCCCCTCCCATTGCAGCCTGTCTCCCCGCCATGCTACACTGCCACCTGGGAGTAGAGAAAAGAGTGTGGGCTTTGCATTGCACAGACTCCAGACAGCTGCTGTGCAGCCTTGTTCAAGCCACTTAACCTCTCTGAGCCTCCATTCCTATCTGAAAAACAAAGTAAAACTGCTTACTAGGTTGTGGACAGGACTAATTACAAACTGACTGAAACTCAAGTCAAACAAGAGTAGTCAAAAAATGGAATTTATGGGCTCAGCAGAAGCTCTAGGAGGATCTTGAGAGCTTCAGGTACAGTTGGATCCAGGGGCTTACACTGTCCTCAGGACTTGTTCCGTCCATCCTGCCCTGCTTTCTTAGGTATGGCTCCATTCATGGGCAGGCTGTTGTATGAGGTGGCACAGTGGTTGGCTGTGCCCCTGCCCACAGCAGATTCGCCCTTCTATCCTTTCAGCAATCCCTGCAATGAAAGGGCCCTTCTCTTTCCAGCAGAGTCCCCCAGAGCCCCAGAATTGTAGCTCACAAATTGGCTAGACCCTGTATCCTCTCTTGCACCAATCACTGTGGCTGGCCTGCAGATACGAGCACTGGTTGGTCAGTCCTCAGTGGCACTCTTACCCATGGAGTGGAGCATTGGAGATGGGGGCTCCCCAGGGACACCAGGGGGCCTGGATGCCAGCAGGCAAATGCATAAATATTCTAACTGGGCTGCAAGCCCCCTGAGGGTGGCGACCTTGTTCACCCATGGTTCCTAGCACCTAGGACAGTGCCTGGCACTTGGTAGGATGTGAACACAGAAGAGTGAGTGAACAGATAATGCTTCACAGAGTATGTAAAACACCCGACACAGAGCTGGGCATCAGCCACATCCATGCCCCTTCCACCTCCTTCCTGGAGGACTTCCGCCTTCTGAGCTGCACCTGCCTTCCTGGTCGAGTGTCACAGCTCCACAGTGCCTCCTCCTCCACTTGCTGGATCAGCCAGAGAAGCCCAAGTATGCCCATTTGTTTTGGCAAACTTGACATACAGTAATTATAATCACTAGTGATCACATCACTTTGAATTCACAGATATTATTCTCTGAAATCATCTCATTCTTTGTTTACTTCTTTATTGCTCAGCCCAGCTCATTCATATTGTTTGTTACTCTTGTGAGACTGAGCTGCACTCAGCTTCAATTTCATCAAATGTAGGAAGGGGGTATAATTCACCCTGCAGGGTTATAGAGAGGATTAAGTGAGATCATACAAAAATGGAATTCACTTTCACAAAGCCTGGCACAAAGTAGGTGCTCAAGAAAGGTCAGATTCCCTTTGAATTCTTTTAAGTCAAGGTCTTATTGGAGCTTACATGTATGAGCCTTTCCATGAATACATGAGAAGGTTCTTAATTCTCAGTAATGACCACTAATGACACACACGTGCACACATAAACACACACATACACACTATCACAATCATGGAAGAACCCTAGGTCACATAGTGTAGGTGCTAAAAGTGGCCAAGAGTCAATGGATCAGCAAGACAGTTTATTATTCACAGCAAACATCAGGATCATCAGTAGGGATTACCCTACTCCCGAGTCCCATGGGTTGGCCCAGATGGCAACTATTCACAGTGGGCTGTGTTGCACCAGAAGAACTCAGGGCTGAGGGCTCAGCAGCTTTTGTAGCAAGCCATAAACAACTAAGTTTCCCTTCTCCAGGGAGTGAGCAGTTGCACAGTGTTCACACCAATGTCTCCTTGACCAACTTAATTACCTATATCACTAGCAGCAGAAATGATTCAGAGTCAGAGGATAGTGAGGCCTTGCAGGTGGATATACTCAGCAAGGATGTTTAGGGATGCTTAGGACCCAAGGAGGACTGCCTCTCTCATTTCACACCACACACACACACACACACACACACACACACACACACACACACGCCATACTCGTCCATTGGAATGGTGAGCTGGCTGCCTGATAGTGAGTTCCCTGTTGCTGGAGGTACTTATGCATGCTTCGGGATGATGTATACTGTGGTTTCAAGCATCTTCTGATTTAGACTAGTGCATCTCCAACTTCGATGTGCGTACAAATCACCTTAGGCCAACTGAGTCAGGAGGACTGCGGTGCAGAACTCAGGATTCTGCATTTCAGACAAGTTTCAGGAGATGCCGAGGCTGCCAGTCCACAGACCATAGCTTGAGAAGCAAGGATTTAGATGACTGTTGAGGTGTCTTTAATTCTGAGATTCTGGGCAAGATTGGGCAAATACACAGCCAGTGAGAATAGCAGGGCAGGATGGAACAGCGAGGGAGGGAGGAGAAGGGGATGGGGGAGAAGTAAAGGTTGATGGGGGCAGGAGCTGTGGGCCGTGGTCAGGTTCCCTGGACTCCTTATGCCCCTGCAGCCCCTCCATCTACAAGCCTTCTCCTCTGGGTCCTGTGGTCCAGACAGGGGTCCCCTTTCCTTGTAACCAAAACACTGAAAAAGAACCTCATGGTGTTTCCTCAGGTCCTACATCCCCAAATAGAGACCCCCAACTCCAGGAATTGGGAGGAGTGTAGGTATGAGGGCCTTGCACAATGTTCAGAAGGGTAGGGGCTGCCTGCGCCGAGTGGCTGGCGGTGGGTTCCTGTCTCCCTCTGCCTCCTCCGGTGGCCTTGAGGTTTCCTCCCCTCTGGGTCTCACTTTCCTTGTCTAGAAAGGTGGGGCTTGGGTCAGGGCATCTCTGGGCATCCTTTCAGCTCTACCCAGGTTGGAATCCCAGCCCTGCCCACTAAGAGCCACAGGTGTAATGTGTGGGGAGATCACTTAACACTCTCTGGCTTCCTCACTACATCATGGGGTTAAGGAGCTGGCTAGACGAGGACACACTGGGTCTCCAGCACCCGGCAAGTGGTCAATGCAGGACAGCTCTGATTCTCCTTAGAGGAATCTACACATCCAGGCCTCTTTCAGTCGTGATCTTCCCAGCCGCCACTTTGCCATCTGAAAGTGTGGCTTCAGCCCAGAGACTGCACTCCTGGCAGCCTGACCCTGGCCCTCCACAGGCCACACCCCCTTCTCCCCAATTCTTATTTGGCTGTGGCTGACCGGGTACTTGGAGTTGTGGAGCCAGGTTGGCCTCAGGGAACTGTTAGGACTTCAGGGCCCTCTTCCACAGGTACAGCAGTGGTTGGGAGGAGCCCCCTCTGCCTGCCTCACCCCGAATCACTGACATGCTTGGGGTGGGGGTGGGGGAGAGGCAACCTGGGACTTGTATTTTAATTCTAGTAATACTGATAAGTATTTGTTACTTTTTATTGTGCAAAAAAAAGTAGATAGAAAAGTATAATAAACTTCCACATACCTATCACCCAACCTCAACAATTAATAGCCCCTAGGCATCACTAGTATATTTTTAAAATCAGAAATGCATGCATCTGGTATAAAATTCAGTAAGCAGTAACTACCTCTCCTCCTCTAGCCCTCAGTCTAGGAGCATCAACTGTCACAGCCTAGAGCTGTTTTGAGAATATATGAGCACATCTAAATGTGTATGTCCTTTAACACTTTATGCAACTGGGGCTTGTTTGTTTTATATAACACACTTACCGCTTACTGGCTTTGTGCCAGATAATGTTCCAAGTGTATTACACATGTTAATTCATTTATTTCTCATAACAGCCTTACCAAGTAGGTGCTATTAACCCATTTATGCCTGAGGTTGCAAGTTTTTGAATTTTTGCAATCAGACCTTGGCAATGACCTTGAGCAGTAGGATGTAAATAACTCCCACATGCTTAGCTTTCCAATAATAGAACACTAGGCATAAATGGGTTTTGATATCCCCAGGCCCAGAGAAGTTAAGGAACTCCCCCAGTGTCACACAGATGGTATAATGCAGCTGGAAGTTGAATCCAGGCAGCCCAGCACCAGAGTCCATGCTCTTAACCACCATTTTCTGCTGTCTCTCCCATGACGTGTTCTCTTCCTAACTTTGGTTTTGTTTCACCACCAAATGAGTAATCCATTCGATAAATGTTTATCATGTGCCTATCTTGCACCAGGCACTGCTCTAGTTTCAGGGGATGTAGCAGTGAACAAAACAGAGAAATATCTCTACCTTCCTGGAGCTGACATTCTATTTGGGGAGGCAGACAGAAGTGCTGCTTAAGTTTGATGGTGACACACACTCTGGAGAAAAATAAAGCAAGGGGCCAGGCAGGGTGGCTCATGCCTATAATGCCAGCACTTTGGGAGGCTGAGGCGGGCAAATCACCTGAGATCAGGAGTTCGAGACTAACCTGGCCAACATGGCGAAACTCCGTCTCTACTAAAAACACAAAAATTAGCCAGGCGTGGTGACAGGCACCTGTAATCCCAGCTACTAGGAAGGCTGAGGCAGGAGAATCACTTGAATCCAGGAGGCAGAGGTTGCAGTGAGGTGAGATCACACCACTGCACTCCAGCCTGGGTGACAGAACAAGACACTGTCTCAAAAAAAAAAGAAAAAAATCCAGCAAAGAAGGAGTGGTAGCAAGCATCAGGGAGTTGCAATATTATATAGGGAAGCCAGAGAAAGTAACATTGAGTGAATGCCTAGAGGGAGTAGGGGAGCAAGCCACATGGGTATAAGGCGGAAGAGCATCTCAGGCAGAGGGAATAGCCAGTGCTAAGGCTCATGTTGGAGGCAGAGCAGGGCAGCCCCTGTGGCTGTGATGTGGGGTGGGGAGTAGGAAGGGAGGAAATCTCAGAGGGAGTGGAACAAACTGTCAGGCCAGCACACTGCTGAAGAGCTTTGGTGTTTGCATTGCATGAAATGGGGCACCATGGGGGTTTTGAGTGGAGGGCAGAGGGCACTTGACCTGCCTTATGTTATAACAGGTACACCCTGACTGTGGGTGGGGAAT
Source organism: Homo sapiens (assembly GCF_000001405.40). Classification (NCBI taxonomy): domain Eukaryota; kingdom Metazoa; phylum Chordata; class Mammalia; order Primates; family Hominidae; genus Homo; species Homo sapiens. Next base: position 45,170,756 of record NC_000011.10, read on the forward strand.
GGACAGTAGGGGTAGAGTGGAAGGAGGGACACGAGTCAGGCTGTCTCTGAAGCCATTCCGGGAAGAGGGAGTAGTGGCTTAGAGCAGGGTGGCAGCCATGGAGGAGGGGTTAGGTCTGTTCCATGGCTTCCTTCTTTGAAACTGCTCACTCTCTGTTGTGTGGCTGTGCTGTGTGGTATTTAACCAACCACCCCATCCCCCTCCATGGGTACATTGGTTGTTGCCAGTCTTTTGCTATCCCAGACAGTGCTGCAAGGAATACTGTTGCACAGATGTCTTGGAGAAATTCCTAGAAGTTGTAGGATTGAAGGTTATGGGTTTTTTGTTGTTGTTGTTGTTGTTTTGTTGTTTTGTTTTTTTTTGAGATGGAGTTTTGCTCTGTCACCCAGGCTCAAGTGCAATGGTGCAATCTAGGCTCACTGCAACCTCCACCTCCTGGGTTCAAGCAATTCTCATGCCTCAGCCTCCTGGGTAGCTGGAATTACAGGCACCCACCAACACGCCCAGCTAATTGTTGTATTTTTAGTAGAAACAGGGTTTTGCCATGTTAGCCAGGCTGGTCTTGAACTCCTGACCTCAGGTGATTCACCCACCTCGGCCTCCCAAAGTGCTGGGATTACAGGCCTCAGCCACCGTGCCCAGCCGGTTATGTGGATTTTTTAAAGTTCCCCAGTGCCAAATTGCTCTCCCTGATGCTACTAGTTTACACTCCCACCAGCAATGCTTTGGAGAGAATGCCCAGGATGTCACTTCAGTGCAGATCTTGGGCTTAAGGGAGAGGGGTGGCTGGTGATGAGATGCTGTGGCCCCACCCTGTTTGCCCCTTTGTAGGCTGAGGCACCATCAAGGCAGATGCTTTACAGAGGCACAGGCAGAGTGCTGGGCCCATCTGGAATGGGACTGGGGATAGAGGGAATCTGCCCCTTTGATAGGGCAGTGTCCCAGTGAGGATGGCTCATGGCTGCAGGTGACAGAAACCCTGTTGCAGACAGGCCCAGGCAATAAAGCAGTGTAAGAGGAAGTGCAGAGGTAGCGTGGATTTCAGGACCTGTTGGTTCAGCACCTCAACCGTGTCAGTTACAGTTTCTGTCTCTGAGATGGTTCCCAACACCAGCCCCTTCTTGGATTCTCCAACCCAACTGGGTGTCCAACAATTCAATTCAATTCAATTCTGTAACTATCTAGAGCTGGTGCAGACCCCACAAGATAAGAGCTCAGTTACACAAGACTGCCCTCAATTCAGACACTGGTCATAAGTCCCAGGGGACTTGTACCTCTGACCAACATAAATCCAGGGCTCCTACAAACCCCTTTCTCAGGTGTGATAATTCACTTGAATAACTCACAAAGCTCAGGAAAGTGATTTACTTACTATTACTGGTTTACATAAAGGCTACAACTCAGGAACGGCCAGATGGAAGAGCTGTGCAGGGCAAGGTGTAGAGGAAGGGACCTGGAGCTTCCATGTTCTCGCTGGACCCTCCACCCTTCCAGCACCTTGCTGTGTTCACTAATCCAGAAGTTTTCTAAATCTCCTTCAAGAGTCTTCACAGAGCTTCATCTCCAGCCCCTCTTCTTGTTGCCAGAGGCCAGTGGTTGGGATTGAAAGTTCCAACCTTCCAATCACGTGTTCTTTCTGGTGACTCAGCCTCATCCTGAAGCTATCTGGGGGGTCCCACCCTCAGTCATCTCATTAGCATAAACTCAGGTATGATCCGGTGGGGCTCCTTATGAAGCACCAAAGACACTCCTATAACCCAGGAAATTCCAAGGTTTTAGGAGCTCTGTTTTATTAGCCAGGAACCAGGGACAAAGACCAAATACAGTCAACCCCTCCTATCCATGGGCATCCATGGATTCAACCAGCCATGGCTCAACAGACTTTCTCCTTGTGATTATTCCCTAAACGATACAGTATAGCAGTGATTTACATAGCATTAACATTGTATAAGGCATTATAAGTAATCTAGAGATGATTTAAAGTATATGGGAGGATATCCAAAGGTTATGTGCATATACTATGCTATTTTATATCCAGGACTTGAGCATCCTTGGACTTTGGTATCAGAGAGGGTCCTGGAACCAATTCCCCTCAGATACCAGGGTGCAAATGAATGTGTGTTTCTTGTCCTACCACCCTGTCCCCCTGCTCTGAGGAACTCGCTTCATGCTGAAGATGCTTCCTGCTGGGGTCCTCTGCAGGACATGGCTCCCATTTGCAACAATGGCTGTGTGCTTTCTCCTTCTAGTCATGAAATAAAAGCCCTTCCCTTCCCTTTGATTTGGTCAAAATAAGTCAAATGTCTGATCTTGGAGGGAAATGTCATGTGCTGATTAAAGGCCAGGTTCCTGATCCAGTCATTGGGGAGGGAGGTGGCATTGCTAGAATTGGCTTAGATGAACCTGAGCCCAGCCCTGGTGCTGGGCAAAGGCTCGGTGTCTCTGAATCTCACTTAGTTGGTCCTATAAGGGAGGTGTGGCACCTGAACAAAGTCCAACTTCCAGTGGGGAGTAATGAGGTAACGGATACCATAGAAGCCACCAGCAGGATCCACTGTGAGAAGCAAACACATAAAAAAGTTCTGGCTGGGCGCGGTAGCTCACGCCTGTAATCCCAGCACTTTAGGAGGCTGAGGCAGGTGAATCACCTGAGGTCAGGAGTTCAAGACCAACCTGGTCAACATGATGAAACCCTGTCTCTACTAAAAATCCAAAAATTAGCTGGGCGTGGTGGCGCACGGCTGTAATCCCAGCTACTCGGGAGGCTGAGGCAGGAGAATCGCTTGAACCCGGGAGGCGGAGGTTGCAGTGAGCCGAGATCACGCCACTGCATTCCAGCCTGGACAACAAGAGAGAAACACCGCGTCAAAAAAAAAAAAAAAAAAAAGTTCTGCGGGAGGGACCGCCTTGGGAGAATGTGTTCCACCAGCCCTGGCCAGCTATACCCATGATGCTTAGTGGCGACTGCCCTGTGGGTAAAAGCTCAAAACCTCATTTTCCATGACCCCAGCAGGAGCCTCCACTGGCTGGACCCCAGTTCCTGCGGCTGCAAAATCAGGGACTGGACAGGGTTAGAGGTCCCCATATGGGAGTTCCTTGCCCTCAGGAGGCTCCAGCAGATGGTTTTTCTTTATGTTTATTAACATATATATATTCAGAAAAGTGCACATATTGTAAAAGCTGGCTGAGTATATTTCCACAAACTTATTATACCCATGGGATGAGCACCCAGATGAAGAAATAGAACATGGCCAGAATCTTAGAACTCCTTTTCCTGCCTTTTTCCAGTTATTCCCAAGAATAACCACAAACTTCACCTCTAACACCATAGTTGTGGCTGGTTGGTTTTTTTTGGTAACTCTATTTAAATGGAATCATACAGTATGAGTCTGTACTCTTTGGGGGTCTCCTTTCTTTTCTTGGCATTATCACTCATCCAGATTATAGCATGTAGTTGTAGTTTGTCTATTCTCATTTCTGCATAGTATTCTATCCACTGAATTTGGTGAATATTGTACAGTATCCTATGATCAGGTAGGACAAGTGAACAAACATGTCAAATTTCTTTGCTTTTGCTTAGGATGACGGCCGCTAACCAGTGTATTAACTCTGCTTATCATGCACCCTGTGTGTATACAAAGAACTAGGAAGATGAATTAATTATTACCTAATGCATGCAGTCTTTTTAGTAGACATGATCTTCCAAAATGGGAATCCTAAACAAAAATAAAAACAGGTATGCTTCGGGTAGAGATATGGGGGTCCTTACCGATTGATTGATTCATTGAGTCATTGATTCATTCGTTCATCAAATATGCATCAAGCGCCACTTGTGTGCCTGATACTCAGTCTCTAATCTGGATTCCTCCTTTCTCCTAACCAATTGGCAGGATCTCAGCATCTAATGACAAGTGGGTAAAGGTCATTGGAATTATCTTCTTTAGCAATTTCTAAACTAAATGATTATGAAGAGGTCCTCTAAAGAATATTTAAGTGACTATTTTTCAGAAGCAAAAAGAAGAAAACAGAAATACACAACCCTCCTCCTGAACTAACCACTAGTGATACCTTAAAATATATCCTCCCAGACCCATGTGTACAGATCTGCATCATTATGTATAGACTTTAAGTGGAATTATTTTGTACACCTGTGTAGTGTGGGAAATTAAAAGTGTTTTAATGGAATTATTTTGTATCTATCTTTTCATAGCTTTCATTAACAAAATCCTTGTTTTTTAGAGCAGTTTTAGGTTCACAGCAAAACTGAGCAGAAACTAGAGTTCCCCATACACCCTGCCCCCACACACATCCAGCTTCCCGGTTATTAACATCCCACACCAAAGTGGAACATTTGTTACAATTGATCAACCTCCATTGAAACATCGTTATCAACCAAAGTCCATAGTTTACATTAGGGTTCACTCATGGTGTTGTACCTTCTGTGGGTTTTGACCAATGTACAATGACATGTGCCTTCCATTGTAGTATCATACAGAGTAATTTTACTGCCTAAAAATCCTCTATATTCCACCTATTTGTTCCTCTCTCCCCGCAACCCCTGCCAACCTCTGATCTTTTTACAGCCTTCGTGATTTTGCCTTTTCCAGAATGTCATATAGTTGGAATCATACAGTATGTACCCTTTTCAGGTTGGCATCTTTCACATAATAACTTGCATTATCATTTAGCAATATGTTGAACGTGTGTTTTCATGTCAATAAATATTCCTCTACAGCATTGTTAATTGCTGTCTGTTATTTCATTGTATGCTAATATTTCATTGTGATATAGCATAGCAATTTCCCCCATTTTGGAGGTTTAAATTCTTTCCTATTTTTTGCTTTTAAAAATAATATTGCAGAGGACAGCTTTGTAGGTAAATCTTTGCACGCAATTTAAATACATCCTTAGGATCCATTCCTGGATGTGGGCTTGCTCCTACAAAGGGTTTACTTACTTTGAGGATTTTGATACATGTGCCAAATTACCCTCCAGAAAGGTTACACCAATTTACACTCCAACCAGTGGGATATGAAGTACTAATTTCCCCTACACTCTTGCCAACTCTGAATAACATCAAGATTTTTCATCTTTGCCAATTTATTAGAGGAGAAATGATATTTATTTGTTTTAATTTGTATTTATTTGAGTATTAATGTCTTCATGGTTTTCCTTAAAGCATATTAGCCATCTATTGGTCTTTGCAGATTGCTTGTTCATGTTTTCTTTTTATCCATTTTTTTTTCTATTGAGGTAAGCATCTTCAGAGCATATATTTATAAAAAGTATTTATTAGGGGTATTCACTGCTTGTAAAGGCCCTCTTCTAATGTCAAACAATTTTTGGCCGGGTGTGGTAGCTCATGCCTGTAATCCCAGCACGGATCCCAGGGCAGATCACCTGAGGTCAGGAGTTCGAGACCAGTGTGGCCAACATGGTGAAACCCTGTCTCTACTAAAAAAATACAAAAAATTAGGCAGGTGTGGTGGCAGGTACCTGTAATCCCAGTTATTGGGGAGGCTGAGACAGGAGAATCGCTTGAACCCAGGAGGCAGAAGTTGCAATGAGCCGAGATCGTGCCATTGTACTCCAGCCTGATCGACAGAGCGAGACTCAATCTAAAAAAACAGAAATTTCACCACCATGTGCACATCTGATGTCTGTTATACTTTTAAATATTAATAAAATGAATGATAATATTTATAGGGTACTTACGATAGGTCAGGCATTATGCTGTGTTAAACAGCCCTATGAGATAGGTTCTGATATCAGTGCCACAGGACGGATGGGGAAACCAGGTAGGCGTGGTTAATGCAGTTTCTCAAGGTTACACAGTTTGTGAGTGGCTGTGCTGGTGTTAATTGATTAACAAAATACATGGTGACATAAGGTTTCTATGAATTCAATAACACTTTTAAATACATTTATCTTTTGTGTTCATCACAAAAGTATTCATTTGCAAATCTGTCTTATACATGTAAGTTTAAGGCATATATTTATGTTCTCTATAGGCATGCTTGCTGAGAATATAAATTCAATAACTCCCTATAATAATTCCAAGCCCTTGCCCACCTCTCACATGGTATACTGTTAAGGACTATGAGTTGGACCTTTTATTTTACAGGAAAGAGAAACTGAGGGCAAGGCAGAAACTTTATCAGGGTCACCTAAAAAACTGACAGCACAGCCAGAACTGAGACCCAGGGCTTGGGATTCCCAGCCCAAGTCAAGGTCAGCATGTGGCTTGGGCCAGCACCCTAACCTCATGTCCTTTTGGTATCAATGGGAACAACAGAGATGCTGTGGTAGGTACCAGAGTAAACCTTCTAGATTCTCATGGTGCCAGCCTCTAGGGAAACCAAGTGGGCACAGATCCCCAGTTCCCTGGCTACACTGGCTCCTGGGCATTCCAGGATCCTGGCACCCTGCCAAGGGTGAAAACAGAGCTGCAGACTCCTGGGCTGCATTCTGCCCCCTTCTTTTGGGTTTGCAGCTCACTGCTGGGTTTGCAACAAGCCTAATCTCTGCATGTGCAGACTTAGAGGAGCCAGCTGAGAGGGAGCATTGCCAGCAGCTTGGAATCCTCCATGAAGCCTGCCGACCCCCCTTCCCCCAAGACTTTTGCTGGGCAGGTAGGACTAGAGCATTCTTCAGAAAAGGCAACAGGGGCTTTACCTGGGCCAGGCCTTAGAGTGTCTGCTGAGATGGACTCAGTGAAGGACACCAGCACATGTTCTCCCTCTCTCTCTCCCCAGTGGAAGTTCATTTGGTCCTGCCACATCCCATCTTCTCCCTCCCTGTCCCTATGGCCTTTATCACAAGCACAAAAGTCTGTCTATTTCAAAGTAGAGATGTCTATGGGCCACTTGAGAGTTGGAATGCACATTAGTCCTTTGAGGCTTGATCCTGGTTCTCCGGGCAGCCAGCTCCAAGAGTAGAAAGAAATTATATGTGCATATAGTCAATAAATAGGTGTCAGATAATAAGGACTCGGTAACTCATTATGTTTCCCTTTATGCTTTGGCTGCCAGGAGGCTCAGAATTGAATGAAGAACTCAATCACTAACCCTTTTACAACAGATTCCCGGCATAACCAACACCCCTCTTTCTCCATGAGGCCTCTAACACTATCTCTGGTTGTTTCTTAACTGTCCTGTTTAGTATGTGTTTGTTTTATAAAACATTGCAAATCTTTTGTGTGGTGAAGGTGGGATGTGAGAGATAGGACATAAATGCAAATGGCCCACAGATGTCTCTACTTTGAGATACAAAGTAATACTTTGCCCACAGGGGGTGGTTTGCTGGGAATGATTTAAGACAGGAAAACGTTTATATGCCTCGGTCCTTCTCTTTCAATCTCCCTTCCCCTCCTCATCTTCTCTTTTCTCCCTTCTCTCCTCCTTCTCTCCCTGTCTTACCCTCCGTCCTTTATTCTCTTACTATTGCCTATCCTCCCTCCAAACCCCTTCCGCATCCCTCTGTGCCCTCCTCGTTTATTCCTAATGGGGACCACCTCCTCCTGGCAAGTATCAGTATTTCCATTTTGCAAAAGAAGACACTAAGGCCCTAGAAAGTGTAAGTGACGTGCCATGGCCACACTGATTATCCTCCCCAACTTATCGTCAGAATCCGGCTCTGAGTCTCATGAGTCTAATTCCATCCTACCCCCTAGTGCTCCATCCTACCCCCCAGTGCACCTCTGCACCCTTCAGTGCCCACCCTGCCAGCATCTCTCACTACCTGCTCTGCCTGGCGGAGATCACTGGAAGAGAGCTCCATAGGGAATCAAACCCCCACCCTGTTTTTCCTGCTGACGTCTCTTTCAGAGTTGAGATTCCCAATGGGACCAGTGGGACACATCAGAGGGACCAGTGAGATATGAAGGGGAACATTTGGTGAATATTTACTGAGAATATGCTGTGTGCTGGGCAAAGTGGAGAGTCAGCCAAGCAAGGTTCTCAGGGTGCAAAATTGAAAGAGGTTCTCACTCTCAGGTGCCAGTCCTGCAAGCGTATGACCCTCAGAGTGAAAGCCTCCTAGTACCTGGCTTGTCTTTCCCTAGTCTTGGCCCTGGTGCCAGGCACTGTTACAGGTGCTGGCAGTTCAATGGTGGCCTGCACCCTGTCCTCGGGGAGCTTACAGTCTATTAAGGGAAACAGATATTAATCAAGTAATCCTGCTAACAAAAGACGGTTATACATGTCACACTGCCATGAAGTGTGACATGGGGCTAGGAGAGGGTGTTTTTGGTGGCAGTTGGAGGGGGGCAGTGAGGTCTGAAGTCTGGATAGGAGTTCCCCAGGTGTTCTGCAGGCTAGGACTCAGCAAGTTCACAGGCCCCATGGCAGGATGGAGAATGGCATACAGGTGGGGCTTGTGGAGGGCAGAGGGGCCAGAGCAAGGGAGCCCCATGCAAAGCAGTCCTCAGCAGTCCGTTCCAATAAAGCGTCAGAGTTTCCAAATGACTGACTTAAAAAAAATAAATCCCAGCCAATGGAGAGAATTTGAAGCCACCCCTTGATGATGTCACTAGCACTCATCTTCCTGATCAGCATTCTTTAGTGGGATGTGCAGAGACTGGCCCCTCCACACTCGTCTGTGTCCACGGAATACAGCTATGTCTGTGATAGAATCTATTATTAGCCACATTTTCTAGATGAAGAAATGAGAACACAGAGAAGTTAGATAACCTGCTGTATTAGTCATCTCAGGCTGCCATGACAAAATACCGTAGATGGGGGTGCTTAAACAACAGCCATTTATTTCTCACGGTTTTAGAGCCTAGGAAGTCCAAGATCAGAATGCCAGCCTATTGGTTCCTGGTGGTGGCACTCCGCCTTGTGGATGGCTGCCTTCTGGATGTGTCCTCATGGTGGAGAGGGCCCTGGTGTGTCTTCCTCTCCTTATAAGGGCACCTAACCCTTATGACCTCAATTAATCTTGATCACCTCCTCACAGCCCCATCTGCAAATACAGATACTCTGGGGCTGAGGGCTTCAACATATGAAGGGGAGTGGGGTCCATAACACCTGCCCAGGATCACACCGCCCATCAGTGGGATTTGAACTCAGGCACTGCCTGTCCAGTGCCCAGGCACCTAACCACTGAGGCTCCACCCCAGGATGTATGGTGGGGGGTACTGCCCATCCCAGTGAGAGTTCCTCAGGGCAGCAGGTGTTCAGGGATCCTTCACAAATCCACAGGGCCTTGCTCCCACCTGGCAGCTGGACTTCTGAGCTGGGACCTGAACCCACTTAAGGGTGATCCCAGCGATTGTTCGGTAGAGGACTGGACTGAGGATACTGCATGGTGAAGCCAACTTGAAACACTTGAATCTGGGGGTTCAGCCAGTTTCCAATTTACTAAGCAGCCATCGGGTGTGGTCTGCATGACCTTCGGCAAGTCGCTTGACATCTTCCAGGCCCCAATTCCTGCGCCCTCACAGGAGGCAGGGGGCCATCCCACAGGCTTTGAGGTCGGTCGAGCACCCAGCGGGGAGTCCCTGGCATAACGCAGCCAGGAGGCAGTAGAGTGGCAGGCGCCCCAGGCGGTGCAGGTGCGGCCGCGGCTGAGCGAGCGGGTGTCCGGTGTCCGCACGGGTGGCAGCGCAGGCCCTGTCGTCGCCGCCACACCAAGGCAGCTCGGAGGCTGGGGACACCCGCCCGGCCTCCGCGGCGCTGTCGCCCAGCCCTGGCACCCCCCGGGCCGAGTGCGCATCGGGCCCCGTGGGAGGCCCTGGAATGCGTCCACCGCCTGACCCGGAGCGACCCCCCGCGGCGCCCTCTCCCACCGCCCCGCCCGGGCGCCCGCTTCCTCCCGCTCCCTGCGCGCCCCCCTCCCGGCCGCCAGCCAACTGCGTGCCCCCAGGGCCGGCAAGAAGCCACATGCCCCCGCAAGGAATGCCGGGCCTGGCGGGCGGGGGGCGGGCGCTGGGCAGGGCCGGGCGGGCCGGGCCGGGCAGGGAGCTCCCCGCCGGGAAGGCTGGCGAGAGGGGGAGAGCCCGCCCGCGCCCGCCCCGGCCGCAGCCTACACCGGCCCGAGACGGGGCGGCCACGGGGCAGGGGGCGGCGCGCCCGGCCTGGGCAGCCCTCCCCTTCCCCACCGCGCGCCCCCGGCCCTGCTGGCTCGGAGGAGGGGGCAGGCCGTCACGTTTCCCCGCACCCCTCCCAGTCGCCGCCGCCGGCTTTGGGGCCCCGGTGGGGAGCAGGGGGCTGATTAGCCGAGGAGCAGGGGTGTGGCCAGCGGGGCCCCGGGTAGTGAGTCACACACGCCGCTCGCCCAGTCCCAGGGCCCAGCGCCGTCCCAGCCCCAGGCTGCGTGCCACCCTCGCCCCGAAGAGTGTCCCCGGGCTTGGCATGAGGACCCCGGGGTGCCGAGGGAGGGGCTGAAGCCCGGCGCGGTGGTGGAGGGCGGTAAGCGGCGGGCTGGGGAGTGTCCCCTTGAGAGAGTCGGGTGGGGCTGGAGCCCTGGCTGGCCCTCGCCAGCGCCCCCAGGCCCTGCCTGTACCTGCTCTGAGCTGGCAAAGGGGCCTGGCTGCGCTCCCGGCAGTCCCAGGGTGAGGGGCTGCCCTGCCAGGCGCTGAGGGCCCGTTCGGTCTGCCCACTACCCCTTGGCCCAAGTTGGGCTTGAGTTGTGAACCCTCCCTTCTCCCCTTTGCAGTTTTGCGCCCAGGCTCATGTGGGATCCTCCTGCCCTTTGCCCTTTGGTCTAGGGGTCCAGGCTATGCTTCCCAGCGCGGCCTCCTGGCCTGAGCTGCTCTAGGCTCCTGACCCCATGGGGCTGGTGGCTCCAGTCGTCCCCAGGACCAGCCCGGGATAGAAACGGCATTTCCTCTTGGCCGGGCTACAGCTGTTTTTGTTGTCTGTGTTCTCAAGTGCTTCCTCTGGGGATGGCAGGGAGGGTAACCAGACTCCGCGAGACCCCCACTTGCCCTCTCCGCCGCTCACTCCTCTTCCCCTGTTTCTTTGATCCTCTTCCTGTGCTGGTCCCACCTCCTGCGTCCCAGGACAGAATGACCGAGAACATGAAGGAGTGCTTGGCCCAGACCAATGCAGCCGTGGGGGATATGGTGACGGTGGTGAAGACGGAGGTCTGCTCACCACTCCGAGACCAGGAGTATGGCCAGCCCTGGTGAGGCCCCTGTGTGGGAACTGGAGAGGGAGAAGTGGGAGTGGGAGGTGCCTGGGCTCGGTTGGTTGGGAACCCTGGGAAACGTTCTCACTCCTTGCCCACCTTCCCTAACCCTGCTCCCGGCAGCTCCTGGGCGCAGGCTCTAGAAAAATCCAAGCAGTGGCCTAGGGAGGTCTGTGCTCGCATCTCAATCCTCCAGTTTTTCCACCACCTCCTGCACTGAACAGCAGGCTGGCTGGGACTCCTCTGCCCACCCCACATCTTCTCGGTCTCCTGGCCAGGTCCCCAGCTTTTGTCCCCACTGGGCTCTCACTCTCTGATGACTTCTTTGCTTTCTTTGCGGGCCTCTGCCCTGGCCAGCTCTAGGAGACCGGACTCCTCGGCCATGGAAGTTGAGCCCAAGAAACTGAAGGGGAAGCGCGACCTCATCGTGCCCAAAAGCTTCCAGCAAGTGGACTTCTGGTGTAAGTGGAGCTTGGGGCTCTGGGCTGCTCCTCCCTTCACCCCCATCGCCCCATTCCTGGCTAGGGAATTCACAACAATGCTACTAAGATAGGTCCTCACCTGCAATATACCAGGCCCAGGTCCAGGCCTTGGTTCGTCATCATCATTAGCCATCCAAATGGCTATTGTTAGCCCCATTTTCCAGATAGCACACTGAGTCTTGGTGAGGGTTAAGTATCCCACGCCTCGAGTCCTCTGGCCCAAAGGGGTACAGTTGCACTTGGACTCCAAAGCCATGCTCTTTCTTCCAGTTTTTTAAAACTTGAGACAAAGGTAGCTGCTGGCCTCCTTGACGTAGGCAGGCCTGTTCTTGGAGCCCCCAGGGAGAGTATGGGTTATTGCTACCGATGACCCTGGGGCCTGCAGCTGGCTGTCCATGAGTGGGCCTCCTGTCAGCCCCTCTACCTCCCCCATGGGGGTCTTACCTCCCTGCAACAACTGAGGCCCTCCCTTCTCTTTCCATCCCTCCAGTCTGTGAGTCCTGCCAGGAGTACTTCGTGGATGAATGCCCAAACCATGGCCCCCCGGTGTTTGTGTCTGACACACCGGTGCCCGTGGGCATCCCAGACCGGGCGGCGCTCACCATCCCACAGGGCATGGAGGTGGTCAAGGACACTAGTGGAGAGAGTGACGTGCGATGTGTAAACGAGGTCATCCCCAAGGGCCACATCTTCGGCCCCTATGAGGGGCAGATCTCCACCCAGGACAAATCAGCTGGCTTCTTCTCCTGGCTGGTGAGTGTGCCCTGGGCTATTCATGGGAGAGGTTGCCAAGAAACATGGAAGGAAACCACCAGGGGGAGCCATACTGGCCCAGCTTGGCCCCAGAACTTTTCTACCATCGCTTCTGGACCTGTCGATGATGGATCTTGCTGTCCCCTGGCCCCGGCTGAGTGGCTGCAACGCTTGGTGTCCAAGGGCAATGCTGAGAGCACCCACCTGGCAGTAGTCAGCAGATCAGGAAATCACCAAGCAGAACTCAGGGCAATTTCCCCATGAATCCTCATGTGTGTGTCTGGTGGACCATTGGGCAGTATTGAACCAACCGATCTTCTAGAGTGGGTGACTCGGAGCTGGCCTTTGGGGATGCAGAGCATGACTTCCCACTTCCAAACCAGTAATATCAGGCTCTGGGCTAGGTGCTGGGGGTAAACCCTTCAACAAGACAGACATGGTTCCTGCCCTCAGGGAGCAGACGATCTGGTAGGAAGACAGGCATTGAACAAGCAGGTACACATGTGATATCAGTTGCAACACAGGGTACTATCAATAGATGGGTTGCAAAGATGAGGAAGAGGGGTTTTCAAGGGTATGAGGAGGAAGGGTTACCAAAGCAACTTTAAGGAATCATGCTTGAGCTACTAGACAGAGATAGGGGAGGGTGGGGTAATAGAGAAAAGCATTCTAGAGGGTAAGAAGATCCTTATTCACTACAAAAACACTTCTTGAGTATCTCCTTTGTGCCAGGCACTGGGCTGGCCCTGGAAATACAGTGGTGGGCCAGATAAGGCAATCAGATAAATCCTGCCTTCATGGAGTTCTCTGTGGGAAAGATAGAATTAATCAAAGACTAAGACAAATCCATGTCAAATAATAACTCTGAGGGTGATGGAGAAACAGTGAGACTGGGAAAAAGTGAACAACCAGGGGAGGTAATATGGGTAGAGGTCAGAGAAGCCTTCCTGCTAGTTGAGCTGTGATTGAAGGAGGTGAATGCCTACCAGGTGAAGATTGGAGAGGTGCATCCAGATGCCTTGGACAGCAAGAGCAAAGGCCCTGTGGCAGGAGAGCATGGTACATCTGAGCTACTGGATGAAGGTCAGTGTGCCTGGAGTGCAGCACACACAGGGGCCTGGAGATGATGGAGGCTTGATTTTGTAGGGCCCAGTGGACCAAATTAGGACTTCTGTCCTTTTAATAATGTAGGAGTTGGGGGAGTGACTTGGTCACATTTATGTTTTGAAAAGATGACTTTGGCTACAGCCTGGAGAACTGATTGAGCTCAGGGGTGCTGGTCAAGAATGGGTACCCACACCCCTTTCCCCAGGTAGAGCGTGTGGGAGTTCTGTAGTCGGCAATGGTGGAAGACTGGGCTAGGGTTGGGGCAAAGACTTGGAGCCAAACGAACTGCTTTGTGAACTGTATCAGAGAGGAGAGCTCTGACTTAGACATAGACTAACTGGCCTAAGGAAGGGAGCAGGAGGTATCAAGGACATCTGCAGTCTCCCAACAGGTTGTTAATGGTGTCTTTCTCTGAGAAATGGAGGAGGCTGGAAGGGGACTGGGTTGAGGGAAAAATCATGATTTGGGTTTGGGACTTGTTGAGTTTGGAGTAACAACAAGATATCCAAGTGGTGATGTCAAGTAGGCAGTTGGATATATGGGTCCGAAGCTTGGAGAGGAGGCTTGGAGATGTTGCTTAGTGAGTCACCTGTGCATGGGTGGTCAGTGGGGGTGTGGGTGTGGAGCGCAGAACCTAGGGAGAATGTGCTGAGTGAAAGGTGGAAAGGCCTGTGAGCAAGCTTTGAGGGACTTTAGCAGTTCATGGTCTAGAAGGGGAGCTTGATCCTGCAAAGGAGACAGAGAAGGTTTGCAGCCAGAGAGGTAGGAGGGAAACCAGGAGAGTGGGTGACCTGGAAGTCAGGGGAGAAGAGAGGTTCTCCAGGCCACAATGTCTGTCAGTGCCAAGTGCTGCTGAGAAACCAGCCAGAAAGACTGAAAAGTGTCCCGTGGATTTACTACCAGGGATGCCATGGGTGACTTTAGCAAGAGCTATTGTAGAAAGCAGTGGGTCTGAACCTGAGGCAATTTTGCAGCCCAGCCTCCTGTCCCCGGACATTGGGCAATGTCTGGAGACCTTTTGGTTGTCACAGCTCAGCATAGGGGTAAGCTGCTGGCATCTAGCAGTTGGAGACCAGGATTACTGTAAACATTTTACAATGGACAGAATAGTCCCTCATAACAAAGAGTTATCTGCAGAAACCCTGCTGGAGAGTGATGGGGGTGGAACCTGATTAGCATGGAGGTGACCAGGCATAGTCATTTCCTAGAAGTTTGGTTACAGATAAGATCAGAAGTGGAGGAGAAAGATAAGAGTGAGGTGGGAGGGTGTGTGGTCAAGAGAGTTTGTTCATTAGAAAGACTTTAGCATCCTCAAAAAGCCAAGGGAGGGGTTCTGCTGAAGTGCTTGAGTGTAGAGTAGAGATAAGGCATGATTCCTAACCTTTTACATCACCTCAGAGGGTTCACATGGAGATACTGGACAAAAAAGGGGGTGGATCAGCATCATTTCTGTCCCTACAGGGTTAGCCCAGAGGATTAGAGCAGATAGAGATAGTTAGGTATAGTAGGCCACATAATGTCCCCCCAAAAATGTCCCTGTCCTAATCCCTAGAACTTGTAAATATACTATCTTCATGGCAGAAGGGATTTTTTGCACATGTGATTAAGTTAAGGATCTTGAGATGGGAGCGATGATCTTGGATTACCTGGGTGGGCCCAGTGTAATCACAGGCATCTTAATAAGAGGGAGGTGGGAGGCTCAGAGTCAGAGAGAAAGGGATTGGAGGATGCTGCTCTGCTGGCCTTCGAGATAGAGTAAGGAGCCGGGAGTCAAGGGATGCAGGCAGCTTCTGGAAGCCAGAAAAGTCAAAGAAACACATTAATTCCCAGAGCTTCCTGAAAGAATGTGGCCCTGCCAACACCTTGATTGTAGGACTTCTGACCTCTAGAACTATAAGGTAATACATGTGTGTTGTTTTAAGCCACTGTGGTTTTGGCAGTTTATTGGCAATTTATTACAGGAGCAACAGGGAACTCATATAGGAGGCTTTTATGTTTGTGGGGGGACATCTACTAAAATATGCAGGGAGGTGGATTGAGGTGGCCTGAAATCGAGGAGATCAGAGAAGGTGAGTTCTGCTTGGGATGAGTAGAGTTCCTGGTGCCCGTGAGATGCTCAGGGGAGCTGTCCAGAGCACTCTGGTGTGTGTGGCTCTGCAGTAGAGAGATGCTGGGATGACAGGGAAAACTAAGTATATAAATTAATGCAGCTGAAGCCCGGAGAAGGGAGGGCATTTCCTACAGAAAAGGTGCTTGGGGAGGAGAGAAGAGGCATTTCCTTTGGAATATGAGTTTGAGGAATCCTTGGAGGGAGAGGAGTTGAGGAGGCATGGAGCAGTAGGAGGAGACAGTAGGAAGTCTCCTTGGCCCCCTTGGCAGGAGCAGTCTCATGGGCGGAAGCCAGATTGCCATGGATTAAGGTGTCAGTGGGAGGTGAGGAAAGGGAACTAGCAAGGGTGCATGGCTTGTTTTAAAAGTCTGGTTGCCCACTGAGCAATTATTATATGCCAGGTGCATACTGGACACCTCTGGCATCTCATACTCTTCCTCGAAACAGTCCATAGGGTGGGGGTTGCTGCCCCTCTTGTTCTGACGAGGAAACACAGGACTCCCACAGCTGGTCCACAGTAGACCTTGGGTTCCTTCAAAGATAGTGTCCCTCCACCATGTGAGGACTTCCCTTATTGGGAGACATTGCTAATGGGGTGGAGCAGTTAATAGCTACCCTGAGCCAGTTTTGGTTATGTGTCCAGGTTCAACCCAACCTCACATACACAGAGCAACTCCAGAGCACTAGGTCCTGAGCAGGGAGCTCTGGGGATAACAGGGCTGCGTGAGGTTTGCTGTCTGTTCTTATGGAGCCTGTGGTTCAGTTATGAGGAGCAGGGGCCATGGTGGATAGGAGGGGAGGAAGCTTATTCCCAACCAAGTAATACAGAGGCAGAGTATTGCTTGGTGATCGCAGTGCTGCAGAGGGCTGTAGCAGTAGGGAGAGGGGGATTGGTTTCAACAGGGCAGATTGGAGATGGATCTTGTCTTGAAGGATGGATAGACGTTCAACAGAGGAAGCCTATGGCTTCACAGCCTATTGGAAAATTGCAGGAGAAAAAATCTAAGACTGTGCCCAAGGAATGGCTATTAGGATCCCTTTCTGCAGCTGCTAGAGTCTGTACCTTGGGACAGCCCAGCCATGGAAAGTTGAGAATCTTTAAAGCAGATGAACTTTCCCAGGTTGGCTGCCTGGCACAGGTCTACGGTGAGAAGAAAGGAGGAATAGAAGGCCCTGGTGTTTGCAACCTGGTTCTAGACTAGCTCCACCAGTCACGAGTAGGCGTGGCCCCAGTTCAGGAGGTGGGACTGGTGGCCTGGAGGTTATTCCCTCTGAGGTTTCTTCCTAGGGCCTTAGCTGCAGCCAGCAGCCAGCAGCCAGCAGCCAGCAGATGGGCACAGGGAGGCAGTGGTTAGAGGCTGCAAGGCCATATGGGGGCTTTGACCTTTGGGAACCCAAGAGGTGAGAGACATTGAAGGCCTAGAGCCACCAGATGCTTAAAGTGGCTCAAGAAAAGTTCGTGTGTGTGTGTGTGTGTGTGTGTGTGTGTGTGTATGTGTGTGTTGGGCATGGGTTTTTGGCCTCCACTGGGGAAAAGCAGGCGTGAAGAACGGCCCTGCCTGCTCTGCTGATGGGTAGGCCAAATGGTGGGAGAGTACGGGGAAGGTGGGGTGAACAGTGGTGCTGATTTTTGGACCAAGATCTAGAAGCCCCATATCCTAAATAAACTGCCCTCATTTGTCAAGTCCTGTCCCAAAGCCATACTGGATATCATCTTCTTTGGACCTTCTGCCTGCCTGCAAAAGCTCTGGCCCCCATTCAGCACAACACATTTCCCTCCACACTCCCTCCCTCAGTATATGCACTCTACTCTGTAGAAATGATGGTGGTGGTCATGACAAGCATAGCTGTTAATGTTTATTGAGCACTTACTATGTGTCTGGGTCTGTGCTCAGTGCTTTATAGCATAATCTCATCTGATCCTAACAACGCTCCTGTGACATAGGTATTATTCCATCCATTGCACAGCTGAGAAAACTGAGGCCTGGAGAGGATGAGTCATTCTGCACAAAGCTAAACAGCTGGTGAGTCACTGAGCTGGGGTTCAAACCTGTGCAGTCTGACTCCAGAACCTACCCTCTCATTCCGCCTCTTGGCCCTCTAGCCTCCCTTACTTAGCACGCCTCTTCTTACCTCCTTGCCTGGGTAGACTCTATTCTACTCATTCTTCCTGCCCAGCACAAGTTCCCTCTTTGTCTTCGCTTAACCTGGAGGAAAGCTGGCCTGACTTTGGGCAGAGTGGTACAAGGCATGGGCCTGGGTCATAATGGACCGAATGGCCATTTCCACTCCACAACTCTCCTTCGTGGCCTGGCTGACTTGGCAGGAGTTGGACACTCACCTCTGCCTGTCTAGGAAAGACATGCCCCTTGCTCTGCTTTTTCATCCTATTGGAAATTATAAATGCTGTGATTCATTGCCAAGATCACCCAGGCTACCCTCAGACACTGCAGGCCAGGAACCATGCTGCTGGCACGAGGCATTTGGGGGTGCTGCGCAGCCATGTGGTTTGGTAAAGAGGCAGAAGACAGAGGAAGCCAACATGGGATTTTTTGTTTGTTTGTTTTTTTGTTTGTTTGAGATGGAGTTTTGCTCTCGTTACCCAGGCTGGAGTGCAGTGGTACGATCTCAGCTCACCGCAACCTCTGCCTCCTGGGTTCAAGCAATTCTCCTGCCTCAGCCTCCCTAGTAGCTGGGATTACAGGCATGCGCCACCACATCCAGCTAATTTTGTATTTTTAGTAGAGACGGGGTTTCTCCATGTTGGCCAGGCTGGTCTTGAACTCCCGACCTCAAGTGATCCGCCCACCTCAGCCTCCCAAAGTGCTGGGATTACAGGCTTGAGCCACCACACCCGGCCGCGAGCACAGGGTTTCTATGTAAGTTTTTCGTTCAGACCTTGGCTTGTTCCAGAAGGGATTTAGGGTAGCCTAGCAGTATACATAAAATATACCACAATGGCATATTAAAACTGGGAGAGAGAAAGAAGAAAGGAAAACAAGGGTGGAGACCCTAAGTGAAGCCAGGAATGAAGCTAAAAATGCATACTATAATGACCTCTATCTGCACTTTTAGCTATACAGGCTCCAAATCTGGCAGCCACTGGGAGAGTAGCTGGTACATTCTGTCCATAATGTGAAAAGGACCAGGGAGCTCCTGAGGAGGTCCGCCCTTCTGGGCGCTGATACTGGATAGGTTTCCCAGGGGCCCTTATAAAGAGGACACTGTGTGGTGGAATTGTCCACTCCATGCGAGGCAGCCTCCCCACCTGCCAGACTGCTACCGTTCTGGGGAGAAGCAGATATGAAATGGTGTTTTAGTGTTTCCCATTTCAGCTTTTATAGTAAATTGACAATTTCTTTTAAAACTTGAAAGTGGACGTGCCAGAGCTCATGGCACATCCTCCAGAAAAGCCTCTGAGAGACCCTGAGTGCTTAGCTAGATGAAATAAGCAGACAGTTGCAGTGCTATGACATGTGGTGGGGACAGGCAGGTGTTACCAAGTTCGGGGATGCTCAGAGAAGTGAGGAGTAACAGGTTTGTTCGAGAAGAAAGAAAAGGGGCGTTTGAGACAGGGTAGTCGTGCAGTGTGTGAGCATGCACGAGCAGGTGCTTTTCATGCTTGCTTGTTAATTTCTACTCTTTATTTTGAAAGTTGCAAACTCGGTTGAAAAGTTGCAAGAATAGTGTAATGAATACCCTCACACCTGCCTGTAGATTCATCTATTGCTAACACTTTATACCCATTGCTTTATCTCACTTTCTACACTTACACCACCTACACACACACGTGCACACACACACACACTTTTTTTTTTTTTCTTGAGATGGAGTCTCACTCTATCACCCAGGCTGGAGTGCAGTGGCATGATCTCAGCTCACTGCAACCTCCACCTCACAGGTTCAAGCAATTTTACCACCCCAGCCTCCCAAGTAGCTGGGACTACAGGCGCACACCACCATGTCTGGTTAATTTTTTTGTATTTTAGTAGAGATGGGGTTTTACTGTGTTACCCAGGCTGGTCGCAAACTCCTGAGCTCAGGCAATCTGCCCGCCTCGGCTTCCCAAAGTGCTGGGATTACAGGCATGAGCCACCGCGCCCGGCCATACATTCTTTTTTTTTTTTTTTCTGAACTGTTTGAGATATAGTTACAGAGACATCATGACACTTTACCTCAAAACACTTCAGCCAAATTCCTAAGAGCAAGGTGTTCTTCTATACCAGGGTGAGCAAACTTTTTTTTTTTTAAAGGCTACCTGGTAAATACTTTCGGCTTTATGGACTGTGCAGCCTCTGTCATAACTACTCCACTCTGCCTTTGCACTGCAAAAGCAGTCATAGATGATACATGAATGAATGAGTGTTGCTATGTTTCAATAAAACTTTATATGAACACTGAAATTTGAATTGCATATTATTTCAAATGAAATTTGAAAGTCATAGAAATAAAATTACATAAAAATAATTTTTTAGTCATTAAAAAAATGCAACATGATTCTTAGCTTGCAGGCTGTATAAAAACAGACAATGGGGGCTGGATTTGACCTACAGCCATAGTTGGCTGACCCCTGAGCTATTTAACCACCATATAATGATTACACCCAGGAAATTTGACATGGATACAATACTGTCTCAGCTATAGTTCGTATTCAGATTTCCCTAATTGCCATTAGTAACATCCTTTGTGGTTTTTTCCCCATCCAGGACCCGTGCAGGTATCACACATTGCATTTAGTTGTCACATCTCATTAGTCTCCTTTATTCTAGAAAAGTCTCCCCTGTATTGTTTTTTTTCTTCATGATATTGATACTTTTGAAAAGTTCAGGCTAGTTGTTTGCATAATGTTCCACAGTTTAGATTTGTCTGATTGTTTCTTCATGGTGGATTCCGATTACAGCTTTTTGGCACAAGCAATGTTAGGTCTTTCTCACGGTGTGCCATCAGGAGGCACCTGGTGGCAGTTTGTCTTGTCTTTTACTCAATGGTTTTAACAACTATTGATGATTCTTGTCTGTATCAATTATTATTCATGGTTAAAATGATTTTTCTATTTTTTCTCTTCTACATTTATTATTTGACATTCTTCTGTTTAAAAAAGATAGTGCTCAACCTTCACCCCCACTCAATCCTCATTTAAAGCTATTTTTAGTATTCATATGAACATGAATTCTTTTTTTATTCAATGTGTTGGAATCCATGTCTGTCATTATTCATTTTGATGTTTAAATTGCCCTAGATTTGGCCAGTGGGAACGCTTTCAAACTGGCTCCTTGTTCTTTTGACACATCCCCATCATTATTTTAGCACTTTTTCCTTACTTTCTGGCACAAAAAGATATTCCCACTGTCTCTCGTAGGAGCTGTGATTCCTTTCAGTGGGAAATGGTGTTTAGGAGCCAAAATCTCTGAATGGTAGGTGTGCAATTGCTACTGGGGTGTCCTTGCTTCTAAGCCAAACTAGGTTTTATTATTATTATTATTATTACTATTATTATTATTTTATTTTACTTTGAGTTCTGGGATACATGTGCAGAACCTGCAGGTTTATTACATTGGTATACATGTGCCATGGTGGTTTGCTGTACCTAACAACCCGTCATCTAGGTTTTAAGCCTCCCATGCATTAGGTATTTGTCTTAATGCTCTCCCTCCCCTCACCTCCCACCCCCGCAACAGGCCGCCGTGTGTGACTTTCCCCTCCCTGTGTCCATGTGTTCTCATTAGCCGAACTAGGTTTTGAGGGAGGGATGGATGAGTTGATGCAAATGTCCTACCATGTCAGAAACTGAGGGAACGCAGCATAGCAGTGGTCATGGAATTTACAAAGGCCCTGGGGCACACACGTAACAGTCAGGTGGGGATGGTATTAATATTAGGGTATAACAGAGGTACCAAGTGTGTTTAGAAGGAAAAGTGGAAGATGAGACTAGAGTGAAAGTCACTTTTCTTGTGTTCTCAGATGCAATGGATCATAAAACACTGTTGATTCAATATCAGCTTTTCCAGGAGTAAAAATGAATACCTCAATCCAAAGATTCTGAATATCAGAAGCATTAAATGGGCTCAGCTTGTGTAGCTGTTTTATAAGTGCTGGTAGTTTAGTTATTGAATCACAAACCAAACCAAAGATTTCCCCAGGAAAATGTAATATGCTCATGAACCAGTTCTGGCTGGAGCCAAGTCTGTACATCTATTGTATCAGAGCAAAAGTAGAACATGAAAAATTATTCTGAACCTGTATAATATTTCCAGTACAGACCAGCTCCTAACCTGACCTCCTCTATTTCTTGGCTTTCCAGTCCATTCTACTGTAGCTGTGTTTCTCACACCTGAACAGTGTTAAGTTCAGGTGATTTTTAATGTTCCTGGAGTCTTCATGTTACATTAATTTTATTTTCATGTTACTTAAAAAGGTATAAACATATAGCTTGGTAAACACAAAGTGTCTTGTACTTATAACTTTTAAACAACTGTAAAGCCAAAACAAGTTTACACATATAAAATTAACTACAAAAACCTCAACATAATACACATTAACAAAGTCATTCTAATGGGATAGTTGATGATGTGTCACTGAAACAAAATTGCTATTTATAAGGCGAATATCGTAGTGACTACTGAGACACAGCAAGAGTCTTTGGAGTTTGGAATGCCTGTACTTTTGTGTTCAGTGTGATATCTTTACTTTCCTACTATTTGTCTCTATTTGAAACACTGGGAAATCTTTTATTTATGTATGTATTTATTTATTTAGAAATGGGAACTTACTCTATTGCCCAGGCTGAGTGCAATGGCAAGATCATAGCTCACTATAACCTCAAACTCCTGGACTTAAGCCATCCTCCTGCCTCAGCCTCCAGAGTAGCTGCGATCACAGGAGTGTGCCATCACACCCATCTATCTTTGTTATTGCAACTGCCATGATGTGTCTTGGCCTTTGCTTTGCCGGAGTGCAACATTTACATATTAAGTTTATATCTGTTCTTTTTTTGTTGGCTCATAGCAAGTAGTCATAATTGGGGTTGTATGGTCAACTGTTGGGGTAAAACAAGCTACCTAAAAACCCAGTGGCATAGAACAAGGGTCAGCAAGTGTTCTCTGTAAAGGGCTAGATAGTGAATATTTTAGGTTTTGCACACTATACAGTGTCTGTCTCAATGACTCAATTCTGCCATCATGGTGCAAAAGCAGCCATCAGTGTGCCATGTTCCAATAAAAGTTTATTTATATATAGTGAAGTTTGAATTCCATATAATTTTCACATCATGAAATATTGTTTTTCTCTTGATTTATTTTCAACAATTTAAAAATCATTCTTAGCCTGGTGGGCCATGCAGAAACAGGTGGTGGGCTGGAATTAGCCCACAAGCCGTAGTTTGCTGAGCCCTGACATAGAACGACAATCATTTACTCTTGCTCACGTATCTGCTGGTCAGCTGCCGTTCCTCATTTCTACTTGTGTATCTGCTGGTTGGCTGCAGTTTGGCTGACATAGCTGGGCTTGCTGGGCTGCCCGGACTCCAGCTGCTGGGGGTTCTTGGCTTCTCTCTCTGGAGCCAGGTCTGCTCCAGACACTTGGAGCATGTCTGTTCTGGGCCCCAGCTGAAGGAGCAAGGGCTCCCTGGGGGAGCTTTTCTACATTTTGAGGCTTTGCTCATATCATGTTTGCTAATATCTCATTGGCTACATCAATTTCACAGTTGAACGTAAGGTCAAGGAGCAAAGAAGTGCAGGCTGCCTGTTAAACAGTCTAGTTCAGAATCCTGTGGCAAAAGGTGGTACGGATGGCTGAAGAGCTGGGGCCAGGGATTCAATCTGACACGGATGCCACCTCAGCCATAAATGCAGTACTCTTGCGGGTGCAGAAATCTCATGAGGATTCCCGCATATTGATTTTTTTAAATGAAAACATGGAATTAAAAATTCTTAGAGAAAACATTCAGATCCTGAGAATATATCCAAAGACCCTAGTTTGAGAGACACTAATTTTTAGTAAACTTCCTGGCTTTGCCGCAGAAGATTTGGGGTTTCTTGGTGTTTGAAAATTCCCCAAGGAGAGCTCTTGTTGAACTAGGCTCTCTGAACCTAATTCAGCACTCCAAACCCCAGTGGGTCCTCCAAAGATGCTAGTTAGGGTTGATGAACAACAATAACAACAATAATAGTAGTAACAATAATAGCTGCTGTTCACTGAGTACTAAATGATTTGTATATCTCACAACAGTACTGTGGGATAGTTATTATCTTCTGTTTTTTTTTTTTTTTTTTTTTTTTGAGACGGAGTCTCGCTCTGTCGCCCAGGCTGGAGTGCAGTGGCGGGATCTCGGCTCACTGCAAGCTCCGCCTCCCGGGTTCACGCCATTCTCCTGCCTCAGCCTCCCAAGTAGCTGGGACTACAGGCGCCCGCCACTACGCCCGGCTAATTTTTTGTATTTTTAGTAGAGACGGGGTTTCACCGTTTTAGCCGGGATGGTCTCGATCTCCTGACCTCGTGATCCGCCCGCCTCGGCCTCCCAAAGTGCTGGGATTACAGGCGTGAGCCACCGCGCCCGGCCAGTTATTATCTTCTTTTTAAAGATTGGGAAACTGGGGCTTAAAAGGCCATGTTACTTATCTAAGGTTATACAGGTCATTTATGGGGCCAGGACTTTTAACTAGATCTCCAGTTCATCATCTCCAGGCCTCAGATGTGAATATCTAGAATGCCTTCCTGGCATCCCATTGCTGGTCTTCCCACTTGCATGGAAACCTGTTTCTTTAGGGGGTCACTGTTCAAGCATAGGATATGTAGGACGTAAGATCGTTCCCTTCTCCTTGTTTGATTGGTAACAATGAACCTTTGGCAGATTTTATTTTTTAACAGCTTTATTGAGATGTAATTCACATACTATATAATTCACCCATTTAAAATGTATGATTCAATGATTTTGACTATATTCACAGGTATGTGCAACCATCATCACAGTCGGTTTCATCAAATCCTGTATCCTCTGGCTGTCGTTCCCCTCTTCCAATCCCCTTAACCCACATCTTCAACCCCTCACCCCCACCCATCCCTAGGCAACCACTAATCTACTTTCTGACCCTATGGATTTTTCTATTCTGGCCTTTCATATAAATGAGATTATGTAGTATGTGGTCTTTGTGACAAGCTTCTTTCACTTCGCTTCATGTTTTCAAGGTTCATCTGTGTGGCAGCATGTATCATTCCCTTTTACTTTCTTTCTTTTTTTTTTTCTTTTTTTATCTGAGACATCATCTCTCTCTGTCACCCAGGCTGGAATGCAGTAGCTCGATCTTGGCTCACTGCAGCCTCTGTCTCCCAGGTTCAAGTGATCCTCCTGCCTCAGCCTCCCAAGTAGCTGGGATTACAGGTGTACACCACTATGCCCAGCTCTTTTTTTTTTGTACTTTAGTAGAGATGAGGTTTTGCATGTTGGCCAGGCTCGTCTTGAACTCCTAGCCTCAAGTGATCCACCCACCTTGGCCTCCCAAAGTGCTGGGGTTACAGGCATGAGACACCACACCTGGCCGTATCATTCCCTTTTATGGCCTAAAAATGTTCCATATATTGTTGATCTCTTCATCCATTGATGGACAGTCTCTGCCTTTTGGCTATTATGAATAATGCTGCTGTAAACATTTGTGTACAAGTTTCCATGCGGACACGTGTTTTTATTTCTTTCGGGCATAATACCTAGGAGTGGAATGGTAACTCAAGGTTTCATCATTTGAAGATCTGCCAGGCTGTTTTCCAAAGCAGCTGATCAATTTTGCTTTCCCACCAGTTGTATATGAGGGCTCTGATTTCTCCACATTCTTGTCAACCCTTGTTTTTCTCTGACTTTTTTATTCTAGCCATCCTAGTGGATGTGAAGTGATACCTCATTGTGAAGCATGAGGGTTTTGCTCTGCCTTTTTTCTATCTCTTGTTCATTTCAGTGGTTATTTGGGGAGAGCTACCCAGGATGGATGCGCCGGTTGTGTACTTAACAGCTCCATGGGGTGCTTTTCATGTCAGCCCTGTTAACTACGTTCTTCTGCCAGGTTAACTTGGAAGACTCTTCCAATCTGCAGCATGATAATTAAAGTGTATTTCTATCTGATTTCTCTCTGGCTCATTCCAGTTTACATTTTTGCTGCCCCCTAGATAGGCAGCAAACTCCTGATCCAGATACTCCTGGATCTCTCTCTCACCCTTGCCCAAGACCATTCATAAAAAGGCATAACTAAGAGATGGGATTGAGGCCAGTCTGCTTGACAGCTGCTTCTCTAGTTCTTCCCCAAGGGTCCAAACTAGTACTCAGAATGCTATTGCCTTTCACCAGGAGCCTGCCTCCTTACCAAGGAGAGCAAGGCTGTGTGTGGTCAGGGTAGCGGGTGGTTGGTCCTGAGGCTGGTCCATAGTCCTGGCACCTTTTACAGGCAGAAAAGAAGGACTTGTGAAGGGAAGAGCTGTCTGAGTTGGTTATAGGCTCTGTTCCTGGATTCCGATCCTGGCTCTACCACCTGCGAGAAATGTGTCTTTGGGCTGCTCACCTATTCTCTCGGAGCTCCAGTGGTTTTATCCATAAAATGAGGATGCACAGTCTAATGGAACACACCCCTATGAGTTGTTGTAAATACTAATGCTTGTTGCATGCCTAGTACTTAGCATGTGATGAGCAGATCACAGCCAGCTTTAGTATCCACAGTTATCATCAGATGGGTTTCAGGAATGGTTGAGGGTGGGAGGTGAAATCAAAGTGTATAAAACCTGGATGTGGAATTTAGGATTGTTTGTCAACATGCCTCATTAACTAGGTCTCCAGAGTCTTTTTAAGCAGTAAAAAGAAGGAAATTCTGCCATTTGCAACAACATGGGTAAACCTGGAGTACATTATGCTAAGTGAAGTAAGCCAGACACGGGACAAATACTACCTGATACCAGTTATAGGAGGAATCTGAAATAGTCAAATTCATAGAGACAGAGAGTAGAATGGTGGTTTCCAGTGGCTGGGAAAGAGGGAAATAGGGAAATATTAGTCCAAGGGTATAAAGTTTCAGTTATGCAAGATGAGTAAGTCCCAGAGATCTACTGTACAGCATAGAGCCTATAGTTTACTGTATTGCATGCTTAAAAATTTGCTAAAAGGGTAGATCTTATGTTAAGTATTATCACAATAATAATAATAATAAGAGCAGGAGGAATCTTTTGGAGGTAATGGATATGTTTATATCATAGTTTGTGGCGACGGTTTGACAGGTGTACACTTATTTCCAAACTCATCAAGTTAGATATGTTAAATACATACAGCTTTTTGTATGCCAGTCATACCTCAAAAAGCGGTCTAAACCGAAAAGAAATTTGAAAAAAGGACGAGTTCATGTCCTTTGTAGGGACATGGATGAAGTTGGAAACCATCATTCTGAGCAAACTATCGCAAGGACAGAAAACCAAACACTGCATGTTCTCACTCATAGGTGGGAATTGAACAATGAGAACACTTGGACACGGGGTGGGGAACATCACACACCAGGGCCTGTCGTGGGGTGCGGGGAAGGGGGAGGGATAGCATTAGGAGATATACCTAATGTAAATGACGAGTTAACGGGTGCAGCACACCAACATGGCACATGTATACATATGTAACAAACCTGCATGTTGTGCACATGTACCCTAGAACTTAAAGTATAATAATAATAATAAAAGGAAGTTTTGGATTAATAAAAGGAAGTTCTCATTTCCTTATCAGTTAAATTAGGGCAGATGGGTTAAATCATGGTTCTTGAGCTTTTTTGAATCACCTAGGAAGTTATACTCACGTGCCAATGTTCACAAAATGTTGCACACATTTTAAGGGATGCCCCCTTTCCCAGACACCAGGTTAGAAACCTAGAGCATGGATAATCTCAGATGCCCTCATCTAGCTTAAGTATTCTTCACTCCATGTCTGTGGCCATAGCAGAGGCCAGAGTTCAAGTTCAAGTTCAGGTTATCTCTATCTCTCAGGTCTTCAGTTGGCTGGGCTGGGGAGTAGCTAGAGAAAAGAAGTGATGCCATCTGCCTCCTGGGGCTTGGGAGAGGAGCATTTGAGGTATGCCAAAGTGCTTCATCAACTGTGAATGGCTTCACCAGTCATTCTTGTAACTACTTTGCTCTATGAAGAAATGCAGGATTGAATTATGAATGCTTTATGGATTCAATGAATTCCTGGAAAGTTGCAAACAAATCAGGTTTTTGAAAATCCATCTCTGCAGCATCTGGTCATGACACCATTTAGAGGAGCCCAACAGTGAATCTTCGACTGGGGCAGACAGACATTCTGTTGCAAAGCAGAGCATTCTTCCCTATTAAAATGCCAACCTGCAGATAGCAGATTTGCTCAGAGGCAAAGCTGGAAGTTCAGAGAGGGGCCCAGAAGAGTCCTGGTTGATTCTGGGTTTCAGGAATGGTTGAGGGTGGTTAATGGAGTCATTAGGAAAATCTTGGGGCTAACATCCATTGCTCTACAAAGTGGTTAAAGCATGGACTGTACTGTCAGAGACCCAAGTTTAAACTCCAGCTTCCCGTGTGGAAAATTCCTTTGTGGCCTCAGGCAGGTTACCAACAGCCCTCAGCCTCAGTTTTCCAATCTGTAAAAGGAGGATAATCATAGTAGCTGTGAGAATTAATAGTGTGTCAAAGCACTTGACATAGTGAAGGTACTCCATAAGTGGTAGCTGTTAATGAGGCTTTATTTTTATTGTCTTTATTAATTATTACCATGGTCTAAAATAGCATGTGGATCCACCTGGACCATGCTTCGCTCAGGGGGCCAAACTCCATGCTTTTATGTTATTTTTATGAGCATCTCTCAGTCTTCATTTTAGACAGAACTTTGAGGTCATTTAGGACAGATTTCCACTGAGTGAGGAAGTCCTTTTTTCAGCCTCCCTGCTAGCAAATCATCCCCTGGTTGAACACTCCCATTAACAGGAAGCTCACCACCTCACAGGGTTCTTGTCCTATCTTAGGACTCTTCTGCATGTTAGACCATCACTTTTTGTGCTGAGTTCAGGCCTGTATCCCTCTAGATGCATGCGCGTTCTAACCATCCTGTCCCCACGACATGGTCGTCCTTCCCACATCTGATGATGATGGCTCTGCTTTCTCAGGCCTCTTCTTCTCCAGGCTAAGGGAGCCTCTCACCATGCAGGTTCCCCAGGTTATCAGCCTGGTTCCGGGTTATCAAAGGCCTTGTACCACAATGCTCAGAGCTTCTGGGCTGGTCCAAAGTGCTGAGTTCAGAGGGACCAAGGAGTTGACCTTGAGGGATAAGGCAAGGGAAGTCACTGGGAGACCAGTCTTCTGGGGGGCTTGTCCTGAGCATCTGGCCCTGCTGTCATTCCTGGACCCATGTCAGTCCCAGAATAGGAAGCCCACAGCCTGCTCTCTACTCAGGATGGCCTGGGCTCATCAGTGGCATGTAACGTGGTCCACAGGCCCTGCGAGATCCTGCCTGCCCTGCACCCTCTGCCTAGGGCACCATCTCTCTCTTCTCTAAGATCTCAGCTTAGACTCCATGTCCCCAGAAAAGGTCCTCAGTAGATTCCCAGGTCCAGGGCTGCAGCTCAGAGATCCCATAATCCCACATAATTCTCCACCATGGGACTGGCCATGCCATATCACAGTGGCCTCTCTTCTGCGTCCCGCTAGGCTGTGAGCTTTCTAAGAGCAAAGACACTCTCTGCCTGGGTCAACATTTTATCCCCAGAGCCTGTCACTGTGGCCTCTCCCTCCATGACATTTGTTGGTTGAATGAATGAATGAGTGAATAAATGCTTGATATGAGACAATCCCAATTGGTGGGAAAGATAAGCCAAAAACACCTGTCAGAAAAGCTCTAGACCTGAACCCAGCAGACAGTGGTCTCAGGCGGTTCCTATGTCCTTCACAGCCCTCACCCAGTCCTCTCTGTCCAGATGAAACTGCCAAGACTGATTACAACTCAGTGTTGAACCACAGGCCTCCCACCACCCCAAATTAGTAATTAATATTTGAACTCTTAATAATCCCGATTATGATCACAGTGCTAACAGTGACTGTTCACTGAGTGTCTTCCACTTCCATTATGACAGCAGTGCTACAAGGTTGGTTTTTATCCAATTTTATAGATAAGGAAACTGAGGCATGGTCAGCAAAGATCTGCCCAAGGCCACTCAGCTTGTGTGCAGTGAAGCTGAAATTCTAGCCAATTCCTCTGGCTCCATGGCTCTTACTACCCTCCATGTGCTCCTACTACTGGCTGTAGGAACTAGAGATGCTTCTCTTTTCCCCCAGGAGACAGGGGAGCAATCAGAAATGATAATGTAGGGGGAGTAGTGTTATGATAAAATCCAGGGTTCTCTGAGATTCCAGGGGAGGGTCCCTGCAGACTGGAGCATCACTTGGGGAAACTGCCATGGAAGGGGAAGCTTGAGTTGCATGTTTTCTCTTTTTAGTTTTCTGAGATTTTTAAAACACAAAGGCAGTACAGTCTTATAGACAAATTAAGCAAAAGCATCCCTGCTTCCCTCTTTCCTCCCCTCCAGAGTAATGAGAGTTGAGATTTTGATGTGTATCTCCTAGACTATCTATGCTCATGTAAACATGCATAGTGGTGTGCTGGTAGATGTTTACAACTGATGGTGATGGTGATGGTGATGGTGAGGCAATGTGCCAATTTCCATGGTGTAAATGCTCCCCCCATGGCTGATTTCAAGCTACTAGCATGAAATCACTGAATGTGCAATTGGGAAGAAATATGCAATCGCAACTATTGTATGGTATTTCTACTCTGCAGCTACAGTAGAGGCCAGTACCCTAGAGAGCATAGAAAATCATCAGTCAAATGTAGTAAAATAATTGGGAATGGTTAAGTTTTGAGTATTTATTGCCTTTTAAAAATATATCATTTATTGAATTGTAAGTTTATATCATTTAGTTTTTCAATAATGGCTGTGTTTGACAACTGGTTCACAAAATTCCTGAAAATTTAACAGTTGGCTCTCAGTCAACATAAGCTGGCTCCAGCATAGCACTCATTTCATTTTTACTAAAATCTTAACATTTTATAATTTTTTCTTCTTTCTTCCTTCCTGCCTTCCTTCCTTTCTTGTTTCTTTCCTTCCTTCTTTCCTTCTTTCTTTCTTCTTTTCTTTTCTTTTAGAAACAGGATCTTGCTTTGTCACCCGGGCTTGAGTACAGTGGCACAATCATGGGTTACTGCAGCCTCAAACTCTTGGGCTTAAGCAATCCTCCTGCCTCAGCCTCCTGAGTATCTGGGACCACAGGCGTGCACTACCACACTTGGCTAATTTTTTAAAAAATTCTTTGTAGAGAGGCTGGGCGCAGTGGCTCATGCCTGTAATCCCAGCACTTTGGGAGGCCGAGGTGGGCGGATCACGAGGTCAGGAGATCAAGACCATCCTGGCTAACACGGTGAAACGCTGTCTCTACTAAAAAAAAACACAAAAAAAATTAGTCAGGCATGGTGGCAGGCACCCATAGTCCCAGCTACTTGGGAGGCTGAGTCAGGAGAATGGCGTGAACCTGGGAGGCGGAGCTTGCAGTGAGCCGAGGTGCACCACTGCACTCCAGCCTGGGTGATGGAGCGAGACTCTGTCTCAAAAAAAAAAAATTCTTTGTAGAGACAGGGTCTCGCTATGTTGCCCAGGCTTGTCTCAAACTCCTGGCCTCAAGCAATTCTCTGGCCTCAGCCTCCCAAAGTGATGGGAGTACAGGTGTGAGCATCACACTTAACCAATTTTTTTCTCTTTAACTTGCTTTTTACTTAAAAGGCTCTTTTTCCCATCATTCTTTCATTCAACCAGTATTCCACCATGTGCCATGCCCTCCCTGCGTTAGGAACCAGGGCCACCATTGTGATCAGGGCAGCCACGTGCTTTGCACTCATTAGCTTACGGTCTAGCCAGGGAGGCAGTCAGTTACCAAATCGACAAATAGATATCAACAAAATGCTCACTGCAATTAGGGCTCTTAAGGGAAGTTACAGGATGATGTAACAGAGATAATGCCATGATAGACCAGGGATGAGGTATGGCCAGGAAGAACTTCCTTTAGGGTCAAGGCTAGGAGAGGCTTCTTCTGTCAAACTCACATAATCTGAGACCCAAAAGCTAAGAAGGGACCACATATTCAAAGCTTAGTGGGAAAAAATTGAAAAAGGATATGTTCACTTGGGTGCCATTTCTGTAAACTTTACACACATGCAAACAGTCCTGTATGTTGCTCTTTGAAAAGTCCTTGTGTCATAAAAATGGGAAGGCTTCCCACCATCTCTAGGATGGTGGTTACTCTTGGAGGGAGGAAAGGAAAGAGAAGAAGTTGGAGGCAGAGAGGGTCTTCCACTGCATCTCAGCATTTTCTTGAAGCAAAAGGAGAGAGAGGCCTGAGACAAATATAACTCGTGTTAATTTTTCTTGGCTTTAGCTGATGGGCACAGGGTTGTCAGCTGCATTCTTCTTTATAATTTCTGAATGCTTGAAATATTTCATGATTATTGTTATTTTTAAGGGTAGATAAAAGAGGCTCTAGGCTCACCCTCAGGGCATCAAGGCTGCAGAAAAGTGAAAAGGAAGTGAGAGGCCCAGGGTAAGTTCGGGGGCAGGCCTGTAGGGTATGAAGGCTGTGGCCATAAATATGAGTTTTATTGTAAGTGCAGTGGATGCCATTTTGAGCTGGTGCGGGACATGATCTGATTTACATTGATAAAGGGCTTCTCTGCTGCTTTGAAGAGAACGATGGAGGCTTATGAATGGCACTAGGTTAGGTAGGAGTCTAGGCATGGTGACTATCCATCTGTTTCCCATCTCCCAGGAGTTCTCCCAGGCTCTGCTTCACCAAGTCTTCAGGGGACCAACCCTGATCTAGCTCATGTGTCAAAACTTATCAAGTTGTACCTTATATGTCAATGATGCCTCAATAAAGCTGTTAGAAAGGAAAAAGAAGGAACATGTCACTATGAAACAGAAAGAGGCAGGATGTATAAAAGGGTGGACCTGAAAAAAAAACTAATTAAAAATTCTGGGAATGAAAAATATTCATCAAAATAAAGGTACTCATTAAAAAAAAAAACAAAGAAAGTTGGAAAAACCTCAGTAGATGGGAGAAACCCCGGATTAGACACAGCCAAAGAGATAATTAGTGGACTGGAAGAGAGCTCTGAGATATTTTTCCAGAGAGTGCCCAGAATAATAAAGAGAAAAATATGGAAGAGTAGTTAAAAGACATGAAGGATATATTGAGCTACTCCCATAATTTTTTTTTTTTTTTGAGATGGAGTCTTGCTGTGTCACCCAGGCTGGAGTGCAGTGGTGCCATCTTGACTCACTGCAAGCTCCGCCTCCCGGGTTCACACCATTCTCCTGCCTCAGCCTCCCAAGTAGCTGGGACTACAGGTGCCCGCCACCACACCCAGCTAATTTTTTTTGCCATACGTGTTTAACAGAAATTGTACTGAAAGAGAATGGAGAAAATGGCCGAGAAGCTGTATTCAAAAGCCTAATGACTGAGAATTTTCCAGAATTGAAAAGGATATGAGTCTTGGAGTTGAAAGGTGTTCATCAAGTAGTAAGGAGAATTTCAGGAAAGTAAATCTTCACTTCAAAACCACATAGCAAAACTGCAGAAAATCAAGAGTAAAAGGAAAGTCTTAAAATTTACCACAGACAGATTATCCACAAAAGAACAACATTAGACTGACAGCTGTTGCTTTTGCGCCGATGGCAGTCTTTTTAGCAGTCTTCAGAGTGCTGAAAGAAAATAAAACTTAGCCTAGAATTTCATACCCAGCTGAACTCTGATTAAAGAGTGATGATGAAATGAAAGAGAAACCAGCCAGCTTCAAACCCTGAGGCTCTTGAACATTTAGAGGTTGGGGAGAGGAGGAACCCTCTCAAATCACATATATTCAGTCATCCAGCAGTGGCCTCTGTCTCCCACAGAAACTGTAAGGAGAGAAGGATTGGTTTAGCCTTTGTAGTTGCAGTGCGAGGCCAGTGGAAAAGCCCCTTGTCAGCCATGTTGCTGAGTATTCCATCAAGACAGAGGAGGGAGATGGTCCCATCTGCTTCCCATCTTCCAGGAATTCAAAACACCTCTGAAGGGCTTTGTGTGTCTAGGAGAATAGGATCTCCAGTGTCTCTAGAAGAATGGGAATGGGTGGAGGGCAGGTAGCAGAGATTCTGAACCCAGCCTGCATTTCAGTTCTGTAGCAGTGGTGACATTTCAGGGGGAGGGGGAGGGAGCAGGTGGGACCAGGCCCTGGGCCCTGGTTGGGAAGGAGCCCAGGGACATGAGAACCCCTCTAGAATGGCCCATCCTAGACTCTTTCTCTTTCTTCCAGATTGTGGACAAGAACAACCGCTATAAGTCCATAGATGGCTCAGACGAGACCAAAGCCAACTGGATGAGGTGAGCCCTGCTCTGCTGATGTCCCGGGGGTCTTGCCTGGCCTCTGGAAAGGAGCCAAGGGAGTGTGTTGGACCTGTGGGAGCTCCAGTGGTGGAGACTTCTGGAGGCTGCCGTTTGCAGGGTTTGGATGCATCTAGCTCTGAAGGACCCACCTTTTCCCCTAGGCCTCCATCAGGGGGCTCTAGAGGACGGCGTGTGGTCAGGCCGTTGGGATGCAGGGACCGCTCGGGCTGCTCACTTGCCAGTGTGTCTGGAGGTCCTGGGCCCCAGGCTCCTGGCAGCATTCCTAGGGAGGAGGAGGAGACTGTCCCCCACCTAGGACTGTGACACCTCAGAGCAGGCTCCTGCAGGGGTGGTGTGAGAATCGTCCCAGTGCAGCCCCAGCAGTTGTTTAAACAGCCTCCATGGAAGAAAGGGCTCTGACAAAGTCTTCAGCTCAGTTTTTGACAGTGTTGCTGCCTATGTTTGAGTACTTTGAAGTGTCAACTTTACCCTGTTCCGGTGTTTGGGACAGAATTTTGCACCAGAAGTTTTCTTAAATGCCAACCAGAGGAGGCAGGAGACTGGCCCCAGGCAGGGTCACCCAGGGATGGCTGAGCTGAGCCCAGAACCATGGGTCCAGCGTGATGCTGATGGTCTGTGCCATGTGCGAGGGACTCTGCCTGGTGGGGTTTGTGGACAGGGGTGGGAGATCTGACATGCCTTGTTGCCTGCTTGGTGGCCTCTCTCTGGGACCTAGGAGCACTGGCTGGAGATTTGGATCTGGGTGGGAGGGGAAGGAAGCCTCAGATGTCTGGAGTCAGGGGCACAGCCACACCATGGGCCTGGGGCCCTCTGCCGGCATTTGCACAGTTTTCTGACCCATGAGGCCTTGAGGCTGATGGTGGGATTGTACTTGGAGAGAGGGCAACTTCCTAAAAAGGAGTGTGCTGTCTTAAACTCGGAGACTTTCTAAGCAAATGAGGAGAAGCAGGTTTGAGGCGTAGAGTATGTGATGAGGGCTCCTGTGTCCTTCCCAGTGGCTCCACTGCCCACCTATACTCCTATCAGAGAGTGGCTGAGCAGCAGTTCACACCTCCCAGATTACTTTAGCGTTCGCCCTCTTATGGGTTAGGGAAGGTGTTCTCATTGCCGTTTGATGGGTGCAGAACAGAGGCTCCAGAGACCAGCGGGCCCCCTGCCTTGCAGTGTGGAGAATAGCACCGACTGCCCCCAACCTCCTTGGACACAGCTGATCCGACACTGCCCTGAAAGTGGCCCCAGGGAGGTGGCTTGACACCCTGACTGCCTTCTCTTCTCACTGCCACGGGGTCCAGGTCAGCTGAGCACTTACAGTTCATCACCTGTGTACTGAGCACCTAGTTTGAGTCAGACTGTGAAATGGGTACCAGGGTGGATCACCCAGCCCTGCCCCACCACACCCCATGCCCCACCCCCGCTGGCCCTTCCCGGGCTCACACCTCCTACCACAGAGGTGACTTTCCAGTGTAGTTTTTGCACCGAGGCACAATGTGCTGCAGAGGCCCAGATGAAAGAGGAGGGGTTCGTTGACATGGGCCTTCAAAGGGGCCAGGATTGTGTCTGGGGACACTGGGTTGTGGTGTCTAGTCAGGCTGTTGGGCGGCTGCTCAGTTTGGACCCCAAGCCTGTGCTGCTGTGCTGCCTGCCCTGTGGCTGCAGCCTGGCTCCAGGCAAGCAGGGGAGACCGTGCGTGTGTCCACTTGGGAATCAGGCTTTCTGTGCTATTGCTTTTAAGGCGCCGGGAGCTTTGCCCATAGAACCGAATCTGTTCCACTCTTTCACCCATCTCTGATCTTTCCCCCTGGGGACAAGGCCTTCTCAAAACCCCAAAAAAGGGGAGCTATCATCCAAACTAACTTATCTATCCTCTGGCACCCCGCAGATTGTGACTTAATTGGGCTGGGGATTGGCCTTGGGCCTTGGTATTTTTAAAGCTAGTGATTCTGATGTGCCACTAGCATTGAGAACCACTGCTCTGTACAGATCTTCATGCCACAGTGGTCAAGCTGAGAGCAGGGCAAGGTCTTGCTTAAGAGCATACAGTCAGGGTAGCAGAATCAGGATTTGAACTCCTGGCTCTGTAATCCTAGGTCGGTGTTCTTCCTGCTTGTGCACAAGGGACCAGGTGAAGCGTGGCTTCCTGGGCCTGGATGGGCACTGGTGAGCAGGGGTTTGGGGGTTTCTGCTACTGCCACCTTGCTAGCATGGTTTCTGTCCTGTTCTGCTCCCAGCCTGTCCTGATTCAAGATGGCATCTGGGTAGTCACAGCTGGTGGGCTCTCATCTTATGACCACTCAAAGAGCAGGTTTGGGTTAGGGATGCAGTTTGTTGCCACGGAGACGCCCCTCCTGTTGCTGTTGGAGTGACGGGAAAGCTGTTAATCCTGGGAATCCTCCTTTCCCTTCATGTCCAGCTTCCGTGGTGTGGCTCTTTCTGACTTGCAGATGCTCTCCTTTGCACTGTCATGGCACCGCTTGGGGATGATTGAATGGACTCTGTTAGTTTCTTAACAAAATTAATGGTGGGCCAGGAGGCGAATGGGCACTGTCGTGTTGAGCTTATCTTTATGACAGCCCCATCTAGGTGATCTGTCTGTGGTGGTTCTCAACCGAGCACTATTTTGTGCCCCTGGGGGCATTTGGCAAGGCCTGGAGACATGTTTGATGGTTGGATGCTATCAGATAGAAGCCAAGGATGTTGATAAAATCCTGCATTACACAGGACACCCCTTCCCCCCAACGAAAAATTTTCTAGCCCCAACTGCCAATAGTGGCAAGATTGAGACACCCACATTAAGTCCTCCTGATAGCCCTGGACAGTGACACTAGAATTGTCACCCTAGTTTTATGGAGAAGGAGACTGGGTTCACACGAGTCCCATGGCTTGGCCCAAGGAGACTCAGTCTCTAGTTCCAGGTCTAGTCCCATATTCCTGCCACCATCTTGGACTGGGTAATGAGGCCCCCAGCCTTCTTCCCATCTTCTGGGCCCTGGTGTTTTGGGTGCTTGAGTAGGAAGGTGAGGGCTGAAGGATGTTGGTGCCGCCGGCCTTCCCCTCTTGGTTTCAGAAGGAAACCAAGGAGTGAATGCGCTCTGAGCTTTCCTCCATACCCTCATGTCCTCTCTTGGGTGGATTTTTTCACCTTTTATCACTAGTTAAAAGGGTGACAGAGCCACGATGTGGAGAAATCAAGTTCCAAAGCCAGAGCAGGAGCCAAGTGGGATGGAAGGGCCATGCTGTGCCCCTTGCCCAGGGCCTCTGGCTGCTCAGTTGAGAGGGAATCCCAGGTCCCCCTGGTGTCCACCAAAGTGGAACTTGACTCCCTCAGGACAGTCGTGGGCTTCTCAAATTCTACCAAAAAGTCACAGCAGCCCACCCCCGAAGAAAGCACTCCCATGGGAAGGAAACCTGTTTGCCTGCACATATGCAAAGGTGGGGGCTTGGAGAACTGACCGGGACGGGGAAGGGGAAGAGAGCCACTAGGCAGAATAAGCTTTCTGTGGCCACACCCTAATCATGGCATTGTCACTGCTACACCCAACGGTAGCCAGTGTAAATAGTTTCCCTGGTTACGTATTCTTCCGAGCCATTCATTCAGCTGTAGGGCTGTAGGTAAATATCGCTTTATAGAGGCAATGGGCTAATCCTAATTTCAATAAGATCCTTTACTGCTATCTTTAAGAGATTTTAAGCCCCTTACATCATGATGTGTTTCCCTCCTTAGTAATAAACCCGAAGAGTTGTGGTTGTTATTCTGGACAGGGAGAATAAGGTGTGAAAGGTTGAACATGAACTGCCCTAGCTCTCACCGCTAGTAAGAGCTAAAGCAGGCCCTGAAACCAAGGCCTTCGACTCTGAGTTCAGTGCTCCCTCCCATGTAACGCCGTCTCTTCTTTCCACCCTCCCC
This sequence comes from Homo sapiens, assembly GCF_000001405.40. Lineage (NCBI taxonomy): Eukaryota > Metazoa > Chordata > Mammalia > Primates > Hominidae > Homo > Homo sapiens. Next base: position 45,208,707 of record NC_000011.10, read on the forward strand.
TCCGAGGAGTAGTGGAAGGGACCTCTCAGTAGGAGGAGGGTGTGGTGGGGGCCAGGTTGCCCCAGGTGCCTCCTGGCTCCCCAGCTGGGGGCCAGCAATTAGGAAGGAGAACCACCTGCATTGACGGTCATTTACCCAATTGTGCTTTGTGGGATATTCAACCCAAGGAATGTGGCACACCTGGCTGAGCGTAAGAGGAAGCCCAAGTTCTCCAAGGAGGAGCTGGACATTCTTGTCACAGAGGTGACCCACCATGAAGCAGTGCTCTTTGGGAGGGAGACCATGCGGCTGTCCCATGCTGACAGGGACAAGATTTGGGAAGGCATAGCCCGGAAAATCACCTCCGTCAGCCAGGTGCCCCGCTCCGTCAAGGACATTAAGCACAGATGGGATGACATGAAACGGAGGACCAAGGACAAGCTGGCCTTCATGCAGCAGTCCCTGTCGGGCCCTGGGGCCGGGGGCCGGGCCCCCACCATCGTGCTCACGGCCCACGAGAGGGCCATCAAGTCGGCGCTGCTCACGGCCCGTGCAGGGCGCGGCTTCCCCAGGGCGGAACTGGATGGCACCGACAGCCCTTCGACCAGCTGTGAGTATCACCAGTCCCCCCCGCCACCCAGCCGGCTGCCTGCCCCCCAGCTTACAGTCCACAGTCTCCCACCGACTTTCCCTCTGGTTCTCTCCTGTCCCTCTCTGTCCAGCCCACTCTTTCCATCCTCCCCTCCTTCTCCCACTCTTCTCCTCTCCATCCCTTTTTGCATTCATTCTCGAATATTTACTGAGCATCTCCGTGCCAGAGCCGTGCTAGGAGCTGGGAAGACAGCTGTGTGTAAACCCCACGCAGGCCCTGCTCTTGGGGAGACCCTGGACTCCTAGGAATAAACCAACGTTAAATAATTGCACGAGTAAACTGGAAACGAAGGGATGGAGGACACAGGAGTCCAGGAGGTCCCGAGAGCAGGGCTGACTTCATGAGCATGCAACCTGAACAGTCACAGGGGCCGCGGGGTTTCAGGCTCTGCTGTCGCCATCTGGACATTCTTCATAGTTTTTGAGCCAGGGGCCCCACGTTTTCATTTTGCATTTGACCCTGCAGGTTATGTAGCAGCTCTGTCTGAGAGTTAAGGAGTGGGTAAAACTGGCTCCACTGGGGACTGGGGAGGGCTCCCTGAAGAAGTCCAGCGGACTAGGATGTGAAGAGTAAGAGTTAACCAGGCCAGGCAGCAGCGTGGGGCGCGGAGAAGGGGAGGGGAGGCGCGCAGGCAGAGAACAGCATGTACGAGGCCCCGCATCAGGAAGGCGCTTGGCACGTTCCAGGAACAGTGAGAAGCCAGGAAAGCCCAAGTGTAGCAGCGCGGGGGAGGGGGCTGGAGACGAGGCGGCCAAGCTGTGAAGGCCCGGGCCGGGCCATGGAAAGATCAGTTCCTTTCTGTGTCTGGTCCTGACTGCTTTGTTCCTCTATTATTACTCCCCTGCCTGAGCCACGCTGCCTGCCCCCACTTTTCTGTGTGCTGCCTCTCAGCTCCCTCTCCATCCTCCTGGCTGCTCCGCCACCCGCTCCCCACCCCTCTTCTCCCTCTGTACTTGTCCCTGCCTTTCCTCTCTACTTCCTGTGTCTCACATGCACTTTGAAGCCAGGGCCCCAGCGGCCGAGGCGGGTGTCCCTTGGGGCTGGAGTTCTAGTTGGGGCTCAGCAGAAGGGGGAGCACTAAAGGCCTCCGCAGGGACTGCAACCCTTCCTTTCCACTTCTGCACATCTCCCCCGTGCCCCGCCAGCTGCAGTCCCCACTAGAGGCCGTCTGCCTGACCGGCTCGTGAGTGGTGGGAGCCAGGCAGGAGGGGCCCCAGGGAAGCAGCCGTGGCTCAGCCCATGGGAAGGTGCTTTGCAAAGACTCACTTGCACCTTCCCTTCCCGGGCCCCCTGCCATTGTGATCCACTTGCTTCCTGTTTGGCTGGGGCTCCTGACAGGTGGCAGTTCACAGAGTCAGATGTTTAGGACTGGAAAAGAACATGGAGACCATTTAGTTCAACTTCCTTGCAATGCAGAAAGTAAGCTCTGAAAACCAAGGTGGCCCTGAGCTCAATTCAGAAGCAGGACTTGAACCCGGGTCTGCTGGCTTCCTGTGAATCAGTGTTTTCCTAAGTCTTAAGAGGATTCCACCCCGTGATAAGAAAAAATGGGGGGGTCAGCATCCAGTAAAGCCTGTTCCCTGCATCCTGCTCCGCTCACCCCTCCATCTCCCTGAGACTGAATGTAATGAGGCCACCAAAGGTAACCTGGGCTGGCAGGGAGCCCGAGTGTGCCATCAGGCAGAGCCCGCTCACCCCCATGGCAGGCTCACAGCCCTCCTTTTCCTGGCAGTGGCCAGCTGCGGCAGCACTCGGCCAGGGGCTTGGCAGAACGGGGACCTGGGAGGGAAGGAGCAGCATCACCTCGCCGGGTCTCACTCCTTCCAACACTGGCCATGCTAGACAGGTCTCTGGGATCTCAGGGGATGGCTGCTGTCCCACCAAACACTGCCAAGAGACACAGGACTCTTACCAAGCTGGCCCAAGTGAGCCCCCAGGACCCCTGGGAGGCATGAGGTAACTGTAAGATAAACCTGTCTGTCCTCCCCATCACCTTCCTGGGGGGTGGTTCTGAGTTGAGTCCGCAGATCCAGGCAGGGAGGGCTTGCCTGTCAGTAGGGTCAGCCCATACATCATTTAATCCTGCCACAGGGATCAGCCCATACCCTTGGTCACCAGAAAGCAGGACCCACATGTGCAGAGGCTGGGCCCCCTCCCTGTGTCCGGCTGCAAGGAGCA